>NC_000001.11:111978077-112281107 GCF_000001405.40 Homo sapiens
CAGCTGGGCTGTTATTGTTCTTGTGTGCTTAAGGTATTCTGAGATATTAACTAAACGGTAATAATTGGTTCCAGGAGATCCCTCCCTGGAGGACACCTGAGTAACTCATCAACGAGGTGCTGGGAAAGCAGGCAGAGAGGGCAACCAGAGCAGGAAGAGTGAATGCCTTTACTCCACGTATCAGCTCTCTGTGCATCAGTCGGCCCTGCTCTGCAGAAGAGCTGGAGACATTCCCGCTCCAGACTGGAAATAGGAACTCAGGGAAGGACCAGGGAAGGGAGTGTCTGGAGAAAGGAAGAGGTAGATATCTGCTGTGAGCTGTTAGAAGCAACTGAATGATGGCAAGATATTGGTCCTTGGTATTCCATGGCCACTTGGACTCAAATGCCAGTGTAAAGGAAAAAATGGGCTTTCTGGAATGGTTGAACAAGGCTACAACTAACCATGAATGTGGTCAGGACAGAAACTAGCCATGGAAGAGGGAAAAGTTTCCAAGGTCACGTCAGTGAAACCTCCAGTAAAGACAAGAAGATCTCCACAGTACTGCAGGGCAGCCCAGGGAATAGATCATACACCAAGTAAAGGCTGCTCACCTCCCTCCTGGGGGACCAGGGCTGGGGCAGAATACACATATCTGAGGGGGCTGCAGGCTGTGCAGGCTGAAATCTTAGGTCTACCTTCTAGAGAGGACAAGTAGGTCTAGAAGGGACTGAGAATAGTATCAGGTCAAGCAAATGGAAGAGGCACTCCATTCACACTGGCTCATCCACTAAAAAGCATTTTGCCAAGTGCTTGCTATGTATAATCAAGCAACGAGCCTGGTAATGGTGTCAACTGCCAACTCAGGTCAAAGTCAAAGTAGCCTGACCCAGCAATGACCTACACTAGCTAGGAAAGAGGGAAAGAAAAAGGTTGCTTTCTCATTACTTATCTGAGTTTAAGGAAGACACTACTAAAGGTTTCCTTTCTTGCCCATTTGGTTCTCCTCCCAGAAGCTAGACATTTAAATGCATGGGGAAGGTAAAACAAACTTGTTCATTGTCAGATGTGGGGTGAGGGAACCCACCAGGTCCACGTTCAGGGAAAGCATGCTTCTCCCTAGTGCAGGCACCTTTCCTTTCACCCTCCAGCAGAATCTATCAGTTCCCTCCCAAGAAAGTAAAAATGAGACCAAGATACTCCACTTTGATGCTGGACTTGCCCCTTAATCTACAGGGTGAATGACAAAAGAAGTCAGCGGTTTCCCCAGAGCATTAAAACATGGATTAATCACCATTAACTTCTAAGTCAGTATTTAAACTGCTCAGAAGGAAATGTTTTATTTTTAAAATCTCTGTGTGTCTGGTACAGTGCCTGGCATATAGTACTCATTGGGCTGATGCTTTCTTGACTGGCAATATGACTAGAAGAGAATATCACACCCTGAGGCCATAATAAAAAAGTAATAACCCTGAAGGTCTGATTTCTACCTAGGGGCCCTGATGGCATGGGAATGAGTAGTAGGGTGAAAGGAGAAAGGGCATTGGAGCAGCCAGATTGGTATTTGAAAATTAGTTCTGCTCCTTATCAGCTACGTGACTATGGAAGTTTATATAGTCTCTCTGAGCCTCAGCTTCTGCATCTTTATAGGGTACAGAATTTTTTCCAACCTTGCAGGGCTGTTGTAAAAACTTAAAGAGATAATATATGCAAAGTTCTTAGTACACTGCTGACATATAGTAGACAATCATATGCTGTTATACTACTAATAAAAAGTAATGAGTAGGTGGCTATCACCATGCCTGTTTTCCTCCACATGGCTATCCTGAAGGATCTCTCTGATGTCATGAGTCCCATCAAGGGGCATCTGAGGGCACTGGGCAGTCAGAGCCACATCAGGAGCTTGACTAGAAGTGGAAGTGAGGTGTCTGGCCATGGGTGAGGTCCCCTTCAGGAAGGTGAAGGGATGGCTAGGGTCAGCCTAAAAGGGATAAAGACGACCTCTTGACAGCACAAGCTCTCCAGTCCATTTTATCTCCAAAATACCCCACTGTGCCAAAAAGCCCACATCTGCCACCTGAGCCAAGAGAAACAAGGTCAAATGACCAAACATTCTTACCCACTCTGGGTGAGCAGCCATTTGAAGAGTGTGTGTGTGTGTGTGTGTGTGTGTGTGTGTGTGGGTTGGAGTGGGAGGAAGGGGCAGGGTGGTTCTGTCAGACAGATAAGAAGTAAAGGGAATGCCCCAATCAAATGTGGCCTTCACAAATGGATGGTGACACCCTTGCTCTTCCCCTTGCTACTCCCTCCCTCTTGTGTGTGGCAGAATGACAAATGTAATCATTTTAAAAGGTCTCGTCACCTGCTCAGTCATTCCCAATAAGCATACGCAGCACTATGGAAAAACCAACACTATTGCCTCTGGGTTTTGGCCAGGAAAAAAAAAAATCAAATCACCAGGACACCACCAACCACACTGTCAAAGACAAAATAAAAAGCTTCATGAATTCTCCATCAGCAATATAACGCTTCCTAGCCTAAGCAAATATAGACCCAGTATATGAATTGTGGAGGGATTTTGCATTAGGCTCCATGGTTTCTAATAGCTGAGGCAGAAACCCCTAAGAAATCTATGTTTCCATAAAGCCACCTTTATTGGCTATAATCCTGCTAGGGTGAAGACTGTAATCTCCTTCCTGAGCCCCCTTCCTCTGATGGAAAGCTTCACATCCCAGCATCATGAATACATTTCTGTGACCTCAGCTGGAGAGGAGACCTCGGAGAGACGGAATTACCATGACCTCACCGAGCACCTGTCCCTCCTTCTGATGATATTGCTGCTTCTGTGTCTGACCACATGATCCATTCAGACCATCTCACAGTCACCCAGGTCATTCAATCACTGACTCAGACTAAAAAGCAAGACTGATACTGCTTTAGAAAGAAAGAATAAACCACGTGCCTTACTGCGAAAAATCCAGGTTCAGAGTCACTTAGAGAAAGTCTGCTCAGAGCTACTGAACGCTTGAGTGTCTGTGGCAGCACAGGAGAAAAGCATAACAAATGGGAAAATGGCCTGCAAAATATACTACAAAGAAAAAATGCAGAAAGGATCCAAAAAGAGTGCTCTTGGTGTCTTCTGGTAATGGACATCTGAACCCTCCGAACTTCTCAACAGTCTCCTCCCTCCCCAACAACTGCCCTGACCTTCTCCCCACGCTGCCCCATATGCGCAAATGCATATACAAATGCAGACATCACCTCACCCCGAGACTTCACACGCACACAAGGCATGGCTGAAAAAAGAATTGGTGACTTAATTTTCTTAGCTCTATAAAACACATGCCCCGACCTCAAAAAGAAAACTCAATTCCCAGCAAGCTACCACCCCCAAACAGATGACTCATGGGCTTTACCCTTCGGATAGAGCAACTTCCCCTGCCCCCAACACTTGGGTAAGGGACTCCCTCCTCCTCTACCCATGGTGACACCATCCAAGGTTTCAGAGGTCATCCAGCTGCCCTCCAACCTCCGTCCTGGTTTCATCCACCAGCGCTGACTTACCCCAGTGTGGTCATGGTGACAATGGTGTACCAAAACGAGGCAGGGATGCTTGTGAACTTGCTGGCCGAGGAGCCCTTCTCGGCATAAAACATCACAGTGGCAAAGATGATGATGGCCATGGTGAGGGAGAAGAGAAGAAAGCCCAGTTCGGAGGCACAGCTCTTCAGTGTGTAGCCCAGGATCCGCAGGCCCTGGGAGTGGCGGGAAAACTTGAAGATCCTGAAGACGCGGAAGACCCGGAGCGTGACGAAGGCGCCGGACACGTCCTCGTTGTTGGTCATGACCAGACCGATGTAGTAGGGCATGATGGCCACCACGTCGATGATGCTCATGACGCTGCGGATGAAGCGGTAGCGGCTGGGAGCCGCGAAGAGCCGCAGGAGGTACTCCACGGTGAAGATCATGACGCACGCCGTGTCCAGGCAGAAGAAGGCCACCGAGTAGCGCTCCCCGCACGGCAGCTCCTTGCTGCCCGGGACCGTGCCGCACGGCACCGTCTCCACCACGTTGGTGATGACCGAGACAGCGATGAAGAAGCCAGTCACGTAGTAGAAGACCAGGGCCAGCGTGCTGGTGTGGGGGTTCTCGAAGGCCCGCCACATGGTCTGGCGGAAGCTGAGCGAGGGCATGGACTCCTGGTTGTTCTCCGAGTCGTTGTCGTCCATGAGCCGCTCGGCGTTCTCCCTCTTGCGGTCCTTGTACTCCTCGTAGCAGCAGTCCCCGATGATCTCCGGGAGGATGCCGTAGAAGGCCAGCTCGTCGTCGTAGGCAGAGATGCACTCGTAGCGCGGGTAGTGCAGCTTCCCCGTGCGGTAGAAGTTGAGCACGCAGCGGAACACCTCGGGGTCCCGGTCGAAGAAGTACTCCTTGGTGTCCTCGTTGAAGAAGAACTCCTTCTCCGTGCTGCCCAGCAGGGTGTCCGGGTAGCGCTCCAGCGTGGTCCTCCAGGTCTGGAACCTCCGCCCACTCACGTTGAGGACAATCAGCTCATCCTGCCGCTTGTTCTTGTCGGCCGGGGCCAGGGGCATGGGGCAGTTGGCCACCGGCATCCACCCGATGGCCGCAGCCCGGGCAAAAGGCAGCCAGGCCGCAACTCCGGCCGCCATGGTGACTCCAGCTCTTGGGCCGGCAGCCGCGCGGACGCTAGGCACACCAGCTTGGAGTTAGTTCAGCAAACCCTGGGAGACAGGAGGGGAGAGAGAGAAGCGGTGAGTCCATATCGACTGGCAGGTAAGAAATGGGACACAGGAAAGGATCACTGGTGAGTGAAACGGCCAAAGTCTCCAGGGCAGATTAATAAAACTGAAATCCCCACCACAGAGAGGGGACTTGATTCTTTGCCATCCAGACACTGGGAGAACACCTAGCTCCTGGAGCTCGGCAGGGTGGGATCGCCAGATGTTGCTGACTGCCTGACAAATCGTCAAGCTCCAAGAGGGCTCAAGAGCATTTGGAGGGAAGGCCTCTTTAGCAGGAAGATCTGGCAAGACGTGGGTAATAATCAGCTCTGAAAGGTTATGGCGTTATTACCAATTTAAATTGGGAGAGGGTAGATGAGTTCTCATTAAATGAATTTAAAAGTGGGATAAACATGCTAATTTTTATTTCACTCTTTCACCCACTGGGGTAATCAGGAACGGGGTGTAGATGAGTGAGATCAGGTAAACAATTCTTTCTACTCCTCCCTAGTGAGGAAGAGGCTGGGGCTGCCCAAGTCCAGAAAATTCTCTGAGATGGCAGGTGACCACCAGGATTGGTGAGGTTCTGTCCCCAACTCCCATGGAGAAGGCTCTCCCTGGCAAAGTGCTACTCTGAGGGACACTTAGCCCCTACTCCTTGCCCTAGCAACCTAGTATCAAATTTTTCCCCTCAGACCCTCAGAGCCATGATGGAAAGACGTGGGAAGGGTTGTGAGGCTGGGCAGGGTCTCTTTCCCTGCTCTGTGAAGGGCGTCTTGGCTTCTTGGTTCACCTGACTTCCATGCATCGTCTCTCTCCCTCCCCAGAAGAAGCCGATCCGCGCTCACTGCCGTCCCTAGATTCCTCTCCTCCCATCTCCATCTGCCCACCATCCATAACTCCCTCAGGTTATATAACAACACTCCTTCCCATACCAGCCTCTCTCACCTGGTCCCCACTCCACCCTCAGAGATTTTTCCAGAGCCAGGCTACCCTGTCCCTTCACCTCTCTAAACCACACTGCATAAGCACTTCCCCATTACCTGTGTGGACAGAGGGAGCAATGGCACGGAGAATTATATTTGGCTTTGGGAAGCAGATTTACCTTCCCAAATCTGGCTTTTTAAAGATGATAGTGAAATCACTCTGCAGTCCCCAAATGTATACCATCTGTGGGAAGGCATGTGGTGACACGGAAACACACGTAACAGAAATTGGAAATTGTTTGGGGTTGACACACTCATCTCCACTAATCCTAAACTGATCACACAGAACAAATCCTAACTTGGAATTATTTGGGCCCTCTGGAATTCAGCTGCTGTGATTCTAAGTTTAAATAAACGAGGAAGAGGTGAGTCTTGGAAAATTTTTTCTGTTACACGAAGACTTGTAATGGGAGTCGATCTTCATCTCTCCCTATAAACCTGCTTCACCTTCTCCTGACTCCCAACTCTTTGAGTTTTTTCAGATCTCTACCTCCCTCAAACTCCTGAGCTGCCACTGGACTTTTCTGCTCAGATGCCTCTGAAGTGGACAGGTTTAAACAGAACCTGCCTCCTTGTAAAAAGCTGCTGTTCGCCTTTTCTTCATGACGTCCCTAACTGCAGGGCTGTCACCTTGACCATTTTTCTCTAAAGAGTTGCCAAATAATAGGCAATAGTTCTTACTGCCCTCATGAAGGCCCAAACTCCCTCTGGCCTCCTTCCCACGGGCCTTCTTGTCTCTCACTCTCACACCCCACCCGGTTTCTCCTATTCCCCTGAAATCCATTCTGCTCAGTGTTATCTCCCTAAAGCAAGGTTCTGATTGTATTTTACCCCACGACCTACAAAATAAAGTCCAAACTCCTTGGCCTGGCATTCCAGAATTCCCACAAATAGATCCTAGCTTCATACTCCAGCCCAATGGCCCAGGCACCCATCCTAGTATCCAGCAATAAGACCAAGACCTGTTCATGGACAGACCCTGGGGAGGTCTGCCTCTGGACCACTCCTCCCTCTCATGAGAATATCCTTCCCCTGGACCCCTCCTATTAGAATCCTACCTATTCATCACTCTCTCTGTGATGCTTCCTCCTCTCCTCACTATGAGATTCTCTTCTTCCTTTGGGCTCTTGACTCGTTGTTTGCCCCTCTTCCCTAGCACCTATCACCCCGCAGCTAGGATTACACACACTTTATATACATCTTAATTAATAGTAATGACTAACAATTGAGCACTTACGCTATGCAAGGCATTACACTGTCTCCCATGGATTATCTCATTTAACCCTCACAGCAACCCTAGGAAGAAGAGTCTGTTGTGTCCCCCATTTCATAGATAAGGAAAGCTAAAGCTTACTGAGACATAGCAGTCTGACAACCCCAAAGTGGCAGAATAGGGATTCCATCTCAGGCAGTCTGCTGAGGGCTGATGGTGTGCCAGGCACAGTACCACACACTTACATGGAGCGTCTCAAGAGATCCCACCGACAACCCTGAGGGGTAGACACCACTGTAGGCCATGTTTTGCCCACAAAAGAAAGATGAAGCATAAGGAGTTGTAATAATTGTCTAAAGGATGTAATAAGTAGGCGGCGCCATTAAACCCAGGCAGTCTCAATGTGGAGTTCAAGAGTACAGCCAGACCACTTCCCAACTTTCCCTATCCCACACTAAGCTCTTTCGGGCAAAGGCCGAGATGCCTCCACTTTTGTATCACAACCCAGGAGGCAGCATAGTGAACTGCATCAGTAGGTGCTCGAGCTGGGACCCCTGGTTTTATATGTGCCATTTTTTTTCCCATCAACTTTACTCTATGCCTTGCTAATATATTTCAGGGGTTGCCAAGGGTGAGCGTTCTTTCTCCAGAGTAAAATCTGAAGACAGATCTGAATCAGAAGAATCCAATTCAAGTATCTGCCTCTGACTCACTCAGTCGAGTTTTCTAAAGAAGCCAATCTCTGCCTCAGTTTCCCCATCTGCATGCTAAAGGAAATTGTCACAGGTCCCTTCTCTCCCTAATAAAGGGAGGTTGAGTCAGATGCTGCAGAAGACAATAGGAATGACAATGACATTTCCCGTAAGCGTCACTGCTCAGAGAACAGAAAAACAGCACAGGCCTGATGAGCTGATTACTGGAACTGAGGAACTGAGGAACTGAGGAAAGAATGGAGGTCGTTCATGCATGGCAGTGGGTAATCCACATGCTACTGATAGAAGAGTCAGGAACACATCCTGCATTGTATTTCTTTCTAGAAGAAATTTACCCTTCTAACTATACTTTGTTTAGGATTAGGAGACTTAGTAGTTCCTCAGCATGCACTTAGCTAGGATTTATTTCTAAGGGGCAAGGGATGTTTGAGAAGCAAGCTCACAAGTTCAACTCTGTTCCAATTCAGAGTTGGTTAACATTTATTGAACACTGACAATGCTCTGGACACTGTCTGAGACACTTTTACACACAACATTTAATTTATTCCCACTAAAATCCTATGATAAAGGCTTTTCTGCCCAAAGGTTACAGGTAAGGAGAAGGAAGCTCAGAAGTCTCTTTCAAAGTGGCTAAGTTCTGTGTATATGGGAGCTGACAATTTTCAAACAGACCATTGATCACCTCACTGCCAAATGGCTTTCCTGATCTAGGTGTTGCCCAATACTGATGTTCCCAAGAGAAGACAGCAAGATGCAGAGATTCCTTTCCCTGTCTTCCCCAGGCAGCAATGAGCAAGGGCTCATGAGGCCTTGCAATTCCAGTTTCAGTCCCATCCTCAATTTGTGAAAGCAAGCCATGATCACCCTCTGGGCCTCAGAGTCTTCCTCTGTAAAATGAGAAGAATTGGACAGGAACATGACAAAAGACCCTTTGGCTCAAATGATCCCTGATTCCACTGGATCCAGGACATCAAGTCTATAGCTTAGGTCTCATTGAGACCTCTTAATGACAATCACCCATGCAAAGAAGGAAGTAGAGCATCTGGGCTTACTGCTGTGAGGATGGAGTTAGCCTGAGCCTCAAGGTAGCAAAGGGAGCTCTGGGAATTCCTGCTGAGGCTGGTGCTCAGCACAGGGCACACAACCTGTGTCACTTGGAAACCAGGGGCAATCCAAGGCCTAGTTCACCCACAGAACCCCTGGCCACCTTCCTAGAGAGTAAAGGAGACCAAGCTCCCAGACTCTGAGCCCTGGATCTTTGACCCTTAATATCCTGTTTTATCCCAGAATAAAGCTCAGAGAGGCAGAATCTTGAGGGGGTTCAAGAGGCAAAAAGTAAGAGATCACTGAATCAGAGGCACCCTGTGGAACCCTGTGTGGCCAGACACACAGTTCTGCCCCCTGAAAGGGTGATGCCCTTCCCCTTTCATTCTCCTAGTCCTGCTCTACCCTGATTCCCAAGCTTTAATGCCAGGTACCTGCCCCTGCCAAGCTGAGTCCCATCACCTTCTCCTCTCTACCCTAAGCCAATCTCCAAGGACCACCAGTCCTTTACAAACTGCTTTCAGATGAATAATTGAGAGCTCAGGGGAAGGAAAAATTAACCCCTCCCTATCTTGGGACCATAAAAGCTTCTGGTCCCACAGCCAAATGTTTACCCCATGCGTGAATCCAGGGCAATCTTCCTAAAGAAGGCCAAGCAAGCACCAGGCTGTCTCCAGAGGCTCAGCCCCTGTCCCCCTGGTAAAACATACCAAAAAAGGAGCAATTACCCCATTGTTACTTTCTCTGTGTGTGGGGGTTGGGAGGTGAAAGGGGAGGACAAGTGTCCCACCAGATACCATATCCAAGGCCACACTGGCCATACCCACCCCACAACACTGCAGGAATGACCCACTCAAGTAGGCCTTCTCCACAGCTCATACAGCAGCATTCACCCCCTGACAGGAGCCAACACCTTCCGGAGCTGGCCTGGGTATGAATTCCTGCAACAGGCACAACAGTGCGGCCCCATTTCCAGCCAATGGCACTGCACATGCCTCAAATGCCAAGGTTTTACTAGGACGTGGACGCCTTACAAATGAAAAATCTGAAGCTATTTTTGTTTTTGGCAGAAGAGTTTGACAGTGGGAAAGATAGGGGGTGGGGGGAGGCTGGAAAAGAGGCATTCAAAACAGGTAAGCTCTGAAATGAAAAAGGTGACAAATCCTGGCAAAGGAAAACATTTTCCCCTGCTGTAAAAAGTCAGTTACTCCATTAAACAGCTTCTATTTTGGAGGTAAAAGGCCAAAAGGGGGTGGAGTGACCAGACAGCTTGTCCTGGGGTTTGACACCTAGCTGAGTACAGGCATAAGGCAGCAAAAAAAGTCATGTCACCAAGGTCTGTCCTTCAATGACCTCAGTGGAGAGCCTCTGGAAACTTACTTTCCACAATCTCACATCACATCCCCTAGCTCAGAATGGGGCTGGTCTGGGGGCAGAGGAAGGTGCCCATGACCCGGAGGGCTTCTCCTGTGTTCACAGGATTTTGGTAGGCAAAGCATGAAACTGACAAGGTGAACCAAGCTGGGGATCCTTGGGGGACAGGCTTGGGACACACGCACAGATCCTCTTCTCCAACGGTGCCACTCCTAGGCTAGCCAGGGCACTTTCCTGAACTCTTTTTCTCCAGCCTCCTCAAGAGCAAAAGGGAACAAGCTACTAACCTCTTTCTCTGGGGGGTCCCTTGTATACTTGCATTTTGTTGCATTCAAGTAGAGACGAGGAAAAAATAAACACATCAGTTCCCTTCCTGTGTGCCAACAGGTCCACATGGGGAAATGTACACATGCTTTGTATTGAATTCGTGGACACCCAGGAGCCCTTTCTACAGACAGTAAACATACAGGCTCCCTCGAAGTAAGGTAAACAAGGCATACATTTGACCATCACGTACATTCATGCAAAATACAGCAACGCATGCCTGGTCTTACAAACAGATCGCATTGTGCCTAGGACCCCGAGAAAGTTCAGACGCTCTCTCTTAAGAAATACGGACCCTTTTTCTTGCAGTGCGATTTCAGGTCTGGAACCTCAGCCTGTTGCTGACATATCAGGGCTGCCCGGGATAAAAGCAGAACATCTCGGATCCTATTCAAATGTCAACACTAAGCAAGCGCAGGAATTTAGTTGAGTCCAGGTAACTTTGCCCAGTCCCTTCCCGTCCCCCACCTCCAGTGTAAACACCTCGCAGAGTGAGTCTTTCGATCCCTCTCCCCGGGGCCGCGACGGCCCTTGGCGTCACGTAGAGACCTTTCCCAGAGCTCGCGGGGTGGAAGTGGCGTCGGGCAGGACCAGATGGACTGGCCCCCAGCCTCTGGTAGACACACCGCCGGCTCGCCGAGCTGGAGAACTTTGCGAAGCGCCCCAAACCGCTCCGGGTTTCCACTTTCAGCCATTTCTCTCCTTGTCCCCTCACCAAGAGCGGGGACGGAGCAAGCCTTCGCCACCTGTCTCTGGCACCCGCCGAGGGAAGACAGGCCAATGGAAAGAGGGCAGAGGTTCACACCCCACCCCCGAACCCCAGCGCCTGGCTGCCCGGAGGTGGCTCCACAGCCCGAGGGAACCGACGCCCCCGGGCCGGCTGTCTGCTCCCCCACGGCACGGGCCCCACCCCCAATCCTTCCGGCGCCCCAGCGCCCACCCACCCGGGCGCGGGAGTGGGAGGGTGCCGCGTGGGCAGCCGGAGCAACAGGCGTGGGAGCAGCGCTCCTCGCACTTCCTGGCTCCAGAAGGCTCGGTCGCGTCCCTCTTACCTTCCGCGAAGCCAGCCCGGGCCCCGCGCCCGGCGCCCCGCGCGCGCGAGGAAGCTGCGGCCGGGAGCCGGGGCCGCGGAGGCGCCGAGCGCCCAGCAGCGCGGGGAAGCGCCCAGCAGCCGCCGCTCGCGCGGCTCCTCCTCGCCAGCGCAGTCTCGCTCGCTGCCTCCCTCGCTCGGTCGGTTCGTGCGTCCGTCCGTCCGTGGGGCCCTCCCTCCCCCGCCGCCACTGCCGCCGCCACTGCCGCCGCCACTGCCGCCGCCGCCGCTGCCGCAGCCTCCGCCGCTCCAGCCCCGGCTCGGCAGCGCGTCCCCTCCCCGCCTCGCCGCTCCGCTCGCGGGCTCGCGGGCTCCCTCGCTCTCTCCCTTCCCCCGCCGCTGCCGGCGCCGCGCCGAGCGGAGCCCGGCCGGCCACGGGCTGCCTCTCCCGAGGTCCCTTTCCCGAGGGGGGGAGGTGGTGGGGGCGCGGCGCAGGCGGGGCGGGGAGGAGAGGAGAGTCCGGGGGAGGCGGCAAGGCTGCGCCCTCGGCTCCCCTCCGATCCCCGCGGGCCCAGCGGCCCCAGGCCGGGCCGGAGAGCGCCGAGCCGCCAGGCAGTGGAGGAAGAGAGGAGGAGGACCCGGAGTCTCGCCGCGGGAGGGTGCCCAGGGCGAGGGCGTGCGAGGGGGAGTGACTCCGCGCGCGAGGGTGTGTATGAGTGTGAGTGCGTGTGTGTGTGTCTGTGTGTGTGGAGAGGGGCGCGCGCGTGAGCGGGGGGTGGGGAGACGAGGCAGAGCCTAGTGCGTCTCCCCGGGCGAGTGGAGGAATCCTAGGGTGTGCCTGGAGGTGGCGGAGTGTACCGACGCGGGTGTGAGCGCGTGTGCCAGCGAGGGTGGGCACGGGGGTGAGCGTGGCAAGGTGAGCTGGGTTTGGGGGTGGGGGAGGAGCAGGGAGTACGGCGTGAGCGTAAGTTCGGGGGCGTGTGTGGCTGGGGACCCACGGAGAGGTGGCAGGGAGGGCCGGCGTGTGCGCGCGTGGGGTATGTGTGCACCTAGCTGTGTGTCTATTTCTCGCTGACTGTCCACAGGGCAGCAGCACCTGCTTGAGACCAAGCCCGGCGACCTGGCAAGGTGGGGCCCCCTACCGCGCAATCTTTGCGGCTGGCCCCCGGCTCTCAGCTCCGAGTGCAGAGGCTGAAGAGGTACCCGGGGGACACACTGCCTCTAACCCCACCTATGAGCCGCTCTCCTCTCGGAGGACGAAGGCACCATCAGAAGGTCGAGATTCGCCCTCCTCTCCCGCCACGTCTACCCACTACCTAGACCGGGAGTCTGGACTTGGGAGCGTGAACTCTCACCCGAGCCGGTCCCCTTACAACTGGAGCCCGCCCAGCCCCTCAGTCCCTCCCTGAAGCCCATGGGTCCCCACTGCTCCGTGCCTCGTCGACCCAGGATGGGGAGTGGGAAGGTCAGCATGTGCCCACAGGGCCAGGTGTCCGGCCCAGATTCCCACCCTCAGGGCGGCGGCGCGCAAAGGGCGCAGTCCCCGCCGCTGGGCGGACCCGCGGCTCCGGCTTTCCCGGTGTCTCCAGCCTCGGTGCCCGGAATCCTGGATCTCGGCCTGGCGCTCCGGAAGCGAGGCAGCTCCGTGCCCCAGCAGGGACGGGGAACGCTTGGCTTGAGAGATCACATTTCTGGGTGTGGAGAGGTGGGTGCCGAGGCAGAGAAATGCAAAGTGCGTTGTGACCTCTGGGGTGTTCTAGACTGCGAGGGTGTTCTAGACCCTAGGACAATTGTAGACCCAGGGCTGGAAAAGGACCTCCCTGAATCCGGAACGGGGCTTCTGGCTTGTGAGAACCCCTAGCCCTCTTCCAGATGAAGGAGTGGAAGTCGGTAATTGTGGTCTGGGCCCTTGTGGCCCCTGGCACCTTGGAGTCCCTCATTCACTCACTCTTACTTTTTCCGGAGCCCCCTTCAGTCTGTCAGTTTGAAAGGTACACAATTGGCCCTTCAGGAGGTGGGCGTGGGCTCCATTAGCGTTTGCCAGGAGTCCCGGAGCTGTGTGGGATTTGCATACAGTAATAATGATTAACAACACTGCCACTCCCTGGCAGACAGGGGAAGAATTCGGGGAAGGCCCTGGCGCTGCTCCCACCTCCCTCCTCCCTTTCCTCTGGGGAAGGGCTAATTTTCTGGCAACTGCACTCCTCAGTTGCTCTGACCCCTGGGATAAAGTGCCTCAGGTCCTGGGTGGTCACTACTCAGGAGGCAGGGGCACTTTCCTTCAGTACTCCATCCCATGTTCAATTCGGGAAAGTGAAACCCATATTTTATTTCTGCCCAGGTTTGAACTCCTGTACATTCTCACTGTTGTTTAGCATCTTGGGGGCAGCTCAGGGGTTGAGTGCCCCCCTCAGTGTTTGGAGGCTTCAGGAGACAGTTGGGCACATCATTTCTCCTCAGAAAGTCAACTAATGGGACAGTTGTGGCCTCCTGAGACTCGTAAGCTCCGTTTGAAGACCAGACACTGGTCCAGACACCTGCCCCCTCATTCCTCATAAGCTCGTAACTCATTGCTTAAGTGTGGTAGCTGTAGACTATTCTCTCCTTTCTGTCTTAACCATCTAGGGAAAATAGGAAAGACTGGGATTTCTAGTCTAGGCCAGTGTGGGTTTTGTTTACCAGTCCTTCCTACAACCAGGTGATCTGCAAAATGAGAGCAAGCGATGGGGAGAAAGGAGGCCCCTTGATTCGGGCAGCTGGAGTAGTCCTGCTGCCCAGGAGATGCTGTCCCTCCCACCAGTCCCCAGTCATCTATTGCATCTTTCCAGCACTGCCTGTCCTCACCTTCCCCCTCTGCCTCTGGTCCCGGCCTGGCCGGGATTTTCACTTGCTTTTCCCCCATGACACGGCCGCTTTTCCTTTAACTCTCAGCTTCTATTTAAAAAGCTAATTTGGGAGCTTGTCGATGCTCCCAATTCAGACATTTTAAATAGGAACTGAAAGTCAGGAGCTGCCAGGGCACTAGATTTCCTCCCGTTGCCACCAGCACAGCTGAGGCATTTGTTCAGTCACTCCTCTGGCCCTGGCCGTGTGTGTCTGTGTGTGTGAGCACCCGCGAGCTCAGGGTGTATTTCAGGCTATCTTTTCTATTTAAAGACGGTGCTCCTATGGATGACTATTCTTTCTCTGTGTGTGTGTCCTTTCCAAGCTGTGCACACATGAGGATTCTTCTTTAGTCTCATGGCTGTGGCCGGTATTTGCAAAGCTTGTCACCGTGTGGACTGTGAGGGTAATTGGGAGCCCAGCTCAAAGTCGGCTGCTTCTTTGCTGACGTGCCAGGCTAGTGTGTCTGCGTGGCTGTTTCCCAGGGCTGCTCTGTTCAGGCTCTCTCTTTGAAGCTATGCCTCATATGCCTGAGAATGTCCTTAAGGGTCACTCCCACCCTCACTGCTTATAGCTGTCCCATTTTAGCAATCTGCCCCATGCTGGGGCAAGAATTTTGGGGGTGGGCTGTACCTCTGAGGGTTACAGCCTTTCTACATTTAGGGTGCTATGTACCTTAGAAGTAAAAAGTACAGACTTTGAGGTGAGACTGCCTGGGTTTGAACCTGCGTCTGCTGTTAATTAGCTGTGTGATCATGTGGAAGGTACTTAATCCCTCTGTGCCATGATTTCTTCCTCTCTCAAATGGCAATAAATAATACTATCTACTTTATAGGGTTGTGAAAATTAAATGAAGTAACACAGATAAAGTGCTTAGAATCGTGCCTGGAACATGGGAAGTACAATATAATTGTTGGTTGTTGTTGTTCAAGGTAGGAGTGGTGCAGGCAGGAGGTGCAAAGAAATCTGTCTGAGGAGGAAGATAGAACTGCCGGATTGTACACAGAGACACATATAGTCACTCACCCACCCATGCATGTAACAATAAAAATGGCAGGCCACAGCCCACAGGCAGTCAAGTTCACCTTGCTGAGATAGTTAATTCTGTAAGTCCCAGAAAAGGGAGATTTCTGTTGAAGGAATAGAGGAAGAGTCTAGGGATAGAGATGAGGAAGGGGCTTGACCATGTCAGAAGCCCATGGGACATTTCTTGGGAGCCGATTTTATGCTGAAGAGTAAGTCCCGGGCCCCTCACTATCCATGTGGTCCCAGCCTCCCTTATTTAACCACTGAAAGCAAGGCCTTTTGAAAGTGAGCTCCAGCGAGAAACTCAGGAGGGTGGCACCTCATTCTCCCCAAGGCTCCCCTTGGGTTTGGGGTACTCTCACTTTCATACTGCCATTGCGTTCCATCCCTTATTCCCACAGCTGGGCATGTGAGCTTTTATTCAGTTGCTATTAGAGTTTATTTCACCTCGATGGGCCCGCAGGAAGCTGCTAGCAGGAAGAGGAGCTCTGAAGGACAGGAGGCTGTCCAAGGGATGAAAGCAACGTTGCAAATGCTTGGCTTAGCATATCAGCTGTAAGCTGAGGAGCCACCATATGTTGGGCTCCTTGCTAGATTTTCCATAATCCTGCACTGTAGATATTACCATCATTTTATTGATAGAGAACCTGAAGGTAGCTGGTGGAGAGGGACACTCCAGAAGGATGTGAGGCTGCATAGCTGGATTGGAACTCTGACCTCTCCCTTTTGCCGCTATCCCAGGATCCTTGGTTTCCCCGCTTCTGAAAGTAGAGTATCCTCCTCAGTCAGATAGAGGGGCTATCCTAAGAGGACACTCTTGACCTCTCCTGTATTTGGCCTCCATAAGTTATGTGTGGGGTTGACATAGTTTGAATATTTGTCCCCTCCAAATCTCATGTTAAAATGCAACCCCCAATGTTGGAGGTGGGCCTAGTGGGAGGTGTTCAGGTTATGGGGGCATATCCCTCATGCATGTCTTGGTGCCCTCCCCATGGTAATGAGTGAGTTCCTGCTCTATTAGTTCACGTGAGAGCTGGTTGTTGTAATGTGTCTGGCACCTCCTTCCTCTCTCTCTTGCTCTCCCTTGCCATGTGACACATCTGCTTCCCTTTCCCACCCGCCATGAATAAAAGCTTCCTGAGACCTCACCAGAAGCAGATGCTAGTGCCGTGTTTGTACAGCCTGCAGAAACCATGAGCCAAATAAACCTGGACTAATACGGGGGTGGAGGCTCAGTATGTCCAGGGTGGGGATGCACCCTATTTTTCTTCAGGGTGATGTCTGCCTGAGGAATTCCAAAGCTTAGGGGTGGCTTGGCTTTCTCTAGTTTCCCAAGGTGGGGTAGGAGGTGGTGGTGTAAATGCTGACGAGCTTTGCCCCAGTCTCAGAAGGCCAGGGCTTTGCCTACCGGGTATCAGCCCAGGTTGTCCAGCTTCCAGGCCAGGAGGCACTGTCCAACATTGGTGGCCCCAATGGCTGAATGCTCACAACTATCAGATGCTTCTAGTCCCTTTCTGAGGGTGGAGAACTCTTGCTTCCTGCAGCACTAACTCCATTTTGGAGGCCAGTAGTGGCCTGGATGGTCATCTCATTGATCAATATGCTTAGACCAGTTATGGCAAATGAGAAGCCATCCAACTTGCTGGGCTCCAGTGGAGCTTCTGAAAGTCAGCCCTTCCAGTGGACCTTCTGCCAGCCTGACCCCTGCTCCAACCAAGGCAGCTCCTGGGGAAAGCAAAGTCCAGGTGGAGGGTTTTCTGCTCATCAAGACCTCCCTTGGAGGGAGATGCTAGGGAAGGAAGAGGAGGGAAGAGAAGGAGGAAAGCAAATATGAGAAGGAGAGATAGGTACTGGGAGTTTGGGGGAAATCCTAATCATTTGTTTAGTTTCTTGCTAGAAAATCTGGAGAAGGGTGAGTGGAGGCTGGGGATATAACTCTTAGGTGCAATGACTTGTTTTCTGCTGGTGGTTTCTTTTGCTTGTGTGCTGATGTTTCCCAGGTCTCTGTCCTTGGCCTTCTTTGCTTCTCTCTCTGCCCTTTTCCCTGGAGAGTTTATGCAAGTCCATGGTTTCAAGTTCACTCAGATGCTTATGATTTCTTCCTGCACTCTTCTGTTCCCAGTAATGATCCACTGTGCATCTCCATCTTTGTACATAGGCACCTCTATGCTTCATCTCACCAGTGGCCTTAATCCTTCTGCAATCAATTGTTTCCCCTAAAAAACCCTCTTCCTATCATGGTATATCCTCTACTTTCTTTCCAGCCTTACCTTCTTCTACTTACTCACATCTTCCTTTCTAGCATGTAGATCTTTTCTTCATTACCTGCAAAATCTCATATCTTCATGTCTTTGTACATGCTGCACCCTCTTCCAGAAATGCCTTCCACCACTTCCTATTTCCTTTGTCTTCCTAGCAAACTTCCACTCAGCCTCAAACCTTAAATACCCAAGAAAAAAGTCATGTAAGTGTTGGTAAAGTCCTCCCCCACATCCCAGGATGAACTAGTCGTTCCCCACTTTGGATTTTCACAGTCCTTCCTGCATACCTCAAATATGGTTCTTATGACCTGTATGGCCTTGTTTTCTGCATAGTGGTATCCCTCTCTGGACTTCAAGCTGTTTATGGCAAGGACCGTTGTCAGCCATTTCTGAATCCTAGCTCAGTGCTCGGGACATTGCAGATGTTCAATACATTTGCATTAATAATTTATTTTAACTTTAATTTACGTGGCTCCCTTGATTGTATGTAACTGGGAATATGTGATTAATTTGTCAACTGGTTGGTCTCCAGGTCCTATCTGATTGATCTTAAGCACTAGCATGAGGACAGAAAGAAGAATGAGGGTGTTCCATTTTCAGCTGATCCTACATGAAAAGAGCCCCAAAGCCCCACTCCTCCAGTAGGGAGGAAAGGAAAGTCTTTTCGTATCTACAAAGTGAGCCTCAGTCGATGCTGCCTGCAGAGACCTTGCCAGTGTTCTTTTCTTGAACCAGATTGGTTTTCAGATAACTCTTTTCTTTCCTTTCTGGCAGAATGTCAATCACATATCCAGAATATCACCTCCTTGGGCACAGCCAGGGCATGGTCCATTGAAAATGTTCCTGATTGCTGGAAGCTGACGGCTCACCATAAAAGCCAAAATGGGGACCTGTCAAAAATGTTTTAGCCAAACTATGGCTTGGCTCAGGAAGATGCCAAGACCAAAGGCTGCTGAACTTTAAGTATAAACTTGCATGAAAAGCACATTGCAGGTCTGAGACAGTGGAGGCTTAGTGGTGAGAACATGAGCTCTGGATAGACCTGGCTTCAAGTCTTGGCTCTGTCATTCACCAGCTGTGTGAATTTGGGCAAACCACTTTTCTTCTCTGATGCTCAGTTCCCTCACCTAGCAAAATGGGTTATAATGATGGCATCAACTCATAAGGTTCATGAGGACTGAGCTAGATAATGCAAACAACATGTTTCATATACAATAATAAATAAAAATGTTGGCTGTTATAATATTGTCACTGAGTCTACATGTATCTGAAACTAGCTCTTTTAAATCCTGGGTACAGCTTTACAAGCAGTATTGTGTAGTTTAGACAGATCACCTGAGTTCTTTCTATGTAATTATTGTTTCTACTGAACCTTGGTAAATGTGTGAAATCACAGAAGTTTGTCCCTAGACACTCCCCTCACCCCACTGGCTCCTCTCTCCATTCTGTGCAACCCCATTTCTGCAGCCTTGAGCTTCAGCCCATTTCTCTCCATTTCCTCCTCATTAGCAAGAACTGATAAAATTATTTGAACTGATATGTAAGTGACCATCTCATCCAGAGATATAGTATTCACATTTTAGTAGGTCAGAGCCTTAAGCCAAGGCAGTGAAATAGAGTGGATGGTACTTCAAGCATTCATCAAAGTAATGGGGAAAGTTTGGGGTCCCAGGAGACTCTTCCCAATTCCACAGAGTCCTGCCCATTCATAAAACTGGTACTATTGATGCATTATAAGCAACAAGGTGGTCCGTGTTTGAATTCTGCAGCTGGAAAATCAAGTCTCCAGCTTTTGCAAAAGTGTTGTAATAGGGAAACTTGGACACTAATTTTATATACCAACCTCTTCTTGGTAAAGAGACATAGCTCATGAGCACCAAGGCCTTTCCAGCATTGCACATCTATGATACTTATACTCAAGTGCATTTTTTTCTTCAGAGCTCAAGGCTAGAGTTGGGTGTTTTTGCCTCACTGGGTTTGTAGGAGACTCAGCTACAAAGTCATTAATTGCTTTGGTGAATCAACAAGTAAAGAAAGACAGTCCAGCTATTGTCCCCACACTGCAAAATCATAAGAGGCTTCTGGACTTCTCCACAAAATCCTCATTAAAGATGAGTCCTCATGGCTCTTACAGAATTCTTTATTATGTCCTTTGTGCTGAGACTGCAAGGTAAAGAAAGAAAAAAGGGAAATAACTAAATTTGTTATCATGGAAAATTTCAAACATACAAAAGATGAAAGAATTGTATAATATACCCCCATGAACTTGTCATTTAGCTTTGAAAGTTACCAACTCATGGCCAATCATTTTTCATCTGTACCCTACTCACACACTCCCCCACCATAATTTTGAAACAAATTCCAAATATAATTTCATCTGTAAATATTTCTGTGATTGCACCTTTGTTATGGCCAACAAAATCCATCTTTCTAGAAGAGAAGTCATTCTTCCCTCCCTCCATGATGCTAAGAACATTTGGCCAGTACCTGCATCCATGCCCAGGAGTGGTCTCTGGGTTAGGCAAGCTTGAGGGTTTACTGAATGTTATCCAAAGTTTGTCCTTTTCCTTGGGTAGAAAAAGGAACCCATAAAATGTCTGGTAGAGGTGCCACTGTGTGCAAGCTTTTTTTTTTTTTTTTTTTTTTTTTTGTCAGCAGGGATGATGCTCAATAGCTGTGATGAGGTCCAAGCTGAGAGAAAAGAGTCATGATCATGAATCCCAACTGGATTCATCATTTTCCACATACTTTACTTCATTTAGCTTTCACCAATTCTCATGTTAGTTCCATTTTACAGATAAGAAAACTAAGACCTAAGCTCACCCAGCTAGTAGTTACTTGTGGCAGAGACAGACTAGATGCCAATCAAATTCAGTTCCTCTTTTCTGTAGATACAGTTAGATTACTTTCCCAGGTTCTCTTGCAGTTAGGTTTGGTCATCTGACTAAGTTCTAGCCAAAGTAATATAGGCCAGTCCCATGAAAAACATCTAGGGCAATTTAGCATGTTCTTTCTTTCTCCATCCACTGGCTGAATGGAAAAAATTTCAAGGGCTTAGAAGGGGACAGAGCCACAAGAAGGAAGGAACTTGGGTCCCTGGGTGACTATGTGAAGTAGAGGTCCCTCCCAACTTCCTTTGAACTGTGAAATACGCAAAATAAATAAATAAATAAATTTTTATTATGTGAAACTGCTGAAATGTGGGTGATGTATGTTCAAGTAGTAATGCCTACCCTGACCAATACAGTGGCATAGATGGGATTTAAACCCTCAATCTGACTATGCCAGTGTCCAAAGTCTTCCCCTAAACCACACTGCCTCCAGGCACAACAAATAAGAATTGCTTATAAGAATCACCTACATGCTCAGCATGTGATAGGACTGTCTTCAAGGAGATCTCGCATCTTAGATTTGTGCTAATATGATAGCCACTAGCCACATGGGGCTGTTTAAATTAAAGTTTAAATTAATTAAAATAAAGTTAAAAATTCAGTTTCTTAATTGCAGGCTCACATTTCAAGTGTGCAGTAGTCTTATGTAGCTAATGGCTACCACATTGGAATGTGCAGACAGAGAACATTTCCGTCATCATGGAAAGTGCTGTTGGATAATGCTGTCTTAGATAGACCTTCATTCACAACGCACCCCTCCCCAGACCCCTGCAGAAAAGCTGGAAGAAGACGGGGATGCTGCTCACGAGAGGGCGGAGGGTAGCATAGCCAGCAACCAGATTGTCATAGACATAAAGGTCTCTCTCTCTCTCCCCTGACCTGAACCTTGGATCTTTGTTCTTGCCTTTCCTAGTTAACTCTCAGACAATCATCTTATGGCCCTCCTGTACTCACTGGTAACATAATTTGGATATGACTTCCTTAAACAGAAGGAGCTCTGTCTGACCCTGTTCTCCAGACAGTCCTGAGAGCAGGGTCCACACATCATTCCCTCCCCAGCAACTGTGTAGATGCTGAGCAGTAGATGCCAACAGGGCTGCGCTTCCTGGCCTGGATTAGGGATATTTCACACAGCAGCCAGAGTGATTTTTCAAAACACATATCCAACAATGTTGACCGTTAGTTGAAATCCTTCTATAATTCTCACTGCCCTCAGAATTGAGTAAACATATCTCAACGTGTCTCCTGTTGTTACTGAATCATTGATTACTTCTGCTTTTCCACTTTCTACTCCTGGGCCCCTTGAACCTGGTGTTCCTGCCATGTTGAAAGTGCTGCAGTTCTCCAAACTTACAGGTTTGCTTTTACCCCTGAGTGTTTGCTCAGGCTGTTCCTTCTGCAGGGACTCTATCCTTCCCCATGTCTGTTTAGCTAACTCCTACATGTAGGGCTTAGCTTGGAAATACTTCTTCCCCACTCCCACCCCCTTTCCCACTATAGAACTTACCACACTTCCCAGCCATGTTTAGGGAACAGCAGATGTTTTCAGTTCAGGTATCAAAAGCAGAGACTATTTTGTGGAGGTTTTTCTCAAGAGGATGACCCTTCTCAATCCATCTAAATCATGAGTCTCAGTCCCTCCCTCCTTCCAACACAGACACACACACACACATATTTCCCATCGACTTAATTCCTCTGCAGAGTCACCAGGGAGGCAAGTGGAGCCCTGTAAATCTCTCACAAGCTGTAACACCCAGAAACCTCTGCTCCTTGACCCCAGCCAGCCACTGTGAAACAAGTGCTACTAAATCCATGGGCCATGCCCCACTCCCCCTCCTACCTGCCATTATCCCATCATCTGAAAGGGGGGCTTGATATACAGAATAGGGTGTGGCAGTCACAATCCAAGCTGGTGCCAAGAAGTGCTGTGGGTTTTCACTTCATTGGATTACTTTTATAGGATTGGAGCAGATAGAAGCAGTGACTCCAATGCCTGAGATAGCATGACAATAAATCGCCATGGTGGCTCTTCCATGGCTCATAACTAGTAAATCAAATCTATTGAACAATATATTTACTGCAAATTTAAGAAGCTGTTCTTCCATTTTTTAAGTGTATGTGTTAAATCATGCCCAGAGTCACAAAGAATGGAGACAGCCAGCCTCGGTGTGAAAAAAACAACAAAAAAACAGCCACATGCTTAAAGAAGTTAGAAAATTCTAACTTCTTTGTTGATGACAGAGTGAATACCCTTCCTGATAGCTCCATGGGGCTTTTTTCCCACTGAGACAGACTAGAATCTCCGAAGTGGCAAGCTAATGACTTCTTAACTAATGCCTGAGTCAATTTTGCAAATACAGGTTCAATGTTAGCAGGTTCCTTCTTTGCTCCAGATTCCTGACGTAGACAGAAAAGGAAACACAACAGCCTTCTTAGTGAATTACAGCACTGCTTGCATCAGTGGGATGGTGATGAGGGTCAGGAGAGAGAGTGACTTACTGTTTTTCTCTAGAAGATTGCTTTTACTCCTCATTTCACTCTATTCAAGTGCTACTGAGTTGAATGCAACTCCCAACTCAAGATGCTGTTTTGGCCATGCTTTGCTGTCAGTGTACTTTGTCTTATCTGTATTCCTCTGCCCCACCTACATATTAGCAGGGGAACCTGGCAACCTGGCATTCAATAAACATTTTATTTGAACTGATAGGTCTTTATCCACTAATGCTAGTTCAATAAACACTTCTTAAACAATTCATTCATTCATTTACACACAAATGTTGAAATGCAATTGCTGTGCCTGGCATATGGTGGTGAGCAAGATAGACACTGACCTTGCCTTCTTGGAGTACAGCTCATGTTTAAAGAGAAAGACAGACAGTGAATCTGCATTCTGCACTGATGGTTAGGCTTACTAAAACCTCATCTGGGGTCAGTGAAGCCTGAGGGGTGACTAGAAGCTAGATTTACAAATTCTCAAAATGATCCCATGAGACAGAGCTATGATTCCATTTTCAGATGAAGAACTGGAGGCATGCGTCACACAGCTGCAGTAGTGGCAGAGCTAGTATGTGTGATAGGGGTGTGTGTGGACTCTAGGGAAGCACAGGGAGGAGACATTTGGTCCAGCCAAGCTGTCAGGGAAGATGCTCTGGAGGAGATGACATCTGAGCTGAGCCTGGAAAGAAGGCAGGAATCTGCCAAATGAGTGGGGGAATGATGTGACCACCAGACAGGGCAAAGACACCGGGGCATGAAACATCAAAGCATGTGCCTGGAGTGTGAAGCCAGAGGGAGGGCACTTCAGGGCCGAAGCGGGGGAAGCAGCCCATGGAGGTTTCGTGTGGCAAGCTTAGGAGTTGGACCCTATTCTGCAGGCCATGAGTTGCCACCCAAGGGCTTTAGGCAGATGCATAATGCAGTCAGATCTTGTTTGAAAAAACCACTCTGGCCCGGCCATATGGAGGATGGATTTGAGGAGGACCGGATGGGAAGCAGGGGGACCAATTAGCAGGCTATTGCAGCATTCCAGGAGAGAGATGAGGAGGGCTTCAACTAGGGCAATGGTACTGGGGATGGACAAGAGGGAACATGAGAGAAATATGTTTGCGGTAAAAATGATCAGGACTCTGGCTGGATGTGGAGCAGCACAGGAAGGTCCCAGGTCAGGCTGTGCTGCCTGGACAAATGACTGTGCTAATCTGGGACACAGCAATGCAAAGCAGAGCTGCTGCGGGTGTAGATGCAATCCTTCCAGGAAGGAAGGTGGTCATAGTTCTCTCTCAGGGTCTTTTCCAGCCAGAGCTGTTTATGCTGGACTGGAGACACCTGTCAGCTGGGGACATTCAAGGCCTGAGAGCAATGCAGATCTTCAGAAACAGGCTGGGTTCACCTGAAACAAACTCAATAACTCCTTTGGTTATAGGGGGATAAATTTTCAAAATAAGTCTAAGCAATTCCCAGGATAGCAGGCCACAGAAGCTAAAGGATTATAGAACTGCTGATCACAGTTGAGACATGAGAGGAGCAATTAACTCTTGGGTCTCATCCCCCATCATTCTTCTTCCCACCCCCTTTGTGTCCCCCAATCAGCACACGTGTGCACACACATACGCTCAAGCATGCATATGCGCATGTGCATACGCTTTATCATCCTTAAACTTCTCACCTTCCCCCAGACACACCAGGCCTGCCCCACTTCCTCTTTGCACCTGCTGTTCTCTCTGCCTGCAGAGTCTTTCCTCCAAATTCTCCACTGGGCAAAATTGTTTTCTTCCTTCCACACCAATCCAGATGCCTGGCCTCTCTGATGCCCAGCCCCACTACCCCATGTGGGGTTAATTGTCCTGCCCTAAGTGTCCTCTCCACACTTTCTCCCCCATCAAATAGCACTTTGTATTGTGTTTCCCTGAGGTCTTTCTTCACTGCCAAGCCGAACTCCTGAAGTCTTGTCAATCTTGGCATCCCCAGCAGTGGCACAAGTTCTGGTCCATCACTGGTGCTCAAAAACTGTTTGAGGAAGGAGCACAACCCCTGAAGATGGACTAGAATATACCTTCCCTAGCCATGATCTCAAGTTCTTCACTTCAATGAAGGGTGGTGTCTTTGCTCTCTGGACACTCACATGCCATTGGGAAATAAAGCCTGAAAACACATGAGACAAGGGCCATAAAGGTGGTGCCTACATTCACCCTTAGTTCTACATGAACAGGTCAATTATTTTTCTGAAATTGGCCCTTATATTTATCCCCACTTTACAGATAAGGGTTCACCCTCAGGGAAGGCAACAGCTCTTTTGGACTAAAATGATCAAAGACTTGTTTAACATCTTTCAAGGGAAATGGGTAGGTAAATGAGAACACCAGCTGTCTGGGGTTTGGTTCTTACAGAGATTCCCCAGGCTGACCACAGTTGGTGGGCCCAGATGAAGCCCCCCAGAGAGCGAAACCTTCGGTTGTTTGTCAGGTGGCCTGTGCAGTCCTCTGGGTTCTTATTGGCTTCAGGAGCAGGAGGAGGACTGACCGCTATGAACCAATTTATTAGTCTCCCAAGAATCATCTCTGCCTGCCTCGGGCTGGGCACCTTAACTTGACAAAGGTGGTGCTCATGAGCAGGGCAACAGACAAGGGCCGGGGGTGCTGGAGACTGGAATCATCGTCATTATGAAATCAATAACAGCAATGACCGCGACAGAAGCTCTTGCCTGACATTTACTATGTGCCACGCAGTGTTCTAAGCCTTTCTCTGGATTCTTATTTTATAGTCCTTATAATGCTTCTCTGAAGCAGGTACTATCATCCCCGTTTATCAGATGAAAAAACAGAGGTACAGATAAGTTCAGCAATTGCCTCAAGATCAGATAGCAGAGCTGGGATTTGAAACCAAACAATGTGATTCCAGAGCTGCTATTCTTAAATATTATGCTGCAGGGAAGTGCAGAAGGCAAACCAGTACCCTGACCTTCCATAGAAGGGCACATTAGGAAATAAGAGGCCAGCATTTGCTCTTGCTCTGACCCCCATACCCCTCCAGGCTCTCCAGCTCCAGGCAGGGATGGATGTCTGCTGCTTGCTAGGTTAGAGCTCTGCAGAGTCCGGAAAGTACAAGTGAGCTGGAGAATGCTGGGCAGATGAGCTGGGTGCCCCTTTCCCCTTGGCCTCGCAGCAATGGCCTTCAGATTGCTGCCTCTCCTGGGTGCCAGGATTGCTGCTGTCTGGAGCCTAATCTCCATTCTGGTGGTTTTGGTTGCTATGGTAATTGAATTCACTTAAAGTTGTCTCCAAGCTACTCTGTCTACTTCTTTCTGCCCATAGCCTGGAAGGGCACAGGCCCAGGATGGAGGGCAAGAAGGATAAGGGATTGCTGCCCTGGGAAGCCTACATGTGTTTCCTGATCCAGAGGTCTTCCTCAGAGGCAAACAGAAGAGAAAATCACAAAGAAATGTTCTTTGCAAGTCTCTCCATCTTCCTCTTCGCTGCCTTAGCTCCTTTCTGCATAGACGCATTGGAGTTAGATGGGCTGGAAAGGCAGGGACTGGCACAAGGTACTCTGAGAGCCTCTTCCATTCTTCAGCATTTTGTTACTCATTCAACAAACACTTACTGAAGGGTGACTGTATTCTAGGCTGCTTGCCTAGACAGGGGTCTCTCTGGGGGCAGCTCAGGATCCAGAGCCACAGGGAATGTCCCCTGACAGCACATGTCTGTGTGGCTACCACTCTGAGATTTCAGGAGAATGGCCAGTCAGGGTCAGACCCTGACAGGAAGATTAGGGACTGTGGGACATCTCCCTTTCATCGTTTCTCTGCTGGAGGAAGATTCATCACACAGCTCAGGGCTGCTGAGCATGTGGAGAGGAATCAGAGATCCTAGAAACTAAGCTGCTGTGGAATAGGACCGTCCCTAGATGGGACCTGAGGTGCAAATAATACTTATTTTCTCCACGATTCTAATGCAGGAAAAGTTTTGACACATAAGACAAATGACAAGGATGGAAGCCCATGTCAAAGAGCTGCCTGAGGGGTGTGTAGGAATGACATTCCCTTCCCCTGACCACCACCACTTTGCTTGGATGATAAGGGAGTGGGGATGAGAAGGTTATAGTAGATTATAGGTGATCATGTGTTTGCAAGTCTCAGTCAGAGAAATCTCTGTGCAGAGTCAAGGTGGGGAATGAACTAAAATGAGAAACCTGGGACATCAGTGTGGGGGAGTTCTGTTTGGCACAGGTGAGTGAGGTGCCTGGTGTATTCAAGGTCAAGTGCCCGATAAGCAGAAAGAAGTGTATTTCTAGGACTTGGGAGAGAGTTGCTCGTTAGAAATGCGCATGTGAGAATCATCGGCCTAGAGGTGACAGCTGAAGTTGTGAGAAAAGATGACATTGCCCAGGAAGAAGGTGCAGAGGAGGGATGTGAGAGGAGGCAAGCATTGCTCCTTGGAGAGTGGTCAGAGGCAGGGCAATTAGTTTCTTTTAGGAAGCAGGGGAGTGGCCTGGAGTCAGTTGTTGGTAGGAAATAGTTAGTAGTACACATATGGTGTGGGCTTCAGGGAAGATGCTGCTGAGGGAGTTGTGGAAAATCAGGCTAGTGTAGGGGCTGTCAAATGTGAAAATGCATCACAATGACTGGAGGCCTTATTACAACACAGGTGGCTGGGCCCTACCCCCAGAGTCTCTAATTTATTAGGTTGGAGTGGAACCCAGGAATTCACCTTTCTTTCTTTCTTTCTTTCTTTCTTTCTTTCTTTCTTTCTTTCTTTCTTTCTTTCTTTCTTTCTTTTTCTTTCTTTCTTTCTCTTTCTTTCTTTCTTCCTTTCCTTCCTTCCTTCCTTCCTTCCTTCCTTCTTTCTTTCTCTTTCTTTCTTTTCTTCTTTCTTTCTTTCTCTCTCTCTTTTTCTTTCTTTCTTTCTATTTTTTTTTTCTTTTTACAGAGTCTCCCTCTGTCCCCCAGAATGGAACAGTCATGGATCCTGACTCACTGCCACCTTGACTTCCGGGACTCAAGGAATCCCCCCACCTCTGCCTCCTAAAGTGCTGGGATTACAGGCCAGGCATGAGCCACCAGCTGGGCTAGAATTTACATTTTTAACAGGTTCCCAAATGCAAGTTGATGCTGCTGGTCTAGGGACGCATCTTGTGAATCTGTACAGTGATAAACCTGCACTTGAGAAGGTTCAAATTTCACTTCATCCACCCTTTATTGTGGACCAAGTTAGACAGGATGAGAGGAGATGCTGGGCTTTGGTTAAAGAGCAGAGGTGGAGAAAAAGATGGAGAGTATAAGGCAGTTCCTTGGAAATAGAGTGGATACTGAGGGAATATGATGACATAGAGGAGGGATGACCCGAGGGGCACAGCCGCAGCCATGACTATGGATCTATGATTTTGGGTTGTGTAAAGAGATCAATGGTGAGTCTGGCAGATGGGAGTACAGGGATTACAAACAGCCCCACAGTTCTGTTTGGAGTCCTGGATGAAAGCCTAGAGTCTCCCTTCTAGAGCACCTCATCCCTCATCCCTCTCCCCAGCCCCTCTCTTCTAACGTTCTAGGATTATTGCCAGGCTCTGGGCCCCAGGCCTTCCCAAGCAGAACAGAGGCAGCTGCCTCATATCCTCGGTCATCTCTCACTGGGGTTGCTCTGTGGACAAGAAGACCCGGTACTTTTTTCGTTTTCTTTCCAAGACTCCAGATCAGGCACTTTGAGAGTGCTGTGAGGAGGCTCCTGACCTCAGTGCCAAACACCCTCTTGAGACTGAGCCACCCTGCCAGGGGTGAGGTGCAGAACTTGAGTCTTATTTTCTCTCAGTGGAGCGAGTCCATAAAGAAAATCCAATTCATCAGTGTCCAAGAGAACATTACCAAGATAGACGAGACACCATGGGCAGTATTTAATTATGAGCAGGCAGAGCAAATAGGAGGGACGCAATAAAAATGCTAATCAGGGAGGAAAAAACCCAGAATTTGTTTTCTTCTAGAATAGGCTAAAGCTCATCTCTTCCCCCTCCATTTCCAGCCCCCAAATGAGTGCTGCAGACCAGGTTCTGAATGTGACTCGGTGACAGGTGAGTCCATTTTAGCCTCCCCACCCCCACTGGCTTCTCCCTACCTCCATTGTCCCAATCACCTAGTTCCTAGAAGATACAGCCCAAAAAGAGGGAGACTGGCTTGCAAGCACACAGCTTCCTCTTCAGCCAGGGAGATCTGGCAGGGAAACTTAGAAAAAGAATGAAGTTATTATTCAGGGCTCAATTCCATGTCCCAGGGAGCACTTTAGGAAGAAACAATCTCCCCCTCTCAGTGGCATATCCATAATTTGCATGAGAAGGGAGGGAGACCAGCTAAGTGCCCCCTGACAAACCTGAATTTAATGTGTCAGGCTTAGTCTCTGGCCTGATCCTAAGTGGCTCAGTCAATCCAACTCCAAGCCACTTACGATGAGCTTGGGGACATTCAGCCAGGCCCAAAGCAGATTCTCAATTCCTTTCAACTTGGCTGAGCTTGACGTTGAAATATGGTTTAGGAATTGCAGACCATTACTGTCTCACCTCAATTTGGTAGACTCCTCATGTAGCCAGATCCTTTGGGTCACTATATCCTTCCTTACTAAAGCTCAAATTTTCACACTGCTGCCAGGCAGATTTATTTCTCTAGTTTTGCTTGGTTGCTGGGCTACCTGGATCCCAAGCCTCATGCTGCTTTTGGGTAAAATGTGCTTGTTTTTGCAGCCCTCAGGATCCTGACTCAGCCCAGGCTCTTTCCCTAGGTTTGCTTCTTCTGTTTACTGGGCATACCATTCATCCTGGCTGGTTTCCATGCAATTTCCTTGTCACTTGATTAATCTCTCTCTGGTCTCCTCAAATCTGTATGCAGCTTGAGGTCTTCTCAACATCACCAGGACAGGACCTGGGCTTGAGGACCATCTGTCATCTCACTCTGGATCACCTCCCTTCCCTCCATGACTCAGGGAGAAAGAACCCAGGCCTTCAACTCCTAGCTACGGCCCCTTCCTGGAAAAATATCTGTTAGATTAAAAGTTCACATACCAGCTTAGCTACTTACCTGGTATGGAACCCTAGACAAGCTACTTAACTTCTCTGTGCCTCAGTTTCCTCATCTAACAAATGGAGATAACATTATCTTCCTCATATTTATTATAAGAATTCAGCGCAAACACACGTAAAGAGATTGGAAGAGTGCCAGTCACATAATAAACATTCAGAAAGTGTTAGCTATCATCATTGTCATCATCATCATCATTATTATTATTGTTATGATATTTATTATTAAAGTCAATGATTATCTTATTTACCCATATGTCCAGGTACTTGGTAGAGTGGCATAAATAAACATGCAATAATCATTGAATGAATGAATGTTCATTTAAGCTAATTCTTTCAAAGACATTACCATTCCCAGGGAAATCTAAAGAGAGGACCTATGATGACAAGGCTTTACACATAAGTGGCTAATGGTGTGATTTCAGGCATGTGTGGGAAAGGGATTTTGAGTCAGTGGTTCTTTTCAATCTCCTTCATATTGAGTCACATAATTACTAGAACATAACTAGGCCTGATTTTCTGGTCAGTAGCTCACAGTTATCTTCCTTTAGGGTTGAATCTCCCTCGTAACTCTAAAAGCAATGAAACCTTAGAAAGATAACCATCAAGGGGATAAAAGAGACAAAGGAAACTGCTAGCTACAGGGACAACCTTTCCTAGGTTCTCCCTAGGAAAGTTGCCACAACCTGTATACGTGCTGAAGCTGGAAAGCCCACATCAGCTTGTTCACTATGAGACAAAGAGGGAGAGTGCTGCAGGCAGCTGACCTCAGACCCTGGCATAATAAGACCCCTTCGAGAGTCAACCCCTATACTCTTTTAGGGAGAGCTCTCCTTCCTTCTATGCCTCACAAGAGATTTCTCACAATGGAGAGTGGAAATATTTTATCTACATGTTGCTGGATGGTTGTGCTATGGATCTTCTATGAGTGATCAGGACAGAATCTTGATTGGAAAAAAGTTATGCAATTCAGAGGCAATAGGTAAACCAAGGCCTGAGAGCCGTGCCGGTCCCCACACTGGTATCACATCCTGACTTGGACAGTGTGCCTTCATAGGGGTCATCCCACATGCTTCTCAACAGATGAATGAGTAGGTTGGGACCTTTTTTCCTTTCTTTCTTTCTTTCTTTCTTTCTTTCTTTCTTTCTTTCTTTCTTTCTTTGTTTCTTTCTTTCTTTCTTCTTTCTTTCTTTCCTTTTCTTTTTTCTTTGAAAATATATTCCTATTCACATGGTTCCACTAAATGTCACTAGTTCCCTGAGTAACTTCCAGAGGTATTTATGTATATATAAGCAAATATACACATATATTCTCTCTCCCCTCTCCATGAATTGAAAGCTTGCTTTACACACTTTCATGCACCTTGCATTTTTTTTCATTTAATATTATACTTTGGAGCTTATTCTATATCAGTATATGTAGGCTTACATCATTCTTTTTGGTGGCTGCATAGTATTATATTATAGAAATTAGTTTCTTTAACCAATTTAAGTTGTTTCCAATTGTTAACCTTTACAAATAAAACTGTAATGAATAACCTGTGGGTAAGTATACCTGTAGGGTATATAGGAGTGTATGTGAAGACAAATTTCTATAACAGGAATTGTTTGGGCAAAGGCTTTATTCATTTGTAAATGTGATAGTTATTGACAAATTGCCTTTCATAAATAGCCGCCTTTTTTTAGTTATAACAAAACTGGAGCTTGAAGAGGGTAAGTGACTTTATTAAAGTTGTGCAGATTATACATAAAGCAACTGGGATGATAACTAAGGTTTGTTGAGCACTAGGGTTCTCTGGGCCCATGAGCTCAAAGAAATGGGAACATCTAGGCCAGGCACAGTGGCTCACGCCTGTAATCCCAGCACTCTGGGAGGCTGAGGTGGGTGGATCACGAGGTCAGGAGATCAAGACCATCCTGGCTAACATGGTGAAACCCCGTCTCTACTAAAAATACAAAAAATTAGCCGGGCATGGTGGCGGGCACCTGTAGTCCCAGCTACTTGGGAGCTGAGGCAGGAGAATGGCGTGAACCCGGAGGGGGAGCTTGCAGTGAGCCGAGACCACACCACTGCACTCCAGACTGGGTGAAAGAGCAAGACTCCATCTCAAAAAAAAAAAAAAAAAAAAAAGAAATGGGAACATCTAAGATATATCCTACAGATTGCTGAACTCTAATACAATCTACAGTTTCATATATTAAACATTAAGCACTGTGGATTCAACTTTGAGAAAACCACAGTCCCTACACTCAAGCAATCTCAAGTCTAGAAGGGGAGAGAAAAAAAAAAAGAAGTAATTTCAGTTTAGCATGGTGGGATAAGTCTGAGATACAAGGAGATATAATGAGAATATGGGAAAGGATCCTGATCAGCTTTGGCTTCCTGGAGGAGGAGGCATTGAAGGTGACATTGGATAATCTAAAAATGCCCTTTGTAACATTAATTATGACTTGCCTCTTGTTCAATTCTCACTATTTCCAATACCAACCTTCTATCAAAGTTATTACTAAGTAGCAAAATAAATTGCTTTGTGAAAGCATGGTATAGTTGCAATGATAATAAGAGAGGCTACCGTATTCTGAGTTTCCACTGTATGCCAGTCACTGCTTTCTGGCTCTGTATTAACTAGGAGTGTGACGTTGGTCAGGTAACATCTCTCATGTGTGAAAAGGCCTACTACTGAAATGAAAAGGTTGACCAGATGATCCCTAGCTTCCCAGCCCCAGCAGTTCTCTCACATGTTATGGCTCTATCTCTTCTAAAATCACTGAAGCCTCTGCTGGGAGATGAGGGATAAGGAAATGGCCAAGAGTGGGGGATCAGGGAAAAGGAGCAAAAGGACTAGAGATAGTCCTCAAACTGGCAAATCAGCCTTGGGAAATTCAATTTTGAGAGAAGATGATGCATATGTCACGTAAATATTAATACCGAAAACACCTTACTGTTATATTTTTTCAAAGTGATTTCATATGTTATTTCATGTGTTCTTCATAACAATGATGTGAAGGAGGGAGTTAGGGAGGTGGGGAAACTGAGGCAGGGCCAAGGGAGGCTACTCAGCCTAAGTCCCATGGTGAGGCAGTGGTGCAGCCTGGGCTAGAACACTGGACTTTTATCATGATACGTGACTAGTTGAAGTTAGTTGAAGTTTTGTTTTTCCATAAGGCAAAATTCTGTTTGGGAGCAATCCAAAATCCTGATGACCTCCAGAAGACTGCACTTAAATGGCTTTTGTGGTGCTCCTCCCACCTCCTTCACTGTCCTCCCAGCAGCGTAATAAGCCTTTCCCTGGGTGCTGGAGCCAGACTTTTATTTCCAAAGAATGAGTCTAGTGAGTGGTTTTGGTGAGTCAGCACCAATTGATCTGGCTGCTGGGCCTGCTCTGGCCTTTGAGTCAGCTGAGTAGGATTTCTGCCTGGCTCTAGTGATCAGGCTGGACATCCCTGATAATCTGCTTCACCCCGTTGCTCCTCTGAGCCTGGGTCCTGCCTTGCTGTTCTGAGTCCTCCCTCTGTAGGAGTTCAGTCCTGCCCTTGACCCTATCCTGATGCTGATTCCAGAACCTCTACCTGGAACCACTGTGCACTGCTTGTTTCTAGATCCCCTTTTCTGTGCTCTGTTCAGTAACTAGACACCAACTACTGGACCTTCCTGATGCTGACCACCAGTTAGGGTGTCTGTCTAGCTCCCATGATGTGTTTTCCAAATAAATATCTTTGCTTGGTGGGCTGGCCACCTCCCATTGCTGGTAGGTTTGCCCCTATGCTACTCACCCACCACAATGGATAATGCTCCAATTCTAGTCTGGGTGATCTGGTGGTCTGGCTGTCTGTAGGCTCTAAACTCTCTTTCAACAGCCACCCTCCACCTCCATCCCATCAAAGCTAGAAGCCTGTGGGCTGGGTATCCTGAAGTAAGATCCTACTCTCTGTGGGGCCCTATGGGCTCATCTATGAAAGTGCCTGCTAGGTTCCCTTTCCTTACAGGTATGAATAAGAGCACAACCACTTTGGGCCCCTGGAGGGACGGCTCTGTCTGAAAACAGACATGATTACTATTTCCATCACCATTATAATCCTTTAATCACACATTTGCAGCAGAGAGCCTGGGCAAGGTGAGTCCATTTATATAAACGGCAGGAAAAAAGGAGGTTCTGTGCTATATGCCAACCAGGCTTAGTGGAAACGTAGCAATCGCTAGCCTTTCATGAGCAGAAAAATGAATAATCTAGGTTTTTATCCCCAAACAGCTCACATTCAAGCTGCCAGACCTGTGCTCATATTATGAAGGCTTTGACAAAACCATATTACACCCTTTTATACTGTCCTGAGCTCTCGGCTCTGTCAGTGGGCTGGAAGGCATGGAAGGACAGGCTCTCTGGGCACATGGCAGTCCCTGAACAAAGACTCTCCTATGTGTTTGGCCCTTGAATCCTGGAACTATCAATCCTATCTTCCTATCATGAATGGGATAAGGAGTCTAAGGAAGATTCCAATACAATTGTTTGGAATGGGTCCTTAACAGATACAGGGTTTTTTTCCCCTCCTTTTGAGATGGTGAGAGGATGAGAGAAACAGGTACTCAAACTCTAGAAAGGTAGCTTCTTCAGGTGAAACTGTGGCATTTCCCTATTTGCCCAGAGAGGGGACAGAGGCAGAGAGGGGGCCCTAGTGACAGTGCAGTAGCACAGTTCACTCTAAGAAGGGCATTCAGGCTGGAAATATGCCCTGACTCTCTTAATTTTAGATAATTGCCTAAGTAGAGGTCAGTCTTTCCCTCCAAAGGATTGTTCTTCTTGTACATAAGACTCTCTTTTCTGCTTCGAATGGGGCATTATGATTTGCTATTGCTGTGTAACAGAGCACCCCAGATCTTGGCACTGTACAGGAGTGATTATTTATTTAGCTCACAGATGTGGGTCACCTGCAGTCAGCTGGTCTCAGCCAGACTTGGCTGGACAGTTGGGATACAGCTCTGTACCATGTATCTCTCATTCTCCCTCTGGGACCAATGGGGATGTCAGAAGCACCTGAAGATGAGCAAGAGCATACAATGCCTCTTAAAACCTAGGCTCAGAACTGTCACACTGCCACATGGCCAGTGACAAAGCTAAGGAGAGGGAAAGCGACCACTCATTTATGGGAAGAACTGCAGAGTCACAGGGCAAGGGGCATGAATAGAGGGGGTGAGGAAATTGGCCTAATGACAAGTCTGCAGAACCCAGAAAGATGTCAGAATTGTGCTTTCTACCTTGAAGCTCTTGCAGAGGTCTCCCCCTCCATACCTCTTCTGCTTGGGATGGATGAGATGAGGGGGGATCTTCTGAAGAAGAACCCGGCCAACCCAGAGTAACTTGGCCTCATGACTCCCTCTCCATCTTTCCTGTGCTGGTTCAAATGTGGGCACAGACAGAATGGAAAGACAAAGAGTTTGTAGTGAGCCAAATGATTACTTCAATCTCATAGTGGTTAAGTCCTGATGAGTTGTAGTTTTCACGTCTGAAATTTCCCCAGGAAAATAAAGTGGCCAAAGGTATATACGACAAGGAGCAAAAAACAAAAACTGCTCCAATTCGGGTCATGTGACCCATGTTACTGCTGAATGGGAAGCGTGAACAAGCAGGATGAGAAATGCTGTGCCCAGCTTCAGCCGCAGACCATCACATGGAGCCGAGATCTTGTAAATGATCTGAACAGAGATTTCACAGAAGCTCAGTAAAAGAACTTGGCCTTGCCACAACCCTGGACTCTTCAAGCCAACAGAGGTCCAAAACACAGACTGCTGAGTTGCCATGCGTGCAGAGTGGCTGCGAATGGGGCTGTGGCGACAGCAACTCATAGTTTTCCAAAAATACATACATGAAACTCCTTTCCCAGCCCTGCAGCCTTCCCCATCCCCCAATTAAATAAGCGCTTGTTGTTTTGTTCCCTGCCATAAAGCATATTATTTCATGATGTCTCATTTACTAGAGGTTACCAAAAGAAAGCTAAATTGGGATTTTTTTCAGCTGCTGATGACTCTTCCCTACTACCCTAACTCATTTTCAATGGCATTTCAACACTTTGATAATGAATTAGCTCTACCATTTCTGGCACAAAGAAAAGAGAGTTTAAATTAATTTTCAGCAAGGGATACTATTGGTCCAGACAGCTTCCCTCCCACTGTGTTAACATCAATGTCTTGTCTCGTTAAATGCCGATAAACAAGCGTAACACTCTAACAAGCCACAAATTGGCTTATTGACACCTCTGTCAGCTGTTCTTTGCTTCCCAAATCCCTTGCTTTATAGGTATACACTGGTTATACAAAACAGGGGTTCTAATGGGACATCAGAATGAAGGGATGCTGCTGGCATCTGGGTTCCCTGGCTGCTCATTTTTGTTCTGTCTGACTTTCATCTAACAGTAGATTGTATTAATTTGGCCTCTCCATCCCCTGGGGTTCATTTGAGGCACATATATTTTTGGTTTCCCCACAGAGGGTCTGGGCCCATTCCCCTTCCCAGTTCTCCCCAGCTCTCTCAAGCAATGGTTCCATTGGCTTTTACACTGGGTGCTCCTCACCATATCAGCAAGTCAGACCACTGAGGACAAAATTGCCAGTAGCCCTTTAATTTGTTCACTTCATGTGCTACTGGGACCTGAGGACAATGAGACACAGGAGAGCAGATGATATCTAGTATGGTGCCCCACCAGATTGTCAGGAGACAGAATGACTGAGTGGCCAGTCACCATTCAACAGGCTCAAAGAGGAGAATGCAAGAGAGATTGACCTTAACCCACAGCAAGAGAACTTTAGTTGAAAGATCAGGAAGAACTTCATGAGAGTAAAGATGGTTATGGCTATGGCCAATAGCTGGCACATGGCACATGGTGAGGCCACTAAGGCTCCCTGCCCAACTCCTCTTCGAGATCCCAGGAACAGAATATACAGCAACCGGGCTACCTGAAACTGGCTCAGATGTCCCCAGAGGAAGGGGTTAGATGAGATGACTCATTCTTTGGTGTGAGAGCTCCATAATATCCCTGGTATTCAAAATCAAACACCTTTTTTAAAGTTCACGTTATTATGAATGTACATAGGAGATCTCTTCTCCATAATTCTTCCATGGGCATAGCAGTGTGATCAGTGATCAGTAGAATTAACAATAGGGAAGGAATATGAAAATAACATTTTAGGGTGCCAATCTCCAGTAAGAAAGCTTTCCTGCCCCTGTCCAAGCCTGCCCCACATGCAGCATGGTTGGGGACGGTGCTTCACATTCTTGCAGTTCTTTGCAGGGGCATAGAACACAAAGGAAATGTTGCAGGACCAGCAGGTTCACATGCTTACTGCACAGAAACAGACCAATTGCACTGAGACAGCAGGGTTTGAAGCAGAGAAAGGATTTAATCATTGCATAGCATGGAGCAAGGAGATGGGAGGAGACCTTCAAATCCATCTCCCTGAGTTCTGGGCTGGGGTCTTTAAGAGCATCATGAAGAGTCGGGGGCTGAACCAGGAAATTGACTTGGGTTTATGTGTTTGTGTGTGCGTTGTGTCAGGCATTGGATGCTGAGGAGGCTAGCATGAGGTGGGTGGAAAGAGCTGGTAAAGAATAAAGTTTGGCCTACTCAAGGTAGCTTTGATCATGGCTTCTTTTGAAGTTTTCCTTTGCAAGTTCTTCCTCAGTGCTGTAGGGCTTCAGGGACCTCTCCCTTCTCCCATCTACCCTCACTCTGTAGATAATCTCATCTAGTCTTGTGGCTCTAAATATCTGACAACTCCTATGTTGTTTTTATCTCCTTCCAGACCTCTTCCCTGAACTCTTATTGCTTGTCTCCATTGGATGTCTAATGGAGATCTCAGACTTAACATGTCCCAGTGATAGCCTCTCTGATTTCTCCCTCTAAACCGACTCCTCCTATAGCCTTTCCCACGTCATAAATAGCAACTTCATTTTTCCAGACACTCAAGCCAAAAATCTTGGTGTTCCCTTTGATTCCTCTTTCTTTCATACCCCATATCCAATCCATCAACCAATCTTATTGGCTCTTCCTTTAAAATATACCCAGAATCTAACACTTCTCATTACTTCAGTCCCTGCTATCCTAGTCCACATCACCAGTCTCTGACATGGGCTTCCTTGGTCCACCCTTGCCTGAATCCCTACAGTCTTTTCTCAACAGCCACTCCGAGTGATCCTCTGAAATTATGTGTCATATCATGTTACTCCTGCTCAAACTCCTCATTCAAGGAAAAGCCCAAATCCTTAAATGCCCTCTAAAGTCACAGAAAACTTGGCCCCATAGCCCCCTTGGCCTCACCCCCCAACCCTCTGCTCACTTTGTTCTTGACTGTGCTGGCCTCCTTGCCTTTCCTCAAGTTGGGTGGGCAGACTCCTGCCTCACAGCCTTTGCAATTGCTGTTCCCTCTGCAGGGAATTCTCTTCACCTGGGTATGACAAGTCTCCCCACCCACCCCAACTCTTTTAGGTTTTTCACTATAAGGCCTTCCCTGACCACCTCATATAATGTTGTTTTCCCACCCCCAGAACGGACAATTTCTTTATCAATTTCCTGCTTTTTTCTATATTAATATCATCATATTTTATTATACATTTGTCTGCCTTCTCCACTAGAATATAAGTTTCATTAGGGCAGAATTATTTAGGAGGGTTTGTTCTGCTTCTTCACTGCTATATCCCAGCATATAGTAAGTACATAATAATGGCTATGAATGAATGAACAAATGAATGACTACCATTATCCCTCTAAATCTTAGCTGCCATATGGAACCTTGGTAAACATGGTGGCATGATAGGAGGAAAGTCCCAGAGAGGGGTCCTCTGTCACCTCTTCAAAGCTATTTCCTCAGTCCAGCATATTCTTCCCTCTCTTCATCTAACTCCAGCTCATCCTTGAGGGGTCAGTTTAAATCGCTTTTTTAGCCTGGGGTACTAAATTAGCAATATTAAGTGCTTCTGTAGTTACTTCGCATAGCACTTTGCATGCTCAGGATTTTCTAATAAATCATTCGTAGTTGTTGTTTAATGTCTGTTTTCCCTTTTAGACTGTGAGGGTCTTTGTTCACAGCTGGGTCCCTGGCACACAGTGCATGGCTTGGCACGTGTGTCAATTAAAGCCTGAAGACAAGGTGTCAGAGGGCAGACCCTCACAAACAGCTATGGAGAGGCAGACACCATTCCAGGGATGAGCCAAGGCCAGGTTCCCCCAGAGTTGTAAGAGGAGCCAGGATCTGTGTTGGACCTCCACCCGCTCTGAGTGGGTTGCCTGTTGTCACGTGATGGGTTCAGCTTGTAAATCCAGCTCTCAAGAGACCCCCTGTTTGCCTTCAGTCAGGATGAACTGATAGGTAAGGAGGGCTTTACTCGTACCCTTGACCTTGAGTTTCACACTGGCAGGCAGTCCACAAGGGGTATTAACTAAGAGGGAACTGAGTGCATTTTTCTCTCCGTTAAAAACCCACACGATTTTAGAGCCAGAAGAGACCATTTAACCTTGTGCTTTCATTTCACAGAAAAGAAAACTGAGGCTCAGAGAGTTGAAAAGACTTGCCCGAGAGTCACACAATTAATTAATAAGAATAAAGCTAAATATCCAGGAACCCTGAGGCCAACACGTGTTTTTTCCACTATGTGATGATCATGCTTCTTTTTCTTCTACCCCTGAAATAAAACTTTTTTTAAAAAAAGCTCAACAACATTAAAAAATAAAAAAGAGTATCTTAAAAAGTAAACTTTAAAAATGTCATCTAAGTACAATTTATTACCATTATTAACCCTTAAATATGGATTTCAATCTAACCTGATTTCTTTCCCTTAGGCTTGAGTAAAAGATTTATTTTAGCTCACCCCGACTCCTTATTTCTCAGCTTTGCAATTCCAGACCAGGCCCAAGATTGCCATTTCCACACAACTTCCTGACTTAAGCCTCTCTCAGGTGTGGACAGATTATTTCTCACAGCTGAGCCATGTCCTCTGGTCTCGGTCCCTGTCTCTCTCTCCCTCCCTCCCTCTCTGTCTCTCTCTCTCCCTCTCTTTCTCTCTCTTCCTCCCTCCCTGCATTTCCTTCTAATGCTCCTGAACCTGAGATTTCCTTTTCTCCAAAGTTTCCACCTGCTTCATTAACACTTCCATTATAGATATATTTGGTTTTGCTTGAAATTTGCTGGTAATTTGAATATAACCCATAAGTTTTCTCCATGACACTTCCTTATAGCTGCGTCTCAAACTTGGTTTAGATACAAAACTAAATGACCAATATTTATTACTGACGATGGCATAAAGAGGTAAGAAACATCATCACTTGCCTGATGGGCAGTTCCAGCTAATAGGGACATACAGACGTGGCCAGTTGATTACAAGTCAGTGATATCACTTCTCACCACTCCAGTGCTGGCTTCCTGGGCCAAGTCACCTCATCTCCTGCCTGAATCACCACAATAGCCTCCTCACTGGTCTCCTGTTCCACCCTTGTCTCCACCTTCCACAGTCTATTCTCAGTAAAGCAGCTAACCCAGGCCACTTAAAATGGAAATCTGGTCCTGTCCCTCCTCAGCCCCAAGCCCTGTAATGTGTCCCCATTCCTCAGAGTGAAAGCTGAAGTCTTTACGCCAGCCTGAGGGCCCCCGTAAGCTATCATTTACCCCCACTCTGTTCTCTTTGTTAATTCTTCGATTTCCTTCTCTATTAGTCATTACTTTCCTAGTCTTCACCTTCTGTGCTCTCTCCATATCAGCCCCTTTGCTATTTGCTACAAACAGAATGTTTACTCCCAAATTCATATGTTGAAACCTAATCCCCAGTGTGGTGGTATTTGGGGGTGGGGCTTTGGGGAGTTGATTAGTCATGAGGGCCCTGGGTCGTGATGAGATTAGAGGGCCTGTAGAAAAGAGGCCCCAGAGAGCTCCTTCGCACCTTCCACCATGTGAGGACACAGCAAACAGATGGCCATCTATGAACCAGGAAGTGGGCCCTCACCAGATACAGGATCTGCCAGGACCGTGATCTTGGACTTCCCAGCCTCTGGAACCATGAGAAGTAAGTTTTTTGTTGTTTATAAGTCACCCAGCCTAAGGCATTTTGTTCTCACAGTTCAAATGGACAAAGACATGATTCTTCAGCACACCAGACACCCCAGCCCTAAAGCTATTCTACTATTCTACTGGCTGTTCCACCTGATAACCCCCCTCACCTCCTTCAAGCCTTTGCTCCAGTCACACTGCCTCTCCACCCTGTACTCTCAATCCCCTTAAGCTGCTCTATATTTTTTTTCCACTGGACTTACCACCTTCTAGCATTCAATAAAATCTACATATTTATGATGTTTGCTGTTGCTTGTCTATCTTCCCAGCTGTGATGTTAACTCTCTGAGGGTAGGGATCCATTTGTTCCCTTTTGTTCCCTAACACTAGGACAGTGCCTGGCACAGAGCAGTTACCCAAGAAATACCTGTTGAATGATATTGTTCAATTACTTGGTCCTAGTAGTAGTTGACACTTTTTGAGCACTTACTTTGTGCCAGGCACAGTTTTAAGCTTTGTAGAGGTATGAACTCCCTTAACAGATAGTAACTGCTAAGCTGTGACTGTTTTAATCCTCTCTAAGCTGTGAAATGCTACTTTCTGGTTTTGCAAGTGATTCTCAGCCGGGTGAAACTTGTCAATCAGGACAAGTTAAAGGGGGAGGGGGCTAAAAGGAGAAGAGGGAGTTAAAAGGAGGAAGGAGGGTAACTGTAGTTTGAAACACTGATCCAATAAGCCAATTGTTTTTGTAACACAAATTGCAGAAATTAAGCTTTAAAATATTCTACTCTGCCAGTTGGTTTAGGATGGGATGGAATAAACAAGATAAACTAAGAAAGAATTATAGGTGGCTTGAATGAAAATGGGGTCCTGCAATGTAGCATGAACATTGTTGGTAAATAGAAGTGCAAAGGGTAAGAGGGTTGACAAGATGCAATTGATGTTTTTCTGTGATGCTCATTGTTAACAGAACACTGAAGCTTACACTGGAGCTAGACTTTTAAAATATACATGTAATCTGAGCTTTCCAAGCCTCTCTAGCCTATGGCTCTCATTCATGGCAATAGCTCTTATTTCTGACTCTCATCTCTGCCTGCCCACCCAAGGCCTGGCCCCTGTGAACTCCCTACTTCCTGGTATGGGTGGAAACCCTGAGTTGTGGGCTTTTTCTTGAGTGGAGTGGGGTGGCGAGAGCCCTTGCATACAATAAAATTGGTCACGTGGGTGCTGCTATGCCCACAGAGCAGTGCTGTCCAGAAGGAAGGTCACGTGTGGGGCTACTGCGCCATTGACATGCAGCTGATCTACATTGAGACATGCCATAGTGTAAAATGCTCACTGGATTTCAAAGGCAGTGCAAAAAAGTAAAGTGTCTCAGTACTATCTTTTTCATATGGATTACATATTGACTTGACAATATTTTGGATACTGAGTTTAGTTTTTTGTTTGTTTTGCCTTTTCAAATGTGGCTACTAGAAAATTTAAAGTTACATCTGTGGTTTGCACTTGTGGCAGGCATTTTATTTCCATATTTCTGTGTTTCTGCATACAGCCCTGCCATACATGCTGCCATTTCTCCTGGGCTCCACTGGACCGGCGCCCACCCTTGCTGCCACATCTTCTCCAAATGGCTGGGTGTCTCTCCCTTCTGCCGGGTGGGGTCTCTGTTCCCCTAGAAGGTCCTATATCATCTACCAGGCACAGCCACCAATCCTGTGTGGTGTTCCTGATCCCCACCCAGGTACTATACCACTAACATCCTTGAGTTCTCGGGTTCTCAGAGTGGCCCAGTGCTCTCTGGCAAGGTGGGAGAGAGCACCTCCCTACCCCTCTCATTTTCCTGTTAAAAGAGTCCCAGAGTAGAGAAAGCTATTTGTGCTCTAATATTTAAGAGTACATTGAACGCTTTTCCTTTTTAAAATTTACTGTAATCTTTGCAGAAAACATGGAGGTGGGCCAGCGTCAGGTTTTTACTTTGTTTTCTTGTCTGTTTATTATTTGATTTGATTTGATTTCTTACCCTTAAAATCAACTTTATTAAGTTATAATTTGCATACAATAAAGGTATTCATTTTAAGTGTATAGTTTGATGAGTCTTGACAAATGACAAACCTGTGTAACACCACCTTAATTAATAAAGATATAGAAGATTTTCATTATTCCAAAGCGTCTCCTTGTGCCAGAGAAGATTTGAGGGCCAACTTAAAGCTGTATCCAGAAATTTACCTTCTCATAACTTTACCAGGCCTGCTTCTCTTGCCCTGAATGATGACTCTCAGCATGGAGACTCCTCCAATCCTCCTTTGTTCGGGACAGGAGCCTCTACCAGCTCCCCATAGATGCAGGAATTCACTTAACAGATAGTCCGTGCTAAGCTGTGACTGTTAATCCTTTCTAAGCCGTGAAATGCTACTTTCTGGTTTTGCAAGTGATTCTCAACCAGGTGAAACTTTATAGTTCTCCAGACTTTCTGAATCCTGGCCCAGCACAAGCCCCTGCAACACATAGACTAAAGGGTTTTTTGTTTTGTTTTGTTTTTGCTTTTGTTCTTTGAAATACAAAATGACTTTGACACATCGATCAACCTAAGGAAGCTATAAGGAGGAGTGTGTGTGTGTGTGTGTATGTGTGTGTGTGTGTTTGTGTGTGTGCTTTAAGCATCACTGAATAAATGGAAGAGCAATAGTTGGTAGGTCCGAGAGAGAGCAGTAACAGTCCAGGAACCTGCATGATCTGGCACCTGCAGGCATCTTCAATCTCATTCACACTACTTTGTCCTCCCTTACTACATTCTAGTTACACTGGATCTTGTTCCAGTTCTTCAACCGTCAAGATCATCACTTCCCCCAGGAACTTTGCACAAGCCATTCCCACTGGCTGGAAAACTCTTTGTCCTCTATGGGCTTACTTGAGTCCGTTTTGCCCTTCAGGTCTCAGCTTCAATGGTGCTACCTCATAGAGGACTTCTCAGTCCACCCAATCTACATGTAGGTCCCTCATGTTATGCATTTTTGTTTAACATTCATCAGGCCAGTCGTGGTGGCTTACGCCTGTAATCCCAGCACTTTGGGAGCCCAAGACGGGTGGATCACAAAGTCAGGAGTTCAAGACCAGCCTGGCCAACATGGCGAAACCCTGTCTCTACTAAAAATACAAAAATTAGCTGGGCGCAGTGGCAGGCACCTGTAATCCCAGCTACTTGGGAGGTTAAGGCAGGAGAATTGCTTCAACCTGGGAGGCAGAGGTTGCAGTGAGCCAAGCAACACTCCAGCCTGGGTGACAGAGCAAGACTCTGTCTCGAAAAAAAAAAACAAAAAAACAAAAAAACAAAATTTATCCCAGTTTATTATATATTAATTTTCTTGTTGCATGTTTAATATCTGTCATTTATATTAGACTGTGACCTTTATGAAAGTAGAAACTGTTTTATATTTATGTTTTTATATTTTACATCATATTATCTGTTCATAATTCTTCCTTCTTTTCCTATCCTTGCACGGCTTAACTGTAAGTGGAGAATTCTTCCCTGTCTCATTGACTTTCAACTTGGCCCTGTGACTTGCTTTGTCTAATGGTATGTTAGTAGAAGTAAAGTAAACTACATCTGACCAAAGGCTTTAAACATGCTTGCATGGTTTGGCTTGATTTCTTTTTTTTTTTTTTTTTTTTTTTTTTGAGACGGAGTCTCGCTCTGTCGCCCAGGCTGGAGTGCAGTGGCGGGATCTCGGCTCACTGCAAGCTCCGCCTCCCGGGTTCACGCCATTCTCCTGCCTCAGCCTCCCAAGTAGCTGGGACTACAGGCGCCCGCCACTACGCCCGGCTAATTTTTTGTATTTTTAGTAGAGACGGGGTTTCACCGTTTTAGCCGGGATGGTCTCGATCTCCTGACCTCGTGATCCGCCCGCCTCGGCCTCCCAAAGTGCTGGGATTACAAGCGTGAGCCACCGCGCCCGGCCTGGCTTGATTTCTTGAAGATATTTCTCCCCGCCATAAGAAGAGCTTCCCTACATAGCTGTTTCTTCTTCCTGTAACTTGAAATGAAGACCTGAGAAGCAGACCTGAACCCAATCCTGAGTCCTGAAGAAGAGCTATCTCAGCCAACCTGTAGCTCTGTGAGCAAGAAAAACAAATGTTTGTTGTTGATAGTCACTGATATTTGGGGGTTCTTTCTTTTCCTTTTTTTTTTTGAGACGGAGTCTTGCTCTGTCGCCCAGGCTGGAGTGCAGTGGTGCTATCTTGGCTCACTGCAAGCTCTGCCTCCCAGGTTCATGCCATTCTCCTGCTTCAGCCTCCTGAGTAGCTGGAACTACAGGCACCCACTACCACGCCCGGCTAATTTTTTCTGTTTTTAGTAGAGATGGGGTTTCACCGTGTTAGCTAGGATGGTCTCGATCTCCTGACCTCATGTTCCACCCGCCTCAGCCTCCCAAAGTGCTGGGATTACAGGCGTGAGCCACTGCACCCAGCCTGGGGGTTCTTTCTTATGTAGCATTAATGCAGCAACAGCTGACTGCTACATGGGCCTATTGCATAAAAGGCACTCTGTAAATATTTGTTGAATGAATGAAAGAAATATTTTCCTTTGGAGAAAGCCAAAAGGTAGAGAGTGCAAAGAGTTTATCATGGAGACGTTGGAAGCCCATACCCAAGAAGAAAAGAAGAGGAGGGTTAAAACCTAGGAGGAGAGAAGAGCCCAAAGACTCTTCAGGATGAATCTCAGGAAAGTTCAGATTTGGTCCCTAAAACCACACTAGGATTTAAGGTGTCCCAACCAAAGTTCTAGACAGAGAAGACATATTTGGAAAGTAGAACACTGAGCCAGGTATCAAGATTTAGGCATAGAATCTTGAAAGCGCAGAACCATAAAACATAAACAGATCCAATCCAGCAGAAAAGAGCAAATTACCTGCAGTCAGCTATTTGTGGATAGAGTGGAGATAGTTTTCCACATCTTTTTTTTTTTTTTTTTTTTTTTTGGTCCCCATGCCCTTTCCACAACTCTGTGTGGATTCTAATGAAATTTAATGAAGGAAAAGAGGAAGGGGCATATGTAGGATGGCATGTCAGTTCAAATGAAGATCAGGACTGAGGAATATCACCTTGTGTTGCTCCCAACAATATCTCCATGGGGTCAGGGCTATGGGGCATGCAGTGAGGACTGGAGCATGGGTCCCCTGTGGTTTGAATCTTAAATCATCCCTTTGAAACAGGGTAAGTTACTGAGGTCCTTCCAAAGACCCAGTTACATTGACTCAAGCCCAAATATGCTCAGATTTTTAGGAAACCAAGTCTCTTGCATGGACCAGTCCCATTCTGACTCACTCCTGCATCCCCACCCAATGAGCATTCAGGGCATTTCATTAGTGCAACTCAGAGACACTTATCTCTTTTCCAGAAGCTGATTCTTCTTACTTCAGGCAGCATGGCACCAGGCAGAGATGCCAGAGAGGTACTGCTTCCTCTGAAAAAGGAGGCCATCCCATTAGCTGCTGCTGCTGCTGTTCTCCTTAGCACCTTACCAGCCTGTCTGGCTGCACACTGGATATGCTTGTTCACCAACAACCTTGTCAAGTGTTCCCAAGAAAGGTCATGGCTAAAGGAAGGAAAAAATATATGTATATAAATATTTTGTCACTTTCCCAGGCTCTTTAGAGCCTGGGATCCCAAGGGGCCCAGCAGTGCCTTAGAGTTAAACTCTTCCCGTTTTCAACCTATCACTCACTGTTAGCTCGTCCTCCTTTCCTCACATTTCTCCCACCCTCCACCACACATTCCTCTTGTCAGAGGCCTAGAGAAAGAATATCCCAATGGGGAGTACCTGGGTTAAAGAAATTTGGCATCTTGCTCAGGAGTCAATTCTGATATCCACAAGACTCCATCCAGTTTGAGAGGCCAAGATGGTGTCCAGGCCATGTTGAACAGGACTACCTGGTCATATCCTGGGACCTGCTCTAGGAACTGCAGTTGAGGGACTCTGGAATGGGCCAAGGTCTAGAATCAGATCTGTCTACTGAGGTGTGGAAGACTTCAAAGGAACAAAATGAGAGGATTGATGTCCTGCCAAGTAGATTCAATGTTGATGTCTACAGTGAGATAGAGTCCGCTTAGGGAAATGGGGTCTTTTGCATCTCAGCCTCCACCATGTCTGCACATCTCATCCTGGGTGGAGGTTCATGCTGGGAGCAGAACACCCCCAGGAGACAGAGCTAAGGCTTCACCAACAAAGGCTGGTATGGGCAGCTGAGTTTCTGTCCACAGAACTGAAAGTGAGGTCCAGTAATCAGCATCCATCCCACACCTGGTCCCTCTGCTTGGGAAGAATGACCTGCATGCTCAGGGTCCACTGGTGGCACAGGAGACTGAGAGCAAGATGGCACTGACCAAGGGACAACCTGGTTTGCAAGGGGACCTTCTCTTTTCTGTGTTAGACAGGGGCACAGAGGGAGTATGCTGTTAGGAAGTGGGCAGCAGTGGCCTGAGCTTCTGGGAACTCTGCCTACTCTCTTAGTCTCTGGTCATTTGCCTGACCAGCCATGTAGGCATCACCACACTCTACCAAGCAAATGAGGAGTACCCCCCAACAATGGGCAGACAATGAACCATCTCTCTTTCTCTCTGTCTTCCTCATATAACTGCTGGGCTTCCCACTGTAGGCAGGAGGGTGATGCTCTTTGCAGGGTACAATCTCACTGCATCCTGGCCATAGGTCGAATTCTTCGTGGAGCCTCAGCTTTTGGCACTAAAGAAACTGAAACAGAGCAGGCTGGATGTGGAAAAACACCACAGCTTAATACATTTTGAAGGACAGTGAAAAAAGACCTTGGCCCCAAATCAGATTGTTCCTGATCTAAAATTAAAAGCGACTTAAGCCTTAGCATTCGAGAAGAGCGGCAGATAATGGTTGTGAGGGTGGGGAGAGCAATTGCTTTTTTTTTTTTTTCACTTCGTGGCTGGGAGCAGACCTTTCCAAGATTTCTCTGGACAGGATTATTTACTGTCTTTTAAAAAAAACTTTGCACTTTGCATGAAGATTTGCAAATGCCAGGCACACGGCATGCCGGGTGCCCAGCCAAACCTCTTGTGGTTAGCCTTGAAATGAGATCATTTCACAGTAAGAAGGAGGTCAGGTTGCAAAGAGGAGAATTCATTTGGCTGCATCAATATGTAGGCTGCAGCGAAACCACCGAACAAAATTTTGTTGCCCTGCCATAACAGCAAGGCTTGGACACAAATCTGAACTCCTGAAGCATCTACTCCCTCCTATACATTCACTTCTTTCACCTTGCCAGCCACTCCTTAGAATGATACCATATGACTGAATTCCATTTTGCAATGCAGGTGGGTCACAAGAAACTTCCATACACTCTTCTGAATTCAAAATGTATATGTGTGAGAAGGTCACACCTATCTCTTAAATTATCCTGTATTTGCCAAGCCAACGTGAAACAAAAGGTCTTCCTTTGTCAACCCAACTATCAGAAGAGGAGCCTTATCTACCCTCCTCCCCCAATTTGATTCAGTCAGGACTTATTGGGCACCTCCTATATCCCCAGGGCAGAGCCAAATACCCCAGGAGCAGCAAAAGCACATGTGGTCAGTTCTGTGACCTAAATGCATTTGGATCCTTGTTAGAGAAATAAATGAATATGAAATGATTAGAGTTTCCAAGACAATTCATGAAAATGAGTGGGAATCTAACAGAGCCAGGACCCTACAGGGTAGAAAGCAGCTGGGATAGGGAAAGGGCTTCATGTGCCAGAGTTGTTGAGGAGACTCAATAAAGAGGCAGGACTCAGGATGGGACCATTGCCTTTCCTATTTCTTCATCTATGCTGATTTCTGTTTTGTCTCTGATAAAATTCCATCATGCATCATACCCATGGAATAATGCTTAATTCAAACTTTGGCCTCCTGAGGTACCCTAGAAGGCTCTGATAAAAAAAAATGTCTGGGTTTTTGGTCTTCCATAAAGGAAAGTTAGTGAGTGTTGCCTTTGCATTCCAGAAAGATAAGCATAGCACCTCACTAAATAAAGGGATTTTGTTAGGCATCAGACAGACCAGGGATTAAATGTAGCTCTGTTACTTCAGCTTTGAGCAACATTTTTACATTCTTTGAGCCTCAGATTCTCAGCTATAAAATGGGGATAATAACAGCACCTATTTCCTAGGGCTGTGGTGAGGATTAGACAAAGTAAGCATTTTATGTGCATGAGCGTAGTATCTGACCCAGTAGTTATTCAATAGCTATGCACTATTGTTATTCTCCTTCATTTTTGAATTCCAAAACCCTTTTGGGAACAGAGTGTCCTAGTGTCCAATCTGTAAGTGGTAACAAGCAAATAAGTAGAATGTCAAAGAATTTATAGACTATACTCACCTGTTGACTACCATTTCAGACTATGTGGTTTTTCTATTCATGGGGATCCTGGCAGGGAATCAATTTATGGCTCTTTTCCTAAAGAAAACGGAGTTTCACAAATGACCTCCTCCAGTCATTTTACCCCTATTTGTCAATTCTGGCCTTTTAATGGAAAGGGCACTGAAATAAACTGTAAGGTATATTCTCCTTCCCTTTGGTTTGTTTGTTTGGAAGCAAAAAAGAAGAGACAAGCTTGGAGCACATTTCAGATCCACAAAAGACAAATTAATTATCCCCGAGCAGAAGCTGACCTTTAGCTGGCCCCAGCTCCAATGCCTGAGCCACAGCTGCACCTGCTTTGAAGATGACAAAATCCACTTGCTAAATACTAATAATTAGTCACCAAAGCAGGGTAAAGAATGCAGAGCAAAGTGAACCTGCAATTACTGTACTCATGCTCATCCCCTGAGCCCTTGGAGGGCCAATTACCCCAGCACATTACCATAATTGGACTGACATGTTAATAGCATCTTCCAGTCTTTGAAAGTGTCACTGTCCCCCTTTCCTGCTCCCACACCCCTCAAGCCTGTGGACTGTTTGTGCTGCACTTTATAGCTAGGGCTGGCTAAAGATGTCAAAGTTGTGCATCCTCTGAGGGTGCAAGGGATTGAGCAGATGCTCATGTGCAGGCCAAGCATGTGCACAGAGGATTCTCAGCTTCTCTCTCCCTCAACTGCACCTATACCATTTACTGAGAAATAATTTGCAAGTGGCTCTGCTGACCAATGGTAAATGCCACATTTCTCTGTCCTGGGGACTACCTGTGTCACTTACACTCTACTCAGCAGTGGCCTGAGCCTTGGAAGACTGTGGTGGGTGGCCTGACCAAGGGGCCCAGGCTGCTCCAGAAAGGGTGCTCCCAACTCATAGTCATAAGCAAGGACAGCTATCCATGGAGCCGTAGAGCCTGAAAATGAGAACCGGGTTGCTTTGGGCTCCTAAGAGGTGGCAGGAGGGCTTGGGCAGGGGCAGGTTGGCAGCATGGGGCTCTGCCAAGAGTCCTGCCCTCAGGGGACTCAGTGCTGGTGCTAGGCAGCCTCCCTCCAGCAGCCCCCTGCTGCCTCAACGTGATTTTATGAGGTGATCAGTGTCCTATTGATCTGGAGAAGGTCGCGGAGCACTCACGCTGGTGAGGAAGCAGATTCCTGGGGCTGACCTTTCCTAAGCAAAACTCAGTTAAAAAAATTTTTTTTGCCTTCTTCCCCATCCTTTTCATCTGATTTCTTTCAGTAAGAACCTTTTTTCTTACAAGTCACTGCAACCTTCCAGGGAAAGAAGACTTGGTTTCTGGCTGTGCTTCCACACTCTGGGGAGCTGGGCCCCTGGAAATGAGTGCCTGGGCTTTCTTCTGTCCAGCCTCAGATCAGGGAGCTGTCATGAGAAGGGGCCTGGGGATAGCAACACTGTCTCAGGGCGGGGGCCTGTCTGGTTGAGATGGAAGGACTGGGAATAGGGATATGGTGAGAAGGAACCCTGTGTCTACCACGCTGCCCAGGGCCTCTGTGTTGCACAAATCCACGGGGCATATTCACATTGTACTCAGTGTGCATGACACCTCCTGGAACTCCACAGAACACACAGCAAATGGTGGATCCAGAGCTCGGCAATGTGTTGGCCTTGATCATGCACACACACACACACACGCAAACACCTTGTGCCTCTGCTGTCTCCCAGAGCTGCTCTGGACCACGCAGGCCCCAGGCTGTGTTGTTGGTGCTGCTCATGCATGAAATGGTCCACAGGGACAAGTTCTGCTCTAATAAACACCGCAGTGTACCCTTCCCACACCCATCACAGGCACACACAAATGTACTCCTTGGTTACCTTCACCATTACAATACTATTTGCATATACCATTCCAGGGTTATGGCCCTGTGGAGTAGAGTAGATGAATCCGGTCAGTGTTCAGTCTCTTGAACTCTAAGATCCACTTAAAGGAAAATAGAGGATTTAGTCTTGACACATTAGATGTTTTGTCTTCACTGTTTGCATTAGTCACTCACACTCAGAGAGCAGACAGAAATCCACACACATGTACCCACAACAAGACAAATGCAGCCACCAACACAGAAAGATATGCAATACCCATAGGTACATACACATTCCTAGAGGCCGTCAGCCTCTGTAAAGAGATACGCTGATGTACACAACAGAGTTGTAAACCATAACAGTCACCAAAGCAGGAAAAGCACATATTTATGTCACACAAACACACATTTATATGTAAACCCAACATACACAGTCAAAAATGTAGCTACAGGGACTCATCCGTACGTATAAACTTCTTGGGCTGTAAATGTGAACCTGAACCTGAAATGTGCCTGCAAGTCTGTTCCATCGTTTTATCATATCACCTTTGGGTAGAACGCTGTGGTAGGCATTCCTTTCTGGGTGGCCGACCATTTATTGCTAGAAATGTGTGGGGCCAGTTGAGTACTTTTGTAGGATGATTTACGGGACGCTGCCTGACTCCCAACATGGGCTCCTATCTGCCCATCACATTCCCTTGAAAAGGTCAAGAGTTTCAGTATCTTCCTACAAACGACTGCACACAGCTGTGAGCTCTAGGGGCCAAGAGATTCTCCACAGTATTTTCTTTTGCCTTGAATATGTGTTCTGGTCTTCTTAGAAGGGAGATGGGTCCAGGCACTCTGTTTCTGCTCCCACATAAGGAAGGTATAATTCAGATGCAGCTGCAGCAGCTAATTCTTAACAGCCGAAAGGGAGAAGTGCTTGGAACAGAGGCATTGGATGCTGGAGAGGAAGAGACAGCCCATGTGTCTCAGAGTGGGATCCGACGTCACTGAGCTTGATTGCTTTGCCTCTAACTTATCCCTAAATCGGCCTTAGTGGCAACAGACCAGCTCCTCTTAACATGGGTCTCTAAGAGCTCCCAGAATACTGTATGGGTGTGACTGGCCCAGGCTGAAGATGACGTCTGTGTGGCCTGGTCATGGCTGGGGAGGGAGAAAAGATTAGAGGAAAGATAAAAATCCCACAGCTGTTATTTTTTTTAATCCCTATATGCATTTAGGCTTAGATATCAATAGTTTATTTTGATATAAAGTGAAGCTGGGCTTCAGAATGGTGGCAAAAGCCCTGGGCAGGGGAATGCCAAAGGGGGAAACAGGGGAAAAACTTCTGGAGAGCAGGCAGATCTAGACAGAAGCTCAGGAATCCATCCCTGAGGCAGAGAACATGTGGTATCTCCCCATCTCCCTGACAGCCCCCAGCACACAGAATGGCTGCTCTAGGGAGACAAATGATCCCCATTAATTCCCTCAGGTAATGAGCCAGTTGGTGCCATCATTAATTATACTAATTAACACACACGGGCCTTTAAGGTTGGCACACAATTCCTGCCACCCTAAATATTTCATGTCACTCTCTCTCTGCCTGGGTTGACTACTTGGCTGAGACATAGGCCCCCGAGATCCTGTGGAAACAAACCACAGGCACAGCCAGCTAACTCGAAGCATTCATGGCCAGGCACAGAGACTTAGACCTGTAATCCCAACACTTTGGGAGGCCGAGCAGGGAGAGTTGCTTGAGCCCAGGAGTCTAAGACCAGCCTAGGCAACCTAGTGAGACTCTGTCTCTATAAAACAATAAATAAATGAATTAGCTGGGTGTGGTGGCATGCACCGGTAGTACTGGGAGGCTGAGGTGGGAGAAATGCTTGATCCTGGGAGATCGAGGCTTCAGTGAGTCATGATCATGCCACTGCACTCCAGACTGGGCAACACAGCAAGACCCTGTCTCTCAAAAAAAAAAGCATTCATCTTAATCTTCTGCCTTGTTCATTCCTTTATCCATTTGACTAACAAGTAATGAGCACCAATCAAAGAGACAGTCAAGTAATCAACTAACACAAAGCACAAAGTGCTATGTAGGCTTTTATGTGGACATGTACTTTACCATTTATAAAGCATTTCACAAGCCTCATCTCATTTAATCTTCACAACCCTGTGAGGAAGGTGCTATCATCTTCCCCATTTTATAGATAAGAAAACCAAGGTTGAGAGCCATTATGTGACTTGCTGCCCAAGGAGACCTGAATTGGGACTTGAATCCAGGCCTCTGACTCTGGGCTTTTCCCTTTACAGCCCAAGAAAGTAGAGGAAACTCTGTAGCTCATCCTGACTGGTGGTTTTGAAGACAGCTTTTCCAAGGGACCTGAAGTGAACTTTAGTAGGTGAAGCAGGTTGAATCCCCGGAAAGGTGAAAGGGCATTTCAGGATGAAGGGGTAGCATTAACAAGGCCCAGGATGGCAGATGCCTAGAGCATTCCATAATCAGCCTAATTTTGCGAGCTGTGTTGCAGAGTACACAGAAAAATGTATTTCTGAGGCAGAATGGAGGTAAATTTAACACATCCTAAAATTCCAAAAGGCAAAAATTGATGCTGGGATATTTCTCTGTGGCCAAATGGAAAATCAGAATGGGTTTAGAAAAGGCCAGATGAAAATTTATCCTCTGCATCTGTCATGCTGTCAGGGCTGCAAGCAACAGTGGAATATTTCATTGTTCAGACCTCTTTTTTCATCGTCCACTTTATCATTCTGCGCTCTGTTTTTCCACAAGCTAAACATGCCTTCTCCTGTCTAAACACTCAGTTCCAGGCCCCTCTCTCTGCCGAGCGACCTGCCTTCTCCATCTCCTGGGCTGCGCTGTGTGCGGGTCTCTTGCCTCCTTGGCTGCCTGCCAGTGTAGCCCTTATAGCCCCTTGGTACAAAAGACCTCTTGCTTAGCTCTTTTAGTCCCCAGAGATCAGGCTGCCCTGACCCCAAGATATCCAAAGGCCAAATTATGAGAGAAAGAGAGAGAGAGAGTTGGGGCAGGGTGAGATTCATTACTTCAAGAAGCAGTCCTCATATGTGAGTGCTCCCCCAGGCTTGTGTACGTACCCCACTGCACCCTTATCACCTCCTTGCTTTTTGAGAGAGCTGAACACTTGGCCAGTTCTACCCCCTGGCCCCACACCCACAATTGTGTCTCACTCAGAAAGTATCGCTGCTCACCCAATACCTAGCAGGGTCAAGGCATGTTTATTGAATAAATCAAGATCTCAGACACCAGAGCACTTGGGCAGGCTGTTTAACAAGGCACCTGGACTGGGTTCTCGCTATATCCCGTGACATGGTATTCATACTTAATAGTGCTTCAGAGCCTCCTGGAACCACTGCTTCCCACCCTCAGCCACTACTGCCACCAGATGCACATCTGCTTAATTATAATTCATGAAGTGCTTGGCTATTAATAAAACCTAATTAATCCAGTCATACCACCCTGCTATGCCATCAGGGATCCAGAGCCCATTGGCCACCTCAGCAGCAGCCCTGAGCAGAAAGGAGTTAAGACACCGAGCCCCAGATCTGGCCTAACTCCACCTGAGAGCTTTGAAAGCAGTTCTTCTTCAGGTACCCCAAACTCGGAGGCTGATGGATTTCATGCCTAGCTGGTGCTTGGCACTGTCCCCATGCCCCGAAAGCATAGTCTTGTGTTATTGTGCCATGCCTGCCTCCCCATCAGACTGGAAGCTTCTTTGAGAATAGGGTTGTACTTATTGGTCTTGGTAGCCACCCAGCCCTCCCTCTGCCACTCTCTCTAGCCTGGCCCTCTGGTTTAGGATTGACTTTGTGTGTGTGTAGTGTTAAAGTGTGGCATGGGGGAGTTGAGGGTGAGGGAGTGCCTGAGGAATCACCCCTCCTGCATCTCAGTCTGGGGGAGCAGTGTGGGGTATGGAGACAGCACCAGCTTTGAAGCCAGATAGATCTCAATTGCAAGCCTAGCACTGCCATTCCTAGCTGTGTGGCTTTGGACAAGTTCCTTAACCTTTCTATGCCTCAATGTCATCATGTGCAAAATAAGGATTGCAGCACCTGCATTGTAAATGGTTGCAAGGGTTACATAATTTTTTCAAAATTTTTTGTTGTTGTTGAGATAATATATAGAGAAATGTCTCTAGTATTCAGTTGAATGAATTTTCGTAAAATGAACACACTTCTCTGGCCAGCATCCAGAATAAGAAACAAACAAGACCAGAATGCTGAAGACCTTGCTTGGGCTCTCTGTAAATAAAGTAACTTCTGCGAAATGTTTAGTCAGGTGTTTGGCACACATATTATAGACAGTTATTAATTATTACTACTGTCACCTCTCCCTCATTTCCAAACACCCTTATTCTACCAGCAGCACAACTGCATTAGTCAGGGTCCCCCAGATAAACAGAACCAACAGAGTTCTGTTTAATAAATATAAAGAGATTTATTATCAGGAATTGGCTCACATGATTATGGAGGCTGAGAAATCCCACAATCTGCCATCTGCAGGCTGGACACCCAGGAGAGCTGGTGGTGTAGTTCTGGTTCACGTCCAAAGCCTAGAGTACCAGGAGAGTGGATGGCATAAGTTCCAGTGTGAGTGCCAAAGAAGAACAATGCCCCAGCTCTAAAACAGTCAAAAAAGGGAATTTTCCTTTACTTCTCCTTTTTATTTTATGCAGACCTTCAATGGATCAAATGAGGCCCACCCACATTGAGGAGGGCAATCTACCTATTCAAAGGTTAATCTCATCCAGGAATACCCTCACAGACACACCCAGAACAATGTTTAACCAAATACCTGAGCACCCCGTAGCCCAGTCAAGTCCACACATAAAATTAACCATCACCACAACAAAGCCCCTATCAAACAACATCACTAGTACCCAGGTGGCAAGAGCTTTTAGGAACATCTACTGCCATTACAATGACCAGCTCTTTCATAAAAGTTGATGCCATTTGATTAAGGTTTTGCAGACAGGTTGAATGAGATCTAGGTCTCTGTCCAGGGGCCAGGCATTTGGGTTGTTTCCCAGTGCCTTAGGGGAATGATTCGCAGACTTCTAGAACTGTAAGAAGCCTGGAGGTCATCACATCTGAGCACCTCCCAATGCATGAATAACACTCTGGCCTTGCAACACAGGCATCAACTTTCAGCCTTATCTATGCATAGTCCTGGGATAGGTCTAGAATCCTTGCAGCAGTTGCCTGCTAATTTCTTAGAGCCCAGTGATGAAAAGACTGAGATAGGAAGTTTCTTCTAACAGAACCATGAATCCCAGCAGTCACAGTGGACATGGTAGCAATGGGAACAGATTTTGTGGGGAACCAGACATTCCTGGAGGAGATGCTTGGTGCTAGGACTATCTGGTCCACTGGGCTCTGAAGAGGGGACATAGCTCCATGCTCCCTTTCTGGAGAATAGTAGATGCCTACATGGGGTGAGGTAAGGGGTTCACCTCTTTCTCTACCTTTGAGTAGCAGAATAGTAAACCAGAAAGGGACCTAGTAGGCTTGAAATCATACCAAGAAAGTCCAGGCATTCTTTTAAATCCAGAAGGCTTTGGATTTAAAGCCCTATGGAAAGGGAGCCCATGTGGAAAAGTGCCGCAGCAGGTGGGTGTGTTCCAAGAGGAGACAGAGTCGGGTCTGATATAAGGAAAGGCATTCCCTGCTGTCAGAGCTGTCCAGTTAAGGTAAGCTCCCATGGAGACAGCGAACCCCATCACTGAAGATGCTCTTACACAGGCCGCACGAAGATGCTCATACGCAGGCCGCACGACTGCCCCCAAAAAGGTGTTGCAGTGGGAATCCATGCTTTGGAAAAGTGATGGGTGTTCTTTACCTTAAAATTCTCTCCCCATTGGGATCCTGCGTGTGGGACCTGTGGTGCTGACTCAGGTATACGCATAGGAGGATATGCATGATCTCAGGGCAGATGGAACTTCAATGGCCATGAGGCCTGAACTCCACCCAGCAGAGAACTGTCCTCCATAGTCCTCCTGCACTGTCTCCACCTGCTTCCACTTACCAGAATGGGCTCCATTCCCAGCGTGGTCACTTATGAAGTGGGCATTAAAAAATGTGTATTGACTTAATGACTTTGCATAACCCACCTAACCTCACTGAATTTTGGTTTCTTCATCCATAAGAACAGGGGGAAATAACACCTCTGCTCAGTTCTGGAGGACAGAATAAGATATCTGAACATACCCAGCACTAACAGGCACTCACCATGAAGTGATAGGGCTTGGTAGGGCTTCCCCCTCAGTGCCATTACCTGGTTTAAGTGGTGCCAGGCTTCCATTCTGCTGTGGTAGGAGGAGGGGGGCAGGCCTCAGCAAAGAAGCTCCTACCATTTTCATGGATTGAATTAGAGATCAAGTGGGGAGACTGATAAAACAGAAATGCCAGTCATTTACCCCTACCTCCTTAATCTACACCAGACTCTCTTTTTCTCTTTGCTTCCATCCTTCCTCCCTTTATTCTCATGCTATCCTTTTTCTCTTCTTCTATAGACCATTTCACAACTTGTAATGGTACATTTAATTTTTTATTGTCCAGTGTCCCAACTTGCCTGTGAGTTCTCCAAGGGCAGCGTTGTCCACACTACCTGCATATAATGACAATGAGGTGAGTACTGGTTGAATAAACCAATTAACCAGTCTCCCAAACTTCAAGAAGCCCAGCACCACTGAGGCTGACCTGTTGGCAGCTGGACTGGTCTTCCCACCCGAAAGTTGTGCCTTAGGATAAACTAAACCTGCCACTGATTTATTCCCCCTAGATCCCAGCTCTGTCTGCCACTCTCCACCCCTCTCCCTTGGCACAGAGTTGATGGCTATCTCAATTATCACAAGTCCAGAGTTGATAGTTGTTATCTCAATTCTCCAAAGTCCTCTTTCCTTTGAGCTAAACATTAGACTTTCCCCCTGCCTCAGCCTCTGCCTCTCCTTTGCCTCTCATTTCTAGAGCCCTGACCAGCAGGTACCCACAGGCAGGCTTCCCTTGACTGCATGTGATCATTGCCAAGCACTTGTCATTCTTTAAAAGGGTCTGGCCATTTACATTTGTGACCCTCCCCCAAAACACACACACACATGTGCGTGCGCACACATACACACACTCACACACACATACACCAAAGGCAAAGTCTCTTGATGCCCCTGATGCCCGTATATCTCTGTTGTCAAAATAGTTTTCTGTTTGACCTTCCAAACAGAAAGTTCATGTTTGTAATTATGCTTGGAAAATTATAAAGCCCTGTGCAAATGAAAAAGATTTATCTCAATATTTGGACTGACATTTGTGATATTTGATACATGCTAGGAGAATAAACCCTTTAAATCAGGGCAGACTTCCTGGAGGAGGAGAAAAGAAGAAGCAGTATGGTCTCAAGTGAAGTGAGCTATTTGTGTTTCATAATAGCTAATAGAGTCCTGTGTTGGGGAAATGTTTCTGTTTCATGCCAAGTGGCTGGAATTCACTTATTGGTCAATAAATCCCTTTGCAGGGCTTCCAGAATTAATACAGTGATGAGATTTCTGTCTTTTCCATATACATGAGTTCAGTAATAACTGTAATTATTATGAAGTTATAATAAAACATAATGTGTTATGCTGTTAATTCAATGGTAATAAGGATAAAGTATGGGGACTTCCCTGTCTCTTCATTCATCATTTTTCCCCTTAATTATGGAATAATTCCCCAGGCTGAAAGTCAGGAAGAAGAGGCCCCATCCTGCCTTGATAGGGCTTCCTCCTCAGTGCCATTACCTGACTTAAGTGGTGCCAGGCCTCCTTTCTGCTAGGGTAGGAGGAGGGAGTCAGATCTCCACAAAGGAGCTCTCATCATTTTCATGGATTGAGTTAGAGATCAAGTGGGGAGATTACAGGCCCTTCAGTCTATTCACCCGCTTCCAGACAGATCTGTCTGAACTGCCTCATAACTCAAGGTGCCATGCTTCATTCATTTGTTCAGTAATCACATTAACCACTGCTCTGGAAAGGTGCCAGCCGGCTGCTAAGGATATAGAGGTGAATGTGTCAGACATAGACCCTGCCCTCAGGGAACTTAGAATCTACTAGGGGAGAATCCAGACCCTCTTCTGTCTCCAAAATCTCTGGAGAATGGGGTTCCAGCACTAGTCATGCCTGCCTGTCCTGTCAATTACCAAGTCCTACTTCTGCTGAAGGTAAGGCCGGCTTCTCAAAGGAGAGTGCGGAATGACAGAGGAGCCCAATTCAGGCCTCTCCCCTCACTATGCTTTAAAAGGCTTTCCCTCAACAGGGGGTACTTTCTATTCACTAGCCTCACATGCTCTAAGGGACAGAATTGGAAAGTCAATGTCAGCCAGGTGGAGAAAGCCAGGGCCCTTGTCTTAGAGACTGTCTTCTCCAAGGCAGTAGGGACATTAAATGAGAAAATGTGCAAAACTCCTCTTGATGCAATGAAGGCAGAGGAGATTGTATATCTCTGGGTGATGGATTATCTCCCCGCTTCTGAGGGTGTTACAAAATGATAATGATCTTGTTTCTCTCTCCTGGTGCTACACAGTTATCAGGGCCTGGAGGAAGCTTTTATTAGGTCCAAGTTGTATGTCAATTATGCTTCTCAAAGGAGGGAAGAAAAGCCCAGCAAACTGGTCTCATGTCTGGAGTGAAGGGTCACTATGGAGAGTGAAGACTGCCTGAAAATTCCTTAGTGATCCTTATGGAAAACGAAACCCAGTTGACTTCTTTTCTTCTCCTTGTCTCCCCCAGACTTGTTCTTCACCCTCCCCTTGATGTCAGACACTGACCACTCTCTATTTCTCCAGCCACCCATCTCTCAGCATTTCCTATTCAGCCCGGATAGATTGGCCCTTCCAGCTATGCTGTCACCAACACCAGTTTCCTTGCCCTCATCTTTCTGCTCATCACCTCCCTAATCTCCTCTAATCATGGGACAGTGGAAGGGTCAAGATTTTTCCACTTCTGTTCACAATTTTTTGAAGTTGCTAGGAAAAAATCTCACATCCATGCTGACAAGCTCCCTTATGAATTAAAGTTTTCCAACTGCAGCTGGCTCTGGGCTGCTTGGCAGTACTCTGACACTGAGCATTGTGGCAGCTTTAGACCTTGACATTCTTTTCAACACTGCTTCTACTCTTGCTCATGGCCTTTATTGCCACTTACACCCTCCACTGCCTTGAACCCAGCATTCTTCTTGGATTTAGGACACCCCCAAACCTGACCATATCTGATTAGACCAAAGGTGTTGCCTGTCTCAAGCTGAGAACCAATGAGATTCCATTTCCTGAAATTTAGGAAATATCGTGCCACAGAGGGTCCAAATAGTTCATATTGGATCCTGGAGCTAAACAACTGCAGAGAAGCAGAGAAAGCTAGAGAGAGGCAGGTGCACAAAGAGAAGTAGAGATGGAACTTGTTTGCCTCCCAATAAATCCCCACTTGTACTTAAGCTACTCTAGATAGCTTAAGTTTTCTGTTCCAAAAAGTCACATTTGCTTCCTCAGTCTCAGCAAATGACCTCACCTCCACCTCATCAATGAGGCTGAGGCCATCAAACTCAAACGTACCCCAGCTTCAATACTTTGGTCTCAAAGAATATTTGTCCACTCACTAACTCACTCATTCTCCCTGTCCACCTATCAGAGAAGGATGGGCCCTGGCCCTCTTCCACACTTGATTCCATTCCCTCATGCCTTTGGATCCATTGATAATAGTTCCCTTTACTCTTATCACTACTCCTCTGGCTTCCTTCCAAAAGTCTATGAACATGTTAAACATTTCAATCCTAAACATCAAAGCACCATACTTTGACCCTGCTTCCCTCCTGAACCACCAACTCATCTTCTTCCTCTCCTTTTGCTTTAAAAGGGAGGGCAGCATGGGAGGGTGGAAAGAGCACAAGATTGACAGTCAGCAAATAGGATTCAGGGCTCAGCTCTACAATGTTATTAGTGACAAGTTTCCTAACCTCTCTGAGCTTGTTTCCTCAGCTGGAAAAATGGTGATGATGAAAATATCACCCATTTTGCAGACTCACTGGGAGGGTTAAGTGGATTAATTTATCTGGGTAAAAAGAACCTAACACATAAGAACTACTCAATGAATGTTAGTAATTTATCTTATCACTTCTACTTTTTACCTTTCATTTAACCCTCAATCATTTGCCATCTGGCTCTGCCTCTCCTTTCCTGAGCATACTGTCTTGTAGCTACTCAAGTCAAGGTCACCAAAACTTCTTATTTGCTGCCACCAGTGTGGCTTCTTTCCTGTTTCTACTCTGCCTCCCTCTCTGTAGCTGCTGAGTGTGACTCTTTATGCCTCCCTCTTCTGCTTTTCTCCCCGGACTTCCCTCACCTAACTCCCGACGGCCCTTCATCAGTGCTTCTTTGCTAGTGCCTCTTGTTCTTGTCCTAGGTCTGTGTAATCTTCTCCCTTTTCAGCTCGCGCTGCACCTTCTTCATGGCCTCAAGGATCCCTAATGAATGAACAAGCATCAGTTCTTTACCTCTGGCCCTCCCTTCTGTGCAGAATCCCCCACTAACCGACACCACATGGATGCGTTCCCATGACAAAAACTCATCTCTTCCTTCCCTCTGCCATACAAATCTGCTCCCCTTGCTATGTCTCCTACCTTGGCATCATCAGGTCACCAAACCAGAAAAACCCAAACCTATGTTACCCAAGCCAGAAAAACCCATGCTCATTTTCTACATCTCCCCTCTGCCCCATTCAGCCACCTTGTGTTTGAGTTCTGTAAAATATTTTTTAAGTTGGTTTCCTTTTAATGCCCCATGCCATTGTCCTCATCTAGCATTTGTTGGCTCCTGCTGGATCCTCCAAATGATCTCCCATGCAATCTTCTCACAACATTGCTCTTTATTTTCTTCTCAGAACATTTAACATGTGTGCACACACATGCTCATACACACACAGAGTTAGTAGCTATGAATTCTGGCTCCAGCTTATTTTTCCACCTCCATTTCCTTGCATTTCCACAGTTGAACGTCACCCTCCAGCCACAGTGGATTCCTTTCTCACCTCCAAGTCTTTGTGTCTGCTGTCCTCTTGGGCTAGGATTTCCTCTTCCCAACTCCCACTCTTATGCCTGGAAACAACCAATGCATATCCAAGCCTCTACTCAAAGTTCCTCTCCACCATAGAGCCTTCTCTGATGCACCTCCCTCTCCATTCGCACAGAGAGGAATACCATGAGTGTGTCAGGCCCTTTTATATCCTGGAGGCTCTTCACTGTTTTCTCTGCCTGGAAAACTTTTGCTCTAGTTCATCACAGGACCAGTTCCTTCTCTGAGATCAACCCAAATGTCACAGCTATTCTACCTAGAGAAGACTCCCATCACTATTCTGTTCCCTCTGCAGTTCCTCTCTATCACAGGGCCTTGTTTAATTTCCTTCCTTACACTTATTAGAAATTCTGAGTATGTGATATGGCCAGTTAGGGTCTCTGGGAAGCCAGTTCTGAGCTGGAGTTTAGCTGGTAGGTTGTGTGTTGAAGAGGATCCTAGAGTCAACACCCTGGCCAAGGGAGGGAGAGGACACAGGAATAGGCAGGGGGAGGTCAGTCTTCCATGCAGCACTGACGGCAGCCTTGGCAGACCCCACAGGAAACTCGAGATAAAACATCCTATGTTGGCTTGAAATGACTGGGCTTTTACACCCTGTCTCCTTCAGTCATTGGATGGGGCCATTCTCAGAAGGGCATGACCTTGAGCAAGGCAGCTGTCTTCACCCAGCGTTAGACGTCCTCCCAGTTTCTACAGAACTTTTGCTTACTTCTGCATTTTGTCAAAACTTTTTTTAAAAAAATTCTGAGGCCAAGAATAGATGTAAAAGTACGAAGAAACCCCCAGTTTGGGGGGATAATTAAAACCCTGGTTTCCTTTGTCGGTAATTGTTAGAATCTCTTGGCTCCAGGGCTTTCTTTCAAGTCCCCATCTCCACTAGCCTCATCTCTGGCCTCTGGCCAAGGTACAGAAGACAAACAGGACCTGGTTTCCCTCCAACTCACTGCCCCTCAGGCCTGGCCTTTGGTCTGACTGCTGCTTCTTTCTCTAACTCAGAGTCCTGCAGCATGTTATCCATAGCTTAGGGGAAGATCAGCACTGAGGGATAAGCCCCAGGCTCTCAGCTCCCAGGGGAGAGTTAGGGCCCCAGCTCCAGGAAATTCTCCTTTCTCTCTCTCTCCCCCGGCATATGGAGGCAATAAGGATTATACCCAAGCTCTGAGTAGTTACAGTGCTTATTGAGCAAAGGAGGGAGGAGAAAATCCTCTTTTCTTCCTCCCCCCTTCAAAGCTGATGAGAAATCAGAAAAGCCTGGTGCAGAAGCTCCTGGCCACCTTCTTCCTTTCTCATCTCTGTGGCACGCCTGGCCTCTCTCTTTAAATCTGTACTGGCAAGTGCCTCTGAACATCTTTCTGGTTACTCTCCAGGCCTCACCTCACCTTGGAACCTCCAGAGGAGTGTGTCAGATGATGTCCCAAGGGGTGAGATCACAGGCAGGTGACTTCTCAGTAGCCTGGATAGGATGAGAGAAGAGGCTGAGCCTGGGGCAGGACTGTGGCAGAAGTCAGGCTATGCTGTCAGGCTCACATGGCAACTTTCATGTCCCTGGACCTGCCCGGGCCACCTTGCTTACCCATAGCCCCATATCCATATCAGAGAGAAGCTCCTGGGTAACCCCTACATGCAGCCAGACTCAGTAAGAGTTGCATTACAACCACACACAGCCACACACACCCCACATACACAAATCCCAAACTTCAATGAGCACTATCTTTTTCCCCTGAAGGTTGAATGGGGAGACAGAGATTAACTTGCACATCAAATGCCAAAACTTCACAGACATCCCTTTTACCATCTCTGTACTCATTCCACAAATTTCTTCTCCCTACAGCAGCGACTTCCTCTCTCTAAGTTGCTGTCACTGTCCCTCAAACTCCTCTCCTCACAGCCCTCTCCAGCTAAATAGATTTCCACACAAGCCTCTCAAAACCTGCTAGGATATTCAACTCAGAGAGGCCAAAGAGAGCCAATGAGAAAACAATGTACTTAGCTGGGTTCTTGGCCTTGAGGAACTAAACTCATTCTGCCTCACAGGAGGGCATTTGAAGGGGCCCCAAAACCCTAGTTTCAAAGTGCCCCTCACCCACTTCTGATGGCTTGCTAAGACCCCCACTGCCCCATCCTTGGACTAGAATCAGAAGTGAAGAGTTGAGTCTCAGTTCCACCACTTTTTTTGCCACAGGATCTGGGGTAACAAAAGGCACTTGGAGAATTTCACCCTGTGTTCCCACTGAGTTTGTCTCAAGAACTAGTGGGGACAAGTGGTGACCCAGCAGGTGTCTGCATGAAGTGTTTGAATGCATGATGGAGTAGACAGAGCCCCTGCCCGGGATTCCACTGGGCAGGAAGAGCCGGACAGAGAAGGGAGGGTGGGATGGCGATAGACAGGCCACTGCAGAGACCAGGGGAATGGGGTCACCCCCGATCTCATCCCAGGCTGCCACACTGGGACCGAAGATGGAGTTGTTCCCCTGGTGGCTCTGTCTGTGAGAGCAGGTGCTGGATTAGCCTCCAACTTGCCAGCTTGGCCCCTGACTTGAGTACCAATGAGGGCAAGATGAAATCTCCCCTTCAGGCCTTTCTTATCCTGTGGCTCCCGCACATGCTTGAGCACACGTGGGCTAATTAACCTGAGCGCTTGAAGCTGCTGATCTGTGCTGTGTGCACCTGCGTGTAAAACTCTCATGTCTACATGGCCTGAAGTTACTCAGTCTTGTGTGAGGGATCTCACTCCCTCTTAGACAGAAGCTCCTGGGTGGCTGAGATCATCTTCCTCCCTTGGGGTAGGAGATCCCAGAGGACAGAGGGGAGGAGAGGGTACCGAGTGCGGGGCAGCTCTGTGCTCTCTCCCCCATTCCCCAGATGCCTGACTGCCACAGTGTGTCTACAGGTCTTTAGGACAATAGCGCTGCCCATCTGGATCTGCAGGAGGTGGAGGAAGAGGGCTCACGGGGCAGAATCGTGGAGTTTGGAGGGGCTCTCAGTGGATGCTCCTATGGGTCTTCCCCCTTTCCCGATGTTTACCTCTACTTTCCCTGTTCAGACCTACACCACGTAGAGATTTGATGTCAACAACTAGTAAGCCTTATAATTTTTTACTAGGGAAAAAACGAATCAAAGGCCATCATTTGCAAATAGTTTAAAGTTCCTGTGTTTCCTTTTCCAGGGATGCTTGCATCTGAGCCTGCTCTCTCACTACGGGGTAAAGAGCATGATCCCAGTGAAAGGAATTCCAGGTTTCAGTGATGGGAAGGGGGAGTAAATGTTTGGTTAGGGATATCTGTCTACCGCAGGGTAGGACCTACAACAGCTATGCTGTCCCCAGTGGGAAATGTACTCTGGAGATCAGCAGAAAGGTCCAAGGAGGGGATGGGGCTTAAGCAGAACTGCCTAAAAAACAAGGTGACAAGGCTGCAGAGGTAGAATGCTGTGGTAGGAAGAGTGCAAGATAGAGTCAACAGGCATGAATTCTAGTCCCAGCTGAGCCATTCTATAGGTCTTAAATTCCTGATTTTAAATAATAAACAGGAAGATCTTTTGGATTATTTTTCATACCTAACATGTATGGTCACATAGAAGGGAAGCTGAGGCATCCAGTGAGCAGGGATCAGTGAGAGCTTTGCCAAGAATGTAACAGAAGCTCCCTTGGAGCAGGCCCCAGCCCATGGAGGACCAGGGATGGGCATCTGGAGGCTCAGGAATGCTGCTCACCCTTCCAGAGACATTGCAGGAGCCAGGACAGTGTGAGCCAGGGCAACCCCAGGCACAAAATGTCTGCACTGAGGGCCTCCAGGGAAGGGGACCAGGCAGGGTAAGTCAGACCCCTATCAGGTCTCTCTCCTGAAAGTTTCCTTCTTTCAGCAGTGCCATAGCCAGGGAGCTAATAATGATCTCCTGCGTAATACCATCTAGATGAAATTCAAGGAAAGGTAAAAATCAGGACAGTGATGACCCATTCAGAGAGAAAAGGGGCCCAAGAGAGCCTTCTGGGGTGCTGGGGGTGTGCTGTATTTGATCCGGTGGTGGTTGCATGGGTGGGTACATACCAAAATGCATGGAGCTGTCCACTGAGATTTGTGTAGTTTACTGCATGTAAATTACAAGTCAAGGAGAGATTAATAACAGAAGAGATTAAAAACGGTTCCAGGCCAGGAAGAGCAGTGCCTGAGACAGAAAGAAAAGTGAGGGGAGAGTGGGAAGTGAGTTGCCACAAGGAAAGAGCTAGACATACAGGGGAGGTGGGCCTGAGATGCAGGCACAGAGAAGACGGAGGAACAAGGGAAGGAAAGGAGAGGAGCAAGGGAGAAGAGAGAGTAACAACAACCAGTTCTTGGCACAGTCAGGGCGATATGGCTGCTTGGTTTGAGGCGTCAGTTTGCCTTAAGGTCCCTTGAACCACTCCTTTGTCTTTTAAAGATGGGAATTTTGAGAGCATTGGCATGTCCAGGAGATTAGCAGAGACACCTAACAGGTCTTTGGCAAGTTGCCAGACTAGTATTTGTGGCCACATAGGGTGTCAGGGGTTGGGACAGATCTCTGATATTTCTACAAATAGATGGCCTTGGGACTCATCGTCCTGCAGCAGTGCTGAGTTGAAAAGAAAAGAGTTTCTCATTGAATTTTTCAGCTTCTGCTGTCAGGAGAAAACCTGCTCATCTAACATTAGAGCTTGCAGTTGGCTGAGATGTGACATGCGCCACTTAGAGCGGGACGACATTGATGTACAGTGTTAATATTACGCTCTAAGTGGCTTCTGTATGTTATCCAAAAACGGAGAATAAAACTGAGCAATTCATTTCTTCTTTTAAAAAAAAAGGGTGGTTATTAAAAATGACTATTCAGAGGCTCAAAGTCATAGAATGGACCCAGTATCATTGGTGTGGGCAGCCTTCTCACTGTCAGGGAGCATATGGCCAGTGTGTGTCCTCATTTGTCTTAGAAGAATCAGGAAGATGGAACTCCTTGAGGGAACTCTCTGGGGGCCCTGGGCAGCCTCCTCTGCTCCCCGCATCCCCAACCCTTGCCCAGTGGAACGCAGCCAAACTTGGTGTCCCCGCCAGGCCCACCTCTATTTTCCATTTTACCTACCGGCCAAGAGTGAGGGCCATGGAGTCCAGCTGCCTGGGTTAGAATTCTCTCCCCATTACTTACTCACTGTGGTACCAGAGTACCTCGGTTTTCTCATCTGTAAAACAGAAAAACAATATCTACCTTTTAGGGTTATTATGAAGATTAAATGGCTTAAAACGTGTAAAGCATTTAGACATTCACATGCCTGGGACATTTTAAATGCTCAATAAATGTTGTTATTTTGATCATTATCATCATCATAATCCCTGGGCATGCATATTCCCCAGCAACCCTGGTGTTTTTTGCTTCTGCAGACCCAACAGGCTGAGATGTCTCTGCCTCTTCATTTCCCCTGAGCAGACGCCTCCTCTGCGGCTTAGTTTGAGTCCAGCTGACTGCATCATCTTCCCTCTCTCCTTGCCCTCTAATAGTACAAAGAATTGACAGTGGATTTCTTTCCACAGTGTCTACCTGCACAGGAGATGTATTGGCAGTTTTGGCAGCTAGAGATGTGGTTTCTATGGTGAACCACCTGGGAAAGACAGCAAATTCAGTAAATGACTCAGTTCAGTGAGTGCCCAGCCAGGGCTAGATGCCGTGTAAATAAGACCCAGGCCCAGAGGGTGGATTTGAGTAGTTTCAGCAAAACCTAGACCTTTTTACAGAATATCTGTATTCTTCTCTTTTATCTCCTTACATGCACACTAACTTCTTGACGGCAGAGCCTGAGTCTTATTTATATAGCATATAGCCCTGGCTGGGCACTCACTGCACTGAGGTGTTTACTGCATTTGTTGTCTTCTCCTGGGTGGCTCACTAAAGAACCCTCAGCCATAGCTGGAAGCCAAAACTCTGAAAAGTTTTCCTGTGGCAGTAGACACTGTGGAAATAAATCCGGTCTGCTGAAACCAGGCAAGGGGAGCCCTTTTGGGAAGAGGTAATATACTTCCCTTCATATGCTACCCAGACTTCTCCCCTCAACTGTGTCTGCCAGACATCTCCACTTGGATATGTAACTGGCATCTCAAACATAGCATATCCAAAACAGAACTCCCAGTGCTCCTACTCAAACCTGATTGTCTTGTCTTCTTCTCCATCTCCATCAAGAGAGCTTGATCCTTCCATCTGCTTAAACCAAAAATCCTGGAGCCAACCTGGACTCCTTCCTTTCTTTCACAATCCATATGTAATCCATGAACAATTCTGGGCTCTCTACTATCCAAATATGTCCTCACCCAACCACTTCCTATAGTGGTGTGCTGAGCACTGATTGTTAAATATTCATGAAACTTGCAATCTAGCTGTTAAACTATAAGTACTCGAAGTCAGCTGTGGTGGGACTATTTACACCACAGAAATTGGCAGGTGCTACAAATCAGGGCTTTTGTTTTTATTTTTAATTTCTTTTCCAGAGAACTGGTTCACCAGAACTCCACTGACTTCTTACCCCTTCCACTGCTGCTCCCACTCCAAACCTCCATCCTATCTACCGGGATCATTGCAATAGCCTCTTACCTACCTGGTCTTCCTGCTTTTACTCTTGCCACCATACAGTCTACCCTCAACATAGCAATCCTTTTAAAACACAAGTCATATCATGACTAGGCTATACTCAAAACTCTCCAGTGCCTTCCCATCTTACGCAGAGTAGAATCCTAGTTTGTAACCCTGGCTAACAAGGTTCTACACATCTGACCCTCCATCACTTCTCTGATCTCACTTCTTCACTGTAGTCACATGGGCCTCCTTGATGATCTTTGGACATGTCCTGCATTCCCTGCCTCAGGGACTTTGCACTTGCTGTTCCTTCTGCTGGGCAATCTCTTACCCTGGGTGAGTTCACGACTTTCTTGGCCATTTCCTTCAGTTGTCTTTTTATGAGACAGAGAGCAATCTTCCTGATTACCCTATCAAAATCAGCTTCCCCTCACTCTGCCATTGTTTTCTGTTCCCTACACAATCCTTCACTTCTCTATAAAATGTCTATTGCTACTTGAAACATACATGTTTATTGGTTTATGTGGCTATTGTTTATCTCCCCACTTCTATCCTGGTTAGAATACAAGCTTCATGAAGGCAGAGACCTTGTTTTGTTCATTTCTATGCCATTAGTGCCTAGAACAATGTTTGATACATAGTACGTGCTCCGTAAGTATAGGTCAAATGAATGATGCTGCCCACACCCCTGAGATGTCCCTCTGGACAGAAGGTATCATGATAGCAAAGTGGAGCAATTGCTAATGCTTTACAAAGAGACCACCCTAGGACTCCAGTTCTCCTGAGCATCTCTTATAGCTATCAGGGATTGAAAGACAACACTTCCCTGAGCAAATACCATTCAAAGTGCTAAGATCCCTGATGAGGATAAATTCCTCAATAAAACAAAACTTAAATATATAGGTTTGAAATCAAGCTGAACATAAGCTATTCTACCAGCATTTACAAGGGAGTATTTTCCTAAGACAGAACTAAAGTTTCAGGCTGAATTGATAAGAAATCAAATGTTTGATTTCTTCCTCTTCCTCTCTATGGGCCAGACTCCAAGTGAAAAAAATGACACATGTATATGAATATATATTAGAGAATATATGTGTATATATATAATTTTATGTGTCAACTTGAATATATATATTCAATGACTATATATAATTTTATGTGTCAACTTACATATATATATATACACACACACACAATCTGTGTGTGTGTGTATTTAATTTTATGTGTCAACTTGACAGGGCCTCGAGGTACCCAGATATTTGGTCAAACATTATTGTGGGTGTGTCCATGAGGGAGTTTTTGGATGAGATGAACATTTGGATTAGCAGACTGAGTAAAGCAGGTTGCCCTCCCTAATGTGGGCAGCCCTCATCTAATCCCTCGAAGGTCTGAATAGGACAAAAAGGCTGACCCTTTCCTGAGTAACAGGGAATTTCTCCTGCCTGACAGCTTGAGTTGGGACATTGGTCTTTTCCTGCATTCAGACGCAAGCTGAAATACTGACTCTTCTGGGTCTGAAGTCTGCTGGCTTTCATACTGGATCTTACATCAGCTTTCCTGGTTCTCAGGCCTTTGGACTTAGCCTGGAACTATACATCAGCTCTCCTGGGGCTCCAGCTTGCCAACTGCAGACTTCTCAGTCTCCATAATCATGTGAGCCAAAGGTTTAAATAGTAAACCTTTATATACACATACACACCCCCCACACACCATATTGGTTCTTTTTCTCTGGAAAACTCTGACTGACACTATTTATACACAAAATATGTGTGTATACATGTGTGCATGTGTGTTGTGTATAAATATAATTTGAGAGGCTATGGCTGATGGGCTGGGGGATGTTTACAGGCAGGCAGAGATGATCATAGATGTTCTTTAGGCAGAAGTTCCTGGTAAAGTAAGGCACAGTTGTTCACATTCTTGCTATCCTTTTGTTCACCAGCAGCTGTCTTGCTGCCGCCTAACAGGGAATCCAGAAAGCAGGAGAGTTGGGCTTTTCCTCCAAGGCAGTGTGTGCACTTCAAAGTCTTTGTCCCATCTGTAGATTCAAAGCCATCCCGATTCAGGATACACAGAGTGTGGAGGTGGCGCAAGATTAGGTTGTTGGCCTTTTCCTGGTCAGGGTGGCTTTACACAGGTAAAAGGAAAGAAGGATGAGCAATGTAGAGTCCATTGTTTCACTGACTCTCACATATTGGCATTTTCTTCTCCAAGTCACCCAAAATGGAAACTTCAGAGGCATCTCTCACTCCTCCTCACCCTACCTGCTTCTCTGTCATCAAGTCCTAGTGTGTGAGGCTGTTCTTGCATTGCTATAAAGACATACTCGAGACTGGGTAATTTATAAAGAAAATAGGTTTAATTGGCTCACAATTCTGCCGGCTGTGCAGGAAGCATGGCACCACACATCTGCTCAGCTTCTGGGGAGGCCTCAGGGAGCTTTTACTCATTGCAGAAAGCAAAGTCAGAGCAGGTGCATGACATGGTGACAGCCAGAGTGAGAGAGCGAGGCAAGGTGATGCCACACATTTTAAACAACCAGATTTCACGAGAACTCACTGTAGCAATGACAGCACCAAAACATGTAAGATCCACCCTCATGGCCCAAACACCTCCCGCCAGGCCTCACCTCAGACATTGGGGATTATATTTCAACATGAGATTTAGAGAGGACAACACTTAAAGGTTCAACTAGCAATATCAACATTCCTTCACAGAGTCATAAGAAAGGGTTAATCACCACTACCTGTGGGTAGAGGAACTAGTAGAAAGAAGAAAAATTTTTATTTTTAATTTTAGAGCTTTCTATACATGTATACATACACACGTGCATATATGATGTGCTAATATAAACGATCGTGTCTATGAAATACCTCCTTTTCCTTTGCAATGTCCTTTCAATCTGCTTTCTTTTGCCACCCCAGTAGGGCCCACATCACTTCTTGCCTCCCTTACACAAGCCTCTCCCTCCCAATCAGTCCTGCACACTGCTTCCCTCAAACACTATTTGAAGTTATTCTGGATCATTTTCTTTCTCAAAATAATACAAGGAGATGACTATCAAATGTGAGATTGCCTAGCTTGGTGCCTGCTGCTCAGGAGGCCCTCAATGAACGCTAGTTTCTTTTTACTTTATAATTCTTCAGAGGGTCTCACTGACCAAAGAGCAAAGCCTGCCTCTTCCTAGCTGGTGCCCTGGGATGCCTTCCTGTCCCAGTTAACACTGGGCACACTATGCTCCAGCCATGCAGAAAAGCTCTGGGATGCCCTCACACCTGCTAATCTCTTACCTGCCCTTTCCTGGCTACAGAAACCCTGCCCGACCCTTTAGGGACCATCTCAAAAGCCATTTCAGCCACAAAGCTTCGTAACAGCACCCCACTCTGTACTGCCACAGGACTTACTGGTTCTATGTTTTCTTTGTTAAAAAATATATCACTTTTGGAAATCATATATTGATACCTTTGAAATGCTTCCCCCATTTCTCCTTTTTCCTTTACCTCCACTTCCTATGTCTCTCTTCCATTTGCAGTTTATTAATTCGTTCATTAGCTATGTATTGAGTGCTTGCTGCCTGCCATGCCCTGTGCTGGCCACTGCCCTGTACGTGATGAACCAGTCACCCGTCTCCTTCCTCTTCCTCTCTAGCTGGGGAGGCTTTGGGGTGAGGGGCACTCTCAGAGATGCTGAGAGTTGAGCAGAGACTTGCATGAGGCTAGGGATCAGCCATGACAATATCTGGGGGAAGAGCCCAGGTAGTCAAGCCTGTGGAGGGAATGGGCTTGGCAGGTTAGAGACTAGCAGAAACTGGTGTGGTAAGAGAGGAATGCATGGCAGGCAGAGTGTAGGAGATGAGGCCAGAGAGGTGGTCAGGGCCAGGTCATGGGAGAGAAGGGCCATGATTTGATTTTCATTTTTAAATAATCCCTTGGGGTTCTGAGTATGGAGTAGACTTTCGGATGTGGGGCGGAAGATTGGAATCAGGGGAGCAATAGGAAAATGAGGTGAGAGACAATGGAGCTTTGGAACAGGGTGCAAGTGATAGTGGCAGATTGGAGATATCCTTTGAAAGAAGCCCATCATGGCTTGCTTGTGAACTGGCTGTGAGAAAAAGGGGAAAATCAAGAAATACAGTTTTTTTTTTAACTTTAATAGTGAGGCCATTTATTGAGATGAGGAAGATTGGGTTAGAAAGGGATTAGGCGTGGGCACTGGAGGTAAGAGTTACATTTTGGACACATTGAGTTTGAGATGCCTATTAGACACACCCAAGGGGAAACTTTAAGAAGGCGGATAAGGCTGGCTTCCAAGAGAAAGATTCAGGGTGGAATTGGCTGACTCAACTGCCTAAGTAAAAATTTCAAATAAATACAAAGTCCTTATCATTCATTCAATAAACATTTATTGAGCACGTACTATTACTATGAGGTTGAACCACATGAAATAACCGTCTTTTCATGCCAAAAATGGTCAAACACTGGCCAATTTCATATGGTTTAAGCTAACATATCCAAAGTGCCAGGCCAAGCAAGGGTTGTGAGAGACGAAGATGCGTGAAGTACAGCATCTGCTCTCCAGAAGCTGACATTCCAGAATGGGAAATAACATTTTTGTTTAAATCTAGTAATAATAACAAGCACTTATAAAGCAGTTACTATGTGCAGGTACTATAATAGGCACATTGCATATATTAAGTCATTTAATCATCACAACTTTATGAGATAGCTACTATTATTATTTCTTTAAAATGGTAAAAAAAAAATTTTGCTTAACCAAGCTGTTGTGAAAGATAGCTGCAAATTCTTTGCCACTCACCCTATGGAAAGGTAGGGCCTATCTGCCCCTGCCCTCCAACCTCCCTCAAATGCTGTGACTGGCTTTGATCAATACAATAAGATGCAAGGGGTGCTATGTAATCTTTAAGGCCAGGCTGCTTTAAGAGATCTGTAGCTTTTACTTCTGACCTCTAGGAGCATTCCCTGGTAGAAGCCAGCTACCATGTTAGAATTCTGACCACCATGCCCCTAGGAAGCCCAGGCTTACAACACACAGACAGAGATGACACGTGGAGGAGCTGAGGTGCCTGAATGACCCCACCTGACACCTCCTAGAACAGAATAAACTCCAAGCTGAACCCTACCCAATTCTGGCCCATAGAATTTTAATAAAATAAACTAGCTGTTCTTTGATGTTATTAGGTTTTAGGGTGGTTTTCTATATAGCAATAGATAACCAGAACATAAGCAAAAAGTAGCTAAGCTGGGATTTGAACCCATGCTGCCTGATTCCACAATTCGTGCTCTAAACTACTGTATATACTACCTTTCCAATACATGGATTGCATATGATAAGCACTGTTGAGTGATTAAACTGTAAAGTCTAGTGATTTTTCCCTGACAGTGACGTTGACACAGCTAGTCAAAGAAATTAATATTCTCACCTAGCAGATACATTTGGAACAAGTTTATACATCAAAGTATGCATAAATCCACATAATCTCATCACTGAAACCATAAAATACATAATTGTATCTTATCATTAACATCCAGTGAGAAGTAGTGAGTATATTCACTTTTTATTGCTGCATAACAAAATGAGCAACCTAAAACAACATATATTTATTAGTTCAGTTTCTGTGGGCATGGAATCAGGCATCGATTACATGAGTTTTCTGCTCAGGGACTCACAAGGCTGCAATTGAGGTACTAGCTGGGCTGTACTCCACTGGGAAGCTTGGGGTCCTCTTCCAAGCTCATGTGGCAGATTTCAGTTCCTTGCAGATGAGACTGAAGTCTACATTTTCTTCCTGGCTGTTATTCAGGGCCTGCTCGCAGTTCCTAGAGGTTGCCTGCAGCTCCCTGCCACGTGGCCTCTCACAGACCCTCACATCGAGGTGGCTTCCTTCCCTCAGGCCAGCAGGAGACTCTCTTTCTCCAGCCTGCTAAGACAGAGTCCTATATAACAAAACTATGTAATCATGGGAGTGACATCTCATCACCTTTGCCATATCATATTGGCAAAAAGCCAAATCAATGAAATAGACAATCTATATTGTGGAAGAGGTGACAGATACAAATTTATTCCACATGCTCTAGGACTTGAGAGGAAGCATGATGTGTGTCATCGCCTCTTCTATTACATGGTGGAATGAATTCTGGGTAAGAAATCAGAGTTCCTTAATGGGCACTGAGGACTACCACAGGAGGAAAAGAGGTGGGGAGCAAGGGTTAAAAAACTAGCTATTGGGCACTATGCTCACTACGTAGGCTTGCACCCCAACCGTCAGCATCACACAATATACCCATGTAACAACCTGCACATGTACCTCTGAATCTGAAATAAAAGTTGAATTTTTTTTTTGAGAAATAAGAGTTCCTGGTTTTAGTTTGGGTTCAGTCACCTATGATTTGTGTAATTTTGGGGTAAGTTATTTAATCTTTGAGATTTGTTTTTGCTTCCTCATCTATAAAATGTGGTAGGTGATGTATACAAAAGGGTGTTATAATAACAGTAAAATTTACAAGGCTTTTCAAGCTCAAGTACTAAGCACGTTTAAAGGCATAATCAACCCTTCTCATCTTCCCTTCCTTCCCCATTGTCGTTTCCCTTCTCAGCACAAAACAGCCAGCAGCAGGCCTGTCACACAGTGCTATGGGGGGGGAACGAAAAGAGGGGAGCCATGAAAAGGCATATCGGACAGTTCCATCTGGCACCCAAGGATGTAGGGTGGGTGCAGGAAGCAGATAGAGGAGATGGCCTGCATGTGTGGGAGATGGGCTACCTTAGCTAATAAGTAAATGGATTGAACAAATAAGTATGTATATTAAGAATAATGAGAACCAGATTTCCCATTTTGGGAAATGGTACTAACAAACATGAAAAGAGGAGAGGCTAGAAAGAACCCTAAAGAGTTGGATTGGAATTGGAGGACTCAGTATGAACTTGTGGTTTCTATACGCAAATATACAAATAGTACAAATGTGTGTATGTGTGTTCATATATACATACATGTGTTTCCTAGCTCTGTCTGCTGCACAGGCCTAGAAGCAATGAAATCACAACACAAAGGGCACACCGCATGTTCCGATCATGGTCGTTCAGTACCATCCACCACTGAAAGGAACTAGTACCTTTTAGAGAAACAATTGATTCCAGGCTGGGATGGGATAAGTACAGGATGATTCTGGAGTATCTTTTGTGCTAGAAAGCAAAAATGCTGAAGGAGTGATCGGGACACATCAAAAGGACACAGGAGCTACCTTGAAGGGGTTCTCGCCGGCTAAATCTGGGATAATTTGAGCATCAAAACGTCCCTATTGAACAAAATAGGACTCCATAAGTCCACACTGATAGAATAAATAGATAAATGAGAAGAAAAAGCTTTTTAAAGTAGAATGTCAAATAAATGAGTATGAAATCATGGAAATAAAATATTACCATTTGGCAACCACCAGAGTGATAGTTGATCAGTCATCGATGGAGGCCAAGGCTGGTGGGTAGAGGTTAGATGAGGAATACGATATTGGCGCTATATGTAATACTAACAAATTATAAAAGGAAAGTGGTGACTTTAAGATGGAAAACTTAATGACATGACTAGGGAGTCAACTGATGTTGAAACAGGTCAACATCCTGTGCTCCCAGGGTGACACACTGAGAGGAGCATGGTGTCACTTCTGCAGTATTCCTGCCAGGAAATCCTGCCTGACTCTGCCAAGATGAAACATGAGACTGCCTATGCTAAGAGACATCCTAGAGAATGTAAGACCTGTCCTCTTGAAAGTGGCTGAGGACATGAAAGAACTCTTCCAGATGGAGGAAACTAAAGAGACATGAAAACCACATGCAACACATGCTCCTTGACAGCATCCTGGACCCAAAAAGAAAGAGCCATTGCTGAATAGAGTCTGAGGATTGAGTGGTGGTATTGTACCAATGTTGACTTTCTGATTGGTGGGGTTGTGTGGTGGTTATGTGGAGAAGGTCCTTGTTTGGAGGAAACACACATTGGGGTATTTAGGAGTGATAGGACATCATGTCTACAGCTGTTTCAAATGGTTTAGAAAATGACTGGTGGTAATGGGTATAGATAAACACAGGTAAATAAATCAGCACACACACATGCATAAAGAAAATGCAGAGAGCTAATAACAATGAGGGAATCTGGGTGATGGGATATGGCACTGTACCTACATACTTACAACTTTGCAGTAAGTTAGAAGTTATTTCAAAATAAATTTATTTTTTTAATGCAGGGAGAAAGGAGTAACCTAATCATCTTTCTTCCCCAAGGAGATTTCAATTCCTTGAGAAAAAGTCTGTCTTTTACTCCCGCTGATTTCCTGGCATACAGAGAATCCTTGACATAGACTTGCTGCAGGCAGGCCAAGGCAAAAATTCAGTGCTCACCCTTGCAGAGTTCTGGCTCTCCCACTGCAAGTTTTCATGGGTTGAGTTAGATGTCACATAATTGATCAATGAGGGATTACAATTTGCTTTCACAGGCCACTATTGGTTTTACCTCAATTGCCCTCAGGAGCAACATGACTAGTGACATCTTAAGTGAGGGAAGAAATTGGTGGTGAATGGTGCAGAATCGTAGAGCTGTTCTGCCTCAGTGGCTAGCCAGTTCATGGCCTGGCAAGCATCTGCTGACCATCTGTGGCTGGGAGCCAGGCTGCCATTTCCTTTGATGGTCTAGATAGAATCTTGTTGACTTGGGTCTGGATGTATGTTTTGTTCAGGATTCAGTGACATTTAAGTTTGAAGTTGTCAGTTTTGATCAGTGTGTACCTTTGGCTTTCAATAACAAAATACACACATAAAGCTATACAAGCACCTTTATTATTGAAATTTCTGCAGAAATAATTCTGTTCTATAAGTCTGAAATTCTCTAGATTCTCATCCCTTTTGTTCCGCAGAAGTAATTGTTTATGTGACACAATTTTTTGATGTTTCTTTTCTAAAGACTGTGGCACTAGGCTAGAACATTCCAGAATTGCAGATTCTCAGAGTCGAAAGGGGACTTACAGGTTGTCAGTGCAGTGTCTGATCTAGAATGTAGACTGACTTCCACGCCATGGACCCGAGGGTTACAGAGCCACAGGTGCCACTTTCCCCAGAAGGAATGGAGCATGAGCCAGCAAAAAGTTGTCTTTCTCAGCTATAACCAGAGTTACAAAGCACTGATCCTCCCAAATCTCCAAACCCATGCAGAAATTCTACCAACACAGCCTATGGGGTCCCAGCTTCTGCATAAACCCCCTAGTGATGGGGATCTCTGTGTCTCCCAAAAATCTCCTGCTGAGGCTCTCGAATCTACTACTCGGCTGAGGTCTTGGTGTTTGCTCCTTCTCTCCCCTCCTCACCCTTATACTTTGCTCCGTCCTCCACTTCTCAGCATACCCACCCTGGGCAGGCCAGATCTGGAGACACATTTTCCCTCAGCTGCCCTGCAAAGGGTGCTGTGGCTGTCGCTTGCCTGAAGTCTCTTTGACGGCTTTGTGTTCTGTGCTATAAATAAATGATTTTGAATGCTTATCTGCTTGCCTCTGTCTGCTTTTCAAGTTATTTTTGGGTGACAGGCATCTTCTGTGTTAGGTGGGGGCCTGCATTATTGAAGACCATGCGTGCCTTGTCAAAGGGAAATAAGGTCAGTGAGTGTGTGGTGGAGGCTGAGGTGGGTGGGTGGTGGGTGCAGGGCTTGTCAGTTCACATTCAGAGCAGTGCTTGTGTTCTCTTGCTAAGTGTACCAGGCAAACCAGAGAGACCCCAATACAGTCCAAGCCACTCCCCACAGGTAATCCTGAACTCAGGCTTTCTCTTCTCATTTAACTCTGCATCCACAGGCCCTTCTTTCTTAAAACCAGCAATGTGGAATGTGCAAAGGACCCTGAACTAAGAATGCGAGCCCTGGGTGCCTACCTTGACCTGCAACTTCCTGGCTGGGTGGCCTTGAGTGAGTCACTACTTCTCCATGTCTCCATTTTTTTAATCCAAAAGTGGGAGTGCTGGTTACTGCCCTGCTTGATTAGAGGGCTAGAAGGTGGGCTTTCATCTACCCCAGACTGCAGGCAGCAGAGGCCCCAGAACACGGCCAGGCCTGAGACTAGTCCCCACCTCCCCTCTCCCCGGGAGGCCCTTGGTGGCCAGCAGCAAGGACCTCAGGGATGTTTCTGGCTTCAGCTGTATCCTTTTGACTTTAAGATCCATGCAACAAACTAAAATAGAGAAACCTTGATTTACTGGGGGTTCACTTAAGATCAAAACAAGAGGAAGCTTGAGACCACAGCTTCTTCTATCAGGATGTCCTCCTCCAACTCCTGCCTGACATCCAGAGCCCCAAGTGTCCCCACCTGACTGACTATTGACTTCCCTCAGCCCTTACTTTTTCTTCCTGAGGGCCCTCCTCAGCCCCATCCTCCTTCTCCAAGACGCTCCTGCCACTGCCTTCAGGCCCCTCACCACCTCCACCAGGAGCATCTCTCTCTCAAATCCCTGCATCTCTTCCTCCATGTTTTTCAGGCCTCCAGTGCCTGAAGGCGGAGCTGAACTCTGAAGACATTTAGATCTTTAGCCATCAGTCTGAGGAGAAATCTGCATTTATTTTTTTTCTGAGGTTTTCTGAGTCTAATGAGAGAGAAGAATCAATTCAGCCACTCAAACAGTTTTGTAAAGCACAGCACCAAAGTGCTTTAATACTTTAGGAAAATGCCCACTGGCCTCCCTATTTGAGGACTTGTTCTCCTGCCTCTGTCCCTGCCATAGCAGGTTCCCCATGGAAATGGGTTGGGCTCCAGCTCCAGACCGCTGGGATTACCTTCAAAGCCCTGGATACTCATCTCCCCTCAGGTCCTTTGGTGTTGCTGCTGCTGCCAAGCTGTTTCCAGGGCATGGCAGCCAGGATCCCTGACAAGTCTCCTGATTCCCAGCCAGCCGCAGCTCCTCGTCAGTCTGTCGCCAGCTGTTGCCCCACCTTTCTTGCCCCTCCACCCTGATCTTCCAGCCCGCTTCATTATCCAGACCATTTCTGCTTTTCACCCTCCACTGACTCCCCACAGGCTTCAATTAGTAATTTTAAATGGTCACCAATTTTCCTTAAGCCTTGAGCAGTAATGGAGGTTTAGGTCTAAATTAAAATTTGCTAATTTAAAAGCATTTGCCCACTAATCGGCTGCTGAAGTGCAATCACTTGGCCGCTGCATCTCAGGGCTGTCCTCTCATGGCCTCCTGCCTCTGTCCCTGGAAGGGTTAACCCAGTGGTTCTCAACTCAGGGGATTTTGCCCCTCAGGGGACATTAGGCAACGTCTGGAGACACTTTTGGTTGCCTTGGGGAGGGAGGTGCCACTGGCATTAGTGGGTAGAGGCCTGGGATACTGCTAAACACCCTACAATGCAGAGGACAGTCCCCCACAACGGAGAATTATCAGTGCTGAGTTTAAGAAACCCTAGATATAGAAAACTCCCAGGCTTTTCCCCAAGAAACCTTTCCTTGCACAGCCCTGCATTCTCCAGAACAGGCCTCGAAGCTTTTGTTTCTAGGGGTCTGGAGGCTTCGATGTATAACATGATCTCCCTAGATGTTCTAGATCTGTTTTCTTTGGCCTGTATAATGTTTGTTTGTTTGAATTGATCCAATATTTAAGACCATCAAGATATTTTGCAAGAAAATCTGAGTTTACAGTTTGTCTTTAAAAGTGGAAGATAGGTTAACATTTGTCCCTAATTCCCAGTTGGCAGCATTCAGTGGGAGTTGAGTAGCAGCTCCCCATGCCCCTTGACATCTGTCCCATTCACCTCAGTCTTCACCACTCTCTATTACTCTCTGACTTTGAGTATTACTTGCTATTTATTATCGTGTTTACACTGCTGTTTTCTTATGGCAGAGGAATACTTCTCCACATACCTCAATTAAAAGTGGGAAAATAAAAGATAGACCGGGGCTGCACCCAGAGCCGTCAGTCATTTTTATTACCCGCCTTACTCTGTGGGCATTTGGCTGTGTCATCCCATGTGGTTCCTGCCTGGGCAAGTGACTGAACTTTTTGACCCTGGTCGAATCCTTCCCAGGTCAGCTCTGTAGACTCACAAAATGCTGGCAAGTGGGTAGGAGGCAACTCTTACACTCTTTTCTCAGTTACAAGTTTCCTGCTGGGACGTGGGGCTTATGAGGACTGGAGTTCCCAGTACATCCATGCCCTACTCCCAACTTCTAACACAGGGGGCGGCAGACTATGGCCCATAGGCTAATGCAGGCATGCTTCCTGTGTTTATACATCAAGTTTTACTGGTGCAGTCACTCTTGTCTATGTACCTATTGTCTATGGCTGCTTTCCTGCTACACTGGCAGAATTCAGTAGTTGCAACAGAATATATGGCCCACAAAGCCTAAAATAGTTACTATCTGGTTTTTCATAGAAAAAATTTGCAGACCCCTGTTCTAACATTTCAGTACTTCCCATTTGTATATACCTTGCCGTTCACAAAGCACTTTTTTGATCCTTCCAACAATCCCATGATGTGGGCAGGGCAAGGATTATGAAAGGTACAAGCAAACACTTTTGAGCGTCAGTTGGGTGCCAAGTGCTGGGCTCTGGCTTTTTACCTGCACTTCCTCACAGCAGCCTTGTGAAGTAATTATTTTAACTTTACAGATGACACAACAGAAGCTCAGAGAGGTTAACTGATAGGCCCAAGTTCACCCTGGAGTCTGGCTCCATGCCAGGCATCTCGGTTCCCCAGCTTGCTTAAGGCAGCAGTCTTGACCCTTCGCTTCATAGTGGTGGAGGGTTACCATGTGTGGCACTCCGCAGAACCACTCCTGGGACGGGTGCTGGGGCTGCAGCCTTCTCTCCCCTAACCCTCACACTGGCGCTCCCTAGCAAGTGGAGAGCTGCTGCATCAAAGGCCGGCCAACTGTAGTTCATTCTTGCCACCTCCTCAAATTGCCAAAGGTTGGGCTGCCCCATGCACAGCACTCAGACAGTACCTGACAGATACTCAACTGGAACTAGTGCTGCCAGGTAGAAACTGGTGCTGTGAATGCCAACCCTAGCTCCTTCCTAACCTGGACTGTTGGAGATGACAGGACGAAAATGCTAGAGACCTGGGGGAAGGGATTAGGAAGGAGGGGTCTGAGCTGAGAGGAACACAGCCCGATGGCCATGAGGGAGTGGGGTCCAACAGCCAAGGAATCGAGGCAAACAAAAAGCAACTGTGTGTTTCATTGCATGCTGCCCAGTAACCTGTGAAGGGTAACAGAGTCAAAGCTTTGAGGAGTTGTAATCCTGCCTGTAGGACAGGCCACATGGAATCTGCATACCCCTGTTGAGTATTTCTGCTACATTAACTGTGTGCATTTAGGTGTCCATGTGCAATGGTGTGTGTCTTGGCATCTGTGTTTTGTATGAACAAGTAGACCTAGCCAAACCCACGGGACCAGAAGATGGTTTCATGCATGGGAAATTATGTGAGACACCAAAAGGAAGCATCTTCCAGCCCAGCCTGCCACAATACCTGATGTCCTATTTTAGATTCATATTCTGTCTAGTACAGTAACTGGCACTGGGTAGATGCTCAGTCAATGTTAAATTGAACCCATTCTTTCAACTAGGTATGATATTTTTATAGAGATATTCGTATATTATCTTAAAGTCAAATACAAAGCTTATCTATTCTTTTCATTATTATTATCCATGTGTCCAATAAAAATTGAGTGCCTACTGTGTTAATTACTTTCTTCTTCTAAAATGCAAGAATATGTTGGCATAAGGAAATAACAGTAAAAAGTCCAGGATGATAAGGGCAAGAGCCTCAAATTGTGTGCTTATGAGAGACGAAGCTGGCAAGATGAGGTGGAAGCTGTGGAAGAAGCGCTTTGAAGGCCGGGCTGGGAAGTTTGGACTTGATCCCACAGGCATTCAGTAGGGGCTGTGGCTACTTATGCATAAATGACAAAAGTAGGGATTTCAGAGGGCCAGTTGGGCATTGGCATCAGAGAGTCTGCAGGAAGAGATGTAGATGGGAGGCATATGTTACCGGGCATAATGAAGGACATTGCTTTAATACCCAGACCTTCCTGAACACTCATCTTGGGCCCCCTACAAAGCATGTTGGGCACTGTATCTCCTGGAATACTTTCAACAACCTGTGAGACAGGTTTTCGTGTCTCCATTTTCTGGATAAGCAACTGAAGCTCAGAGCTGGGAAGTTGCAGAGCTACTCTGCAGTGGCGGCATGCCTGGGCAAGAAGGGATACATGGCAGAGCTTGGTGGCCGGATATGTGGGAGATAAAGCTGAGCATGGATGCCCGGGGCTGTTCCAGTGCTAGGGCCAGGGAAAGTGAGAGAATCATGGGTCCAGGCCCCAAACTCTGTGCCTTGGGTGCCCCTCTTGAAGGACAGACAGGGCCACTTATCTTCCCTGGCAGAAGGCTGCTGCCTCCCCAAATCCACAATGGCTTCGGTGGTTGAGCCAGGGCATTCAAGGTGACACTGAGGTTATAATTCAATGACAAAGCAGGTCATCTCTTTCTTACTAATTGGTCATCTTTCTTACTAATTGCTATGCAAGGCCATGGACTGCTCTTTAGTCTGAGCTTCTCTTTGCCTTTGCTCAGTGCAGTAGCTATTCACAGGTACAATCATAGTGCACTACAGCCTCGAACTCCTGGGCTCAAGTGACCCTCCCAGTAGCTGAGACTATAGGCATGCACCACCACACTGGCCTCTTTGCCTTTTGAAAATTCTGTAAACCCACTCCCTTCCCCCATTCCCACAATGCATTTCTCACCACAGAATTTTTATACCATGATGATGAAGGCTAGGTTTGGTGAGAAGTCTCCTTGCTTCCAGAGATCAATGATCTCTTTCTCTCTCTCTCTCTCTCTCTCTCTCTCTGTCTCCCTGGAAAAATGCCATCCCTTTACTCACTGGGCCTGGGGAGCCCGACATGATGTAAACCAAAATAAAATGAAATGGCTTCATTATCTGCCAGAGAAAGATGATTAAACTGGTCTACTTTGTGTGCTGATGAGCTATCTCTGAACTATGTGTCCATTATCGCTTTCTGTCTGGATTAGAATGACAGTATGAACAGTCTGTGGGTTAATTAGTTTCTTGGAAAGTTTATTCATTTCTCCCTTTCCCTGTTCTGTAGTCATAGAGCAATTCATACTGAGTCAAAATGCTCAGCTTCTGTTCCACATGATCAGAACCAAACATGCATCAACTTGACGTCCATCACAGCCGATGAACAGCCAGGTGGTGTCCCTCCCCCTTCTTCCACAGCCTTGTCACCAACACTGCCAACAGAGCCTCCACCAGGCATGGACAACTGCAGCTTAGTGGGCCTGATCCACACAGCTACTTCCCCTTGGCTCCTTGGAGAGGATGGACGGAGTTGACAATGCACTTGCCCTTCTTTTTCTTACTTCCATTCAAATCCACAATTGTCTTCAGGGTTTAACCAAACAGTCACCATACCCAGGAAGATTAGCTGTGCATCCATTCTGATCACAAAGTTGGTGCAAATCTTCTTCCCTCACCACAGTTCTAACTACAGCTTTCTTTTTGTTTTGTCAAAATATTTTGTTTAATAAATACATTTTATTTTGTAATTACTCTAGTAATCAAAGCTTATAAAATGTTTTCAAAGATCCTAAAGTTGCATTGACTGGTGTTAGAAGAGAGGAGAAGTCACCTATCTTTTTAGAAGAAAATACAACAAATTAGATGAAATAAACGAATTCCTTATAAAGCCAAACTTAATATGCTCACAAAACAAAATATAGAAGATATGAAATGTTGATGGTAACCATTAAAAGAATGTATTTTTTAAAAGCTGACTGAGAAAAATATATATAACATAAAAAGTAAAAATATATATGATCGATCCAAAAAAAGCAGAAAGAGAAAAGTTTTTAAAAAATATTTAACATTTTTAGATATCAAGCTAACTACAGGTTTCTCAAACGTAATGATTAAGGCCCAGAGTGCAGACGCTGGTGCCTTTTTGCTTTCTGAGTTCAAAGGTGATTATACATGTGTATACTTTCTTTTTTTGGTTGCTTGCATATCTGCTAATGTGAACTTTTTTATTTTTATTTTTAGCCATTTTGTAGGTGTGTTTTTTCTGCCCCAGTTGTATCACAAATTCCTGTGGGGCAAGACCCACATCTAATTATCTTCTGCTTCCAACACTGCCTAACATGTGTGGTACACAGCTGAGTAGGCAGATGCTCCAATGTGTTCCCTACCTCACAGAGCTTGGAAGTATCAAATGGAGCCTCAGGGCAAGGTTCTGGAGCAGATGCTGGGGCAAATCCTGGCTCTCCCACCTACTTAGCTATGTGAACTGATCAACTCATTTCAGTTCCTTGTTGCTTCCCTGTTTGCACATGCATACAATAGAGATAATAATGGTGACCTCATTGGTTCCTTGTGCAGATTTCATGGGTCCCCAGCCTTTTTGGCAGGAGGGACCAGTTTCATGGAAGAGATTTTTCCATGGATGGTGGGGGTTAGAGGGAGGAAATGGTTTCAGGATGAAACTGTTCCACCTCAGATCATCAGGCATTAGATTCTCATAAGGAGCTTGCAACCTGGATCCCTCGCATGCACAGCTCACAACAGGGTTCCCCCTCCTGTGAGAATCGAATGCCCCCACTGATCTGACAAGGGGCCGAGCTCAGGCGGTGATGCTGGCTGGCCCACCACTCACCTCCTGCTGTGTGGCCAGGTTCCTAACTTTACTTCTTACCAGTCTCCAGCCCAGGGGGATGGGGACCCCTGGGCTAAGGCATAGAGAGTTCCTAGAAGAGAACTTCACACAGTAAACACTTAATCCATGCTTACACAGACCTCAGAATCCTGTAGACACGCAGCACTGTGCTCCCTCCCCTTGGCCCTCCCCTCCTTCTGGATGTACCATATCTGATTTGGCCAGTGAAGTGGCCAGACTGCAGAGGACACGGTGAGCCCAGCAGGGCCCCAGCATGCCTCATTCTTTCCGCCTTCTTAACCTGGGGGAGGAATGTCACCCACAAAGTCCTGGAGAGACCTTGGGAACTCTGACTGGTTCCCAGAGTTCTAGCTACTCCTGGAAATCGCCCGGCCAGGCAGTTCTTTACATTTCTACTCATTCCTCCTCTCTGTGCCCCTGAAACCAATCTGCTGTTCCCTCTGAAGTCACCCCTGCCAGCACCTATGAAAGCCTCATTAATTGAAAAGAAAAGAACCATGACTCAGCAATGGTGGTCCTGGAACCTGACTGAAATTCCCGACAGATATTTATTACAAAAGCATTTCTCTTTATATAACAATTTAATCAGGCTGAGGTGTGATAAGCAGGGAGGCAGCCACTAAACAAGGCTGTTAACGCAGAGGAATCGTCTCCTGCTGATGGATGCAGTGTAGGCATGGCCATTCATTAGAAATTAAAGCAGAACCGAAATTTGCTGCCTGGTGGCATGGAGTGCTGTTGTTACAGCTTAACACAGCCATTTCCTGTGTACTGCCAGGCCAACATATGTAAAGCGGCCTCCCGCCCCTGCGCCAGCTGTAATCCAGAGAAAATATCACTTTAATAAGGTTTCTCCACAGCCATGGGCAATTGACCTTAGAGACACTTGATTTTCCTGGAGCCACAGGTTGGAGGCAGCAGGAAGAAGGGGATAGAAGGCAGCTGAGGAAGAGAGAGACAAGCTTCTTCTGGGGATGAAAGGAAAGACTATGCCTTTGAAAAGAAGGCAAGCTCTTCCCACCCCTGGTGCTTGGAATAACTTTCCACTCAATAATGCCACAGTGGTTTCCTCTCCTCCATCAGAGGTTCACTAATACTCCTCTGTGTGTTTCTTATGTCATTGTTATCCTAAAGGCAAGGGGATGTTAACAGAAAGAGAGGGACACAGTTGCTAAGAGCCCAGGAGCAGGCATTGCTAGCTCAGGGACTCATGAATGTGCGCATTCCAGGCAAGGAAACAACCGGTCAATCTCAAGGGCAGGGTCTTTGTCTCTTCTGATGGACATCTTCACGTGCTATTAATGTAGGCGTTCTGGGACTCAACTGAGTCTTTGCCCAACTGAGTCCTGAGCACATCCCTTGCCTTCAAAAGCACAGCAGGTGGCTTATTTATCTTTGTATCACCAGTCACTAGAATAATGTCGAACACACAGTAGGTGCCCAATAAGGCAATTTTTTTGATGAAATGGATGAATATATGAGCCAAGCAGAATGTTTAGGGTTGGTTATTTTCTCTTCATAAAATTCTTCACTCTTCTAAGCATCACCCAGTGTTCTCTCAAACATTCAGAGTCTCTAATACATTTAAAATCCAATTTGACTCAATCTGCCCATCTCTCCCCTTGAACACAATCAGATTTATATGTGACTTTTTAGGGCAGTCCTATTTCATAAAGTAATAGGTTCTTGTATTAAAGTTCTTGATGGAATCTCAACATTTAGAAGCACAGATAGCACGTCACCATCTGTACATCCAGGTTGTGATAGGAAAAAGGGAGGGAGTACATTTTCCTAGGATTCCCTTCAGTTCCAAGTACAGGGTGCTAGCTGGAGGGCAGATTTTCCAACAATTACCCAATGCCAGACTTTGTCAGTGAGCTTCCTGAGCTTTGGTACCAAGGTCAGGAAGCCTCCAGGAACAAAAGCAAAAACAAAAGGAAGGATGTCAGCACCACCTTCCCTGCTGAAAAATCAAATGCCCATCATAAAAGTCTATTAGGATCCACTGATTAAGCCAGAAGCAACTGTATCATTTGCAAACAACAACAATTTATTAGTCTAAACGCATCTGAATGTCGTCCCCATCCATGGACTTACCAGACAATTAATTACAGCACAAAGTTGGAAGAACAAAATATAGCTCATAAAATCAAATAGCATTCTTATTCATGATATTCAAGTTTATGCCTGGTCTCAGAAATTTAGAGCAAGGGTCAGTGCCTGCAAGTACAAATCCACAGAGACCTTTCAGGGAGATCTTGCTTTGTGTGGTGGGTTTTTCTTGCCAATCTGACTTCCTCTCTGCTTTGAGCTGCTCCAAAGTAATCACCTTGCTAAGCCTTAAGTGACAGGCTGTGTATAGTCCTGGCTTTCAAGGAGTTAAGAGTTGAGCATCAGAGAAAAGCCAGATACAAAGAGCCACAATACAAGGAAGAGAGTGGACCATGTTGTACAAGGCACAGGCAAAGTGAGCTGGAACAACTTGGAGCACCTTCTAGCTGGAAAATCAGGGGGAATTCAAGAAGGAGATGGTCTTCAAGCTTAGTCTTTAATGCCTAGCTTCTGGCTGCACCTACGCATCTGCCAGCTGCTCCGCATGACACAGGAGCCAGAGGAATGGCTGCTGGGGCTGCTCACTCTATGTCCAGAGGCCGCTCTAGATTCAGCCAAACTCCCAAGGCTCACGCCTTCAGATCATCTCTGGCTTCCTTTTCAGAAGAGCTTAACTTTCACCCATGTCAACTTTCCGGCTGCTTCTGGACTCAGCCTCTGGCTCCCTCTGAAACATACATAATAGGAAGCCTGTCTGGAGAATTAGCAACCAGCAGCATGAAACTGTTCTCAAAAGATGTTCACTCAATTTACATGATGTATTTCTATTGTACAATAGGTTCTACGAAGCACATACACTTATCAAGTTATTTTCTTTCCTATCACACTTTATGTCACATCTTAAATACTTTACCTCATGGATAAAATATATTGGGTTTTGTTTTTCTTTGGGTTTTTAGAGCATTTTGTTCTATAAGAGTCAACATTCTTAACTGCTGAAATATCATTTATCGAAAGCAGGTGAGGTCTACCCATGCTGGATATATTTTCTTCTACTGTATCTGTCTTTTGGCCAAGACTCCTACAAACACACTAGACGGCATTACCTCCTAGTTACACTTGGCCAAAGCCTTCCCCAGGCCTCATTACTGGAAAGGAAGCACATTTAAAGGCGGGTAGGTTTAGACACCCATGGCATTAGCGGCATTGCTGACAGAGGGGCATGGAGGTGTGCCTAAGTTCAGGTTCCCCAAGATTCAAGGTGCAAGGATCCTGTTAGGGAAAACACCTGTGTGAAAGAAAAAAAGAAAGTGGTGGTGATGTTGGGGGAGTCGAGGAACCGGGGAGATATGTCAGACCAATGCAAATCTGACCCAGAGTAAAGGAGAGAGGGAGAGAAAATGAGGTGAAAGTGTCCTGGACTGCCAGGCAGTCTAAAGCCATTGGGAAGTGCTTGAGCCAAAGTAAGCCAATAAAGGAGACACCTGTCTCCCAGGGCTGGGTCTACCTCAGTATCCCTGCTGTGGCTTATCGCTGGGCAGGAGCAGACTGTGGAAAGCATGGCCTCAATGCAGAAGTGGCTGTCAATTCCTGAGTGCAGTGGCTGGGACCCTGTCAACTGCTCTTTCTGTAGAAGGAGGTCTGCGAGGCCCCTTCTCTGGCTGCCACAAGGTGAGAATTATACCTAAAGGAGGAGCTGTTAATCAGAGGTCAGGATACACTCTGCAGCCCCTTTCAAGGTGTAGGACATGTCCCTAGCCCAAGGGGCTCTCAGGAGACCCTGATGGCCCTCTGCCCTCCTCCCACTCTCAAATACTCTTTCAGTTCAAACATCTTAGAGTCCACACTAGAGCTTACTTGACCTTAGGATGGTTGGCTCTACTGAATGGAAGTGCCCTTGGGTGAAGGAACAAATTAAACTTTTCTGTCAGTTAGTCCTCAAGGTTAAATAAGCATCTGAATCATGTCCTGATCCCAAGGAAGAGGAGAACAAAAAACCTTGGCATGGGAACCAGAGGAGAGAGATGGGGCACAATGCTCCCTACTCGGTCATTTTACCCAAGGTCAATCTTGCCTCTGATAAACCTCATGTAGCCAGTTGTGCTTGGTGAGCCCCATACTGGCATGGGGCTCAGGTTGCCAGTGAGTGGCAGGCCTCTTGGAGGAGGTCTGAGAGAGGATGTAGAGGCTGGTTGTTTCCTTCCCTTTCTGAAATCCTATAAGCCCTTGTCCCCCACAGCTTTTCAGGCCTGAAAGTGAAGGTTGATTTAGCTGGCAGAAGTATAGATGAAGCCCAGGAAGCTTAGAGCCCTGAGGAAGGGAAAGGAAACTGGCATGGACTGGACATCTACTCTGCAACACAATCTCCATATGTATTTATTCATTTGACATGCAGAGCCTGTGCAGTGCTATTATTATCCCTATTTTTCAGTGAGGCCACTGAATCTCAAAGAGGTTCACTCAAGACCATGCGTGCCAAAGCCAGGGTGCAAATATGGGCCAGTCTGAGTCCAAAGCCTCTGCTGCCATCCCAAACCTAGGCCCCAGGTGTTAGGGAGGCCTTTGAAAGTTAGGAGATCCTGTCCCACTGGACAGGGAGGCCAGGAGTGAAGCTGGGGAGCTCACATGGAAAAGCAGGTCTTCCTGTCTCAGGCAGCCCACAGGAATGGTAGTGCTTGGGCTAGGTGGGTTACCTATACATACTTGTTGAACAAGGAAGAAAGAGAGGGCCAGAGGATCCACAGTTTCCTTAAACTTCTTTGGAGCTCTCTGAACCCCCTACATTCTGCTCTGTTACTATTTTGGGGCTCATCTCATCTCCTTTTCTCGTCTCCTAGAAGGAAAGACTCACGTTTGAATCATCTTTGTATCCCATAGTGCCTGGCATGTAATAGGTGCTCAGTAGATGTCTGTTGGATGAATAGACTAGTCTAGACTTTGAGGTGAGCCAGAATGGCAGGTCACATGAGGATGGGGAGGAGAGGCTGGGGTCAAGCATTTTGCCCCACATTCACGGGGCCCACTTCTTGCCCAGGCTTTCCTTGTGAGCCACAGGGATGTCATCTGGGAAGTACAGATACACTTTCTGCAACTGCTCTGAGGGCTTTCCATCAGTTTTTATACAAGTGCTTGAGCAGATCACAAGGTTCCATCAGGACTGGAACTCAAAGCAGGAATCATTTCTAGAGGTTCATTTAGCCTGGGCCTTCCTGCTGTCAAGAGCCCTACATCACCAAGTGGGAGCTGCATCTCAGGTCCTGGACCTGTCTCATGTCATATGTGCCTGATGGCCTGGTGCTGTCAGTGAAAAAGCATCAGTGAGGCAAAACTTGTCTCTGGAGGCCCCTGGATGTCTGTCCTGTGTGACTTCTACCCTCCTCACTTCCCCACACACATTCAGATACATACCCCCCCCTCCCTAGGCTCAGCTCAGGGCCTCCTACTTGCCTTCCTACCTTACTCCGATTTTGGCAATGCTAGCACACACCTACCCAGCTCCGAGCAATTCTCAAACTCTCCCTGGAGGAACCAGTTGTCTAAATCCAGCAATCGACCAGCTCCCCTTGCTAAAGGGAAGATGGCTCGAGCGTGCTCTGAGGTGTGATAGAAAAGTCACAGGGTTTGGCATCAGATCCAGGTAACATAGCTCTGCCTGAGGATTTATTTTAATGTGCTGCTGCCTTGGTCTCCTAAGGCACAGTACTGAGGCAAGAAAGTTTATGATGCATTGGAGGAACAGAAGGAATATCATGAATAGAGCAGAAAGAGCTAGGCAGGGAGTGGAACCAAACAGGAGGAAAAAGGCCAGCTTTCAATAAGATCATATTCCAGAAGGGACTTTGTAAGTTGTATCATGTTATATACATTCCAGAACAAAATGCACCCTCTTTCAGCATTTGAAATCCCACAAGGAAGAATCCCATGAATCCCTGTACCCCAGCATCCCCTCCCTGGGTGAGTAATGACCTGTTCCCTCCCCCGCCTTTTTCTCAGACTCTCAACAGCCTCTCCCCCACCACTCTCCCTCTGCCCTAGGACCTCCAGCAGGATTCATTTATATCTCTAGCTCAGCCCTCGTCTTTGAGCTCTGGACTCTATCTCAGCCTATATGACAACTCTTTTTGGGTGTTCAAAGGTGGCTTAAAGTAAATATGTTATAAGCTCAATGCAGTGACTTTTCGTAACAAACCTGTGCCTTCCATCTGCAGCGTTCCATTCTCAAGGAATGGCTCCACTATCCCTCCAGTTACTCTTTTCAGAGACTTGAGCATGACCCTTGATCCTCTCCATTTTTTATTCTGCACATCCAAACCACCACCAAGTCCTATACTTTCTACTTCCTAAATATTCCTCAGATTCTATTGCTTCCCCTTTCCACGGTATCATCTGGACTGCTGTAACAGTCTTGTCACTAGTCTTTCAACCCAAGTTCTGACACATCCTCGCTAGCATCAGTAGAGGGCTTTCCCAAAAGCCCCATGCATCACCATCACACTTCTGAGTCAAAACACCTTCAGTGGCTTTCCAGTGCTCTAAGGATAAAAGCTAACGTTTTGAGTGTTGCTTGTCAGGCTTCCCTGGCTCAATCCCGGCCTTCTGCCCTGACATTTCCTGTCAGCATTCTCTTCCTCACTCTCCAAGGAAGAGACCACACCATTCCCTTGGCTTCTCCACCATGCCATTCCATCACATGCTGTTTTTCTGCTAGTCTCTATAGCCTAACGACAAAAAGACAGAGGCTGAACACTTGTTATCCGAGGGCCTAACAAGATACTTGGTCCCTGACAGGTGTTCAGTACACAGAATTAGATACATGGAAAGTGAGATGTGTTGAGATACAAGGCTGAGGCTTTAAGTAGGGTCATAGACTCTTCTAGCAAATTTATGTTCCAGCAGGATGGTCTTCTGAATAACTATCCCAATGAAAGCAACATAAAAAGCTGGATGAATTATGTCGAAACACCTTCCTATAAGAATTGCTGAGCTAGTAAGAAAGTAAGGATCTGCAGAAGCCAAACCGAAGTGAAAGCCAAGGCCTTGGGAGATAAGCAAAAGCCTTGGTCAGCTCCTGCCCTTGGCATGTCTGCCAAACCCTGTGGACTTTAAGCTTCTGTCTTGGTGGCTGCTGAGGGCTCAGAAATCAGGAGATAAAGCCACAAGCCCATCCAGCTTGAGCAAGCTAATAAAACAGATTGCATAAAGCTAAGACTGCAGAGAGTTGTCTCTTCAGTAAAAGAATAAATGAAAAACAATACCACTTGATGATGTCCCCTACCAACTCACTCCAGTTTAATAATGAGAAAATCCAAATAGAGGGATATTCTACAAAATACTTGACCAGTGTTCTTCAAAAGTATCAAGGTTATCAAAACCAAGGAAAGTCTAAGAAACTGTCACAGCCAAGAGAAGCCCAAGGAGACATGTTGATAAAAGGTAGCATGGTTTCCTAAATAAGATCCTGGGACAGAAAAAGAATGTTAGGTAAAAACTGAGGAAATATGAATAAATTGTGGACTTTAGTTCATAATAATCTATCAATATTGCTTTGTTAATTGTGACAAATGTACCATACAAATATAAGACGTTATGAATAAAGGAAACTAGATGCAAAGTATATGGAACTCTCTGTACTTAACTGAAACTTTCCTGTAAATCTGTAACTATTCTACAATACAAAACTGTATTAAAACTAAAATAAACCCACTATGCAGAAGGGAACAGCGAGAAAACTTACAAGTCTTAACTTGATATTTGGAGGAGTGGGAAAAATCTTCCCTGAGAATCATAACCATTCATTTGAATTTGTGACTGAAATCCCCAGGCAGGAAATTTGATTTTAAATGGCATCCAGTTGGTAAAACTCCAAAGTGCCCAGCAGATACCAACACAAATTTTCTCTGAAAGCATGCAATTTTGCCTGAGGCCTCAAATAATTTCCCCAGGTGAATTCTCAAGAAACATGAAGTTATCATCAAAAATTATAAAACACATATGAAACAAAGTACTATAAGTGAAATCCAGCAGAAATAACAGCAGTATCAGAACACTAAATATTTCAGATATTAACATTATCATAGAATATAAAATCAGTGTGTTTAATATGCTTGCAGATATAAAAAGGAACCTTGAAAATAATGAGCAAAGAAAAAGAGACTATAACAAATGACCAAGCATGTTTTTAAAAAGAACAAATAGAAGTTCAATTAAAAATATAACTAAAGTTAAAAACTCAGTGGAGACTCAAATAGTATACAGATTCAATGCAGCTGAAGGAGAAATTGGTGAATTGAAAGATTCAGAACATAGCCCTGGGAAACAAAAGATTTGAGACAGTATGAAATAAAGGATGAGATCTGAAGAATAAGGTAAGAAATTCTAATTTTTATTGGCTTGACTGGAATAATAAAGAAATGGGGAGGGCTGGGTGCAGTGGCTCATGCCTGTAATCCCAGCACTTTGGGAGGCTGAGGCAGGTGGATCACGAGGTCAAGGGATTGAGACCATCCTAGCCAACATGTTGAAACCCCATCTCTACTAAAAATACAAAAATTAGCTGGGCGTGGTGGCACATGCCTGTAGTCCCAGCTACTCAGGAGGCTGAGGCAGGAGAATCGCTTGAACCTGGGAGGCAGAGGTTGCAATGAGCCAAGATGGTGCCACTGCATTTCAGCCTGGTGACAGAGCAAGATTCCTTCTCAAAAAAAAAAAAAAAAAAAAAAAAAAAGAAATGGGGAGGAGGCACTGGTGAAGGAGTTAACAGTTTTCCAGAATTGTTAAAGAACACCAAAACTCAGTTCCAGAAGTTCTGGGAAATGCTAAGCAGGAATGTCAAATGAAATCTTCACCCAGACAAAGCAGAGTGAATCTGTAAAACACAAAAGACAAAAAGGAAAAAAAAAAAAACCAGCCAGATCAGAAATAGGCAAAATTGATCTATGAAGACAGATATGAAAGCAGTATTTATCTTTAGGGAGATGGGTAATGACTAAGGGAGGCTTCTAGAGTGCTGTAAGGTTTTGTTTTCATTTTTAAAAATTCAGGTGATGATTGCATGGGTGCATTTACTTTGTAAAAATTTAGTAGACTGTATATTTATGATTCACGCACTTTAAAGTAAGAAATATTTATACTTTCAAAGAGAAAAGACAGATCACATTCAAAGGAATGATAATTAGACCAATGACTGGCTTTTTAGCAGTAACAGTAGAAGCCAGAAAACAGTAATATAATATCTTCAATGTGCTAAGAGAATGATTTGACTTCCACACCTCAAGAAATTATCTTTTGAGAATGAGGATGAAATAAGTATATTTCCAGATAAATGACTCTTATTAACAGATATTTAAAAGAATGTACATTTGGCAGAATAAAAATGATCTCAAAGAAGGAATGATGAGATATTATATTGGAAGTATGTAGGTAAATCTAAATAAAAACTGACTGAATAAAGTAAAAATAATATCTAAATCATGAGGTTACAAACAGCTATAACTCAAAATACTAGACAAAAATAGTATATTAGCTGGAAAAGGAGTGGTGAGACTTAAAGCATTCTAAGGTTCTTAAATCATTTGTAAGGAAGATAAAGATACTGATTAATTTTAGACACTGTTAAATTAAGTTTGCATATTAAAATATCTAGGATAAGCACTAAAAGAATAAACATATAAAAGTTTTCAAAATAGTAGAGGAAAAGCTCAATAATAATATTAACAGCACTTCAATCAATCCAAAAGATGGCAAGAAAGGAGAAAGAATAAGAAAGAGTGGAACAGATAAAAAGTACAAAATAAAATGAGAGAAATAAACCTATCAGCCATCACAATAAATATAAATTGATAAATGTTCCAGTTAAAAGGAAAAGATGCCAGGCTAGGTTTTTAAAGTCCAATTAAATGGTTTTTGTAAGTCCACAAAAATTGAAAGCAAAAACATGAAAAAAGATATACCAAGCAAATACTAGCAATAAAAAGCTGGTGAGACTATATCAATATCAGATTAAGTACATGGTAAGGTAAAGCATTAACTAATATAAGGAAGATTGTAACACAATGATAAAAGCTTCAAATACATCAAATAAAAATCATAATGAAATTAAAATTTAGAAATTATTGATAACAAAAATGCTATATATAAAAACTTGTGGGATGCAGCTAATTTAGTAATTAGAGTGAAGTTTATAGCTTTGAAATTTACATTAGAAAAGAAAAAAGGTTGAAAGAAATGAATTAGCTATGCCTCCAACTTAAGAAATGAGAAAAGAACACTAAATTAGCTCCCCTACCCCATGATCCCCCACCAACCCTCACACACACACACACACACACACACACACACACAGTATAAGGAAAAGATTGATTACCAGAGAAAACCTAAAATAGAAAATTGGTATCTGATGAATCAACCTAAAGTCATGAATTTCCCCTCCTAGAACTTGTCTTGGGAGTTCACTATTCCATGCTAACAGTTGTGTAGCCCTTGCAGAGCACAGGGCAGATATTAGAGTTATTGATCCTGCAGCAGACAGACTCAAATGCTAGGAAAGCCTACTGAGGAAGGTGGCTGTTGCGTGCCCCTCCTTCTCTAGCCCTGGCTAGTGAGGCAACGGCAAGTGTGACATCTCACTACTGAATGCGTTTCCTTGGCTTCATCAGGTGGCTAATTCTATGGTACCCAGAAGTATTTAATGTGCCCTCTGGCAGTTGGCCCAAAGCATCTCCTGAATGTCTTCACTCTCAGTGGGAATTTTTAAAAATCAACAACAACAAGAACAATAAAAACAAAACAGTTCTGTACCAGGAAAGACAAGAGGAATGAAGGAGAAGTCATCATCCAAAGTGGTGAGTGTGGATGTTAAACAGAGACCCTTTTTAGAGGCCCAAGGTCAACGATGAATCATTTGAACTCTCTGAAAAGACCATTTGTCAGGAAGACAGAAGCAATGTTCCCACCCCGGACAAAAAGAAAATGGAAACCAAAGTTCCAAGTCCAGAAGCCCTGCAGCTTCTATTGAGAAAGAATTGTTCTACCCAGGGACAGGCCCAGCAGATGGCAGCTTAGGCAGAGCCAGCAGGTACCCCCTTCCCTCCAACTTCAAGGGAGCATTGTGCCTCTTGTACTCATTCCAGCTATGAGCCTTTGCAGAATTCATTAAAGTATTTTAAAACCAGGAGAGAAAAATTAGCCCATATGTTTAGACTAGCTATGCACACACAACCAAAAAATAAATAAATAAAAGCAGCAGGGAGAAGAGAACAAAACAACAAAATTAACTAAGCTTTGAGTGAGAGTCTAATAAACCTGACATTTTTAACAGGCACGTTGAAATTTCCCCCATGTGCTGGTGAAAATGATAATAATTGAATGCATAAAGGATAACAACCTATTAAAAATAGTGACAGTTACTAAAGTTGTTGAGAGTTTTCAAATTCATATTTCTGTTATAAATTCAAGGTCTGCGGCCTCTCCTCACATAGCTCACTGTGGCCTTGCCTCTGGTATGGCTGTGGAGAAGACTCTGGACACATGGAGGGAAGAGCCCACCAAATACCCCTGCTTGGGGGCCTAGGGCCACATGGCCCACAAGAGTTAGGATCCCTCAGGATTAGGCCCTCTTGGTTGTAGGGAGCACTTTCTATAGGAAAATCACCCTGTTCATGAGGCCCAGAAGCAGTCACATAGTTTCCTATTTGTAGCCCAATGGATGCACTCTCTTCCCCTGCCCCACCTCAGTCCAGGACCTGAAGGAAATAGAAGATCATATGTTTTTTAATTGAGACAAAATTCACAAAACATAAACTTACCCATTTTCAAGTGTACACACTTGATAGATGGATGGGTGAATAGATAGATGAATGGGTAAAGGAATAGGTGGGTGAGTAGGTAGGTGGAAGGATGGTTGTGTGGGTGGATAGATGAATGAATGGGTGGGTTGATGTGTGAATGGATGGATGGATAGATAGATGGATGGGTGAAGGGATGGATGGGTGAAGGGATGTGTGGGTGAAGGGACGGGTGGATGGGTGGGTGAGTGGGTGGGTGGGTGGAGGGATGTGTGGATGGTTGGGTAAATGGATGGGTGAATGGATGGATGGATAGATAGATGGATGGGTGAAGGGATGGGTGGGTAAGGGATGGGTGGATGGGTGGGTGGATAAATGGATGGGTGGATAGATGGATGAATGGGTGGGTGGGCGGAGGGATGGGTGGGTGGATGGATGGATGGGTGGGTAGATGGATGGGTAAAAGGATAGGCAGATGGGTAGGTGAGTGGGTAGATGGATTGGTGAAGGGATGGTTGGATGGGTGAGTGGGTGGAGGTGGGGGGTTAGGTGTGTGAATATATTTGCTAAATGGAAGAGCACTGAACCTAAAGTTCTTAAACCAGCCTCCAGCCCCATCTTTGCCACAGGGTAGTTTTATGACACAAATTACTTCATCTCTGTGGGGCTTCATTTCCTCACATGAAAAACTAGGCCATTAGACTGGATGGTTTCTTGTGATCCCAGGAGACCCTTCTCCTCAATACTCTCTTGGGATAGAGGAGAATCCTGGCTAACTGATGTTACAGGTAATACCACCCAGAGGCAGAGAAATGGACAAGCTGATTTATGGATGAACTCACCTCTATTATTGCTTCCCAATTTGAGTTGGGTTCACCAAGGACTTTCTTTTTTATCTCACTGAGTACTGCATCCTCTTATACCTACTTTCCATTACATCCCAGCCTTTCCGCCCTCATTGACATACAATGTCTTTTAGGGATTCTGCCTCAGTTGTCTCCACCATAAGTTGCATTTTTTCCAAATTCACTTTTCTTCCTCTTGCAAAGCAATTGAACCCATAAGGCTAGACCCTGAGTAGAAAGGCCCACCTTCCTAACAGCCTGCATTCCTCAGTAGGCCAGCACAGCTCCCAGAACTGGCTGCCAGCAGAGGACATTTCCCCCTCCACTCACAATTCCCACCAATATCATGCACTTGTGGGTTATTTTATCAACAAACTTTCAGCAAGTGCCATGAAAATTAAAAAATGATTTGTTGGTATTGATATCCTTAAAATAAATTGCAAGCCAAGCTGAATAATACCAGAGGTCAGGGAAGGGTAGGGCTATCAAGAAAAACAGAAAACATTTTTTTCATGAAAGGTGAGGAGGAAGCTTTTTGCACTATCCCAGAAGAAAAGTCCATGTGGCACTGGCAGGAGGGGAGAAGGCCACTAGGCACTGGACCGAGCCCCACTGACGTGGACGATCACATCGGTATGGAGAAAAGAAACTCTGAGGATCTTCCCACTGCTTTCTCCCTGATAATGAAGAGTAAAAAGAGTAATTAAGTTAGGCCTGGTAATCTGATCCATTACTATGCATCTTCCCCAAATCAGGGGTCTGGGTATGTTGCGCACTGAGCTGGCCTCATGGGTCTCCACGACAGTAACAAGATGGAGGTGGTAACCACTTTTGCCTCAAGGCATTTTCTTGACAGTTCTCCCCGCTGTGGCCTGCGGATAAGCTCCTTGAAGGATTCTCACTCAGATGACTCCCTAAGAGACTCTCCAGGATGGAGTCTTATCCTCATAGTCAAAGCCACCAAACGAAGGCCCTGCCTAGCCACCATGTCACCTAGTCAACACAGTCAGTTTGATTACAGAGGCAGCCCACCTGATGCTTGAGAGCCAGGGTTGCCTGGATTGGCCAGGTCTGTGTACACTAGCTCAAGTTTATGTACCTCTCTGAGCCTAGGAATTCTCATCTTTGAATTTGAATGATCTCATTTGTCTTCTGCGGTTGAAAAAAACTGTGTGAAAGCAGCAGCACGTTGGACACATAAATGCTTAATAAATGTGCATTTCTTCCTCATAGTTAAGTGCAAATTCAGAAGTCTCTTCCCAGGGAAGTCTCCTGGGTGCTCAAGGGTGGTGATGGGAGGCCCAGCAGCAGACTCTATCTGGAAAGATGGGAGAGGGAGCCTTGAGCACTGGAGTATGCAGCAGGCTTGCATTGAGAGTGGGTCTTCCCACTCTCACACCATGGACATGCTTCCCTGTTACTTCTTAGGAAATTAGCGTGTGATCGTCTGCTAGTGACTTATCCCTTTGAGTGGACTTCAAGTCCATGTGCTCCTCCTTCTCCCAGAAAGCTTACCTCCCTCTCCTTGTTGTTGCGTCAGGATTCATATTCTGTTAGAGAAACTTCAGGCTTTCTGGAAAAGCAGATACGGAGTAAGGGGTCCTTCCCAGAGCTGCAAAAGTCATACCAAAAAATAAGCTTCCTATTGTGCTTGTGGTCACAGCCAGCCAGTTGTGCAGGCTATGTTAGGTGGTATTAGCAAGCAGAGATGGAGAAAGAGCATAACAGCCACACTGCCTGGCTTAGCAAGGGGCTCAGCCCCTCACCTCTCCTAACCTGATAACCTGACCCAAGCTTCCCACAAAGATGAGAGGATATACAGAGCTCTGAAAATTCTCCACATGCCCTCAGACATTAGGGTCCCAAACCCCTAGTAGCAGCCCACCTGGTTGTGTGGAAAAAGAACCAGATTGGTCATAAGAAGCTTTGACCTTTGTGACTTTGGGGAAATTACTCTACCTCTCTGGGCCTCTTACTCATCTCTAAAGTGAGAGGATTGGTTTGGCCAATCTTTGAAGCACCTTGTGGATTAAGATAATCCGACTCTACTTTGAGGGTATTCACTGTTGGAAATATCAACTTCTTGTACACTCTTCTCAAGCTGATATAAATCAGTTACTCTGGCCCACAAATTGTGACCAGTGAATTATAGTGAGTCAGATGGGCCCCAGAATTAGGAAGCTTATTCATTTATTCAATAACTACTTATTGAGCACCTGTTATATGCTAGACACTCCTCTAGATGCAACAAAATTGATGAAGTTCTTGCCCACACAGAGCTTACAGTCTGATGGAGAAGACTAGGAATAAGCAAATATGTAAATATGATGGATCTGCCGGTAAAACAAAACAAAACAAAAAAACAAACACACACACACACACACACAAACCAACAACAACAAAAAAAAACACTATGGAGAAAACTAAGCAGGGTAAGGATACTCATTGTTCTGAGTATCCTGGGTGGTGGTAGGAGGTCTGTCTTATATGGGTAGTCAGGGAAGACCTCTCTGATAAAGAGACATTTGAGCAGAGAACTGAAGGAAGGAAGGGGGAGATGTTATGGGAAGAAATTAGATAGGGAAGAAAAATAAAAAGTCCAAATTCTCTTGGTAAGCTGTACCTCAGACAAGTGGTGTTTTTGTCTTTTGAAAGAGGCAATGCAAGTTTTAAGCTTAGTTTTGAATCCTCTCTAGGAGTAGTGTTGGAAAGGATCCTGACATGGCCATCTTGCTAACCCTTCTCCTGCCTTCCCGTATCCTGGCTTTGGAGTCTGACTAACCTGAATCACGGGCTCTGTCACTTATTATCCATTTGACTTTGAACAAGTGACTAGCCTTTCTAAGTCATAATTCTGTCAACTGTATAACAAAAAATAATGCCTACTTCCTAGGGCTGTAGAGAGGATTACGTGAGCTAATGCATTCCAGGTTTACAAAGTTCATACCGCCCTTTCCCACTTCTCAGGCAGGAATGCTCTCCTGGGGTCTCCAATCTCCTCAGGGAGGGTGAATGCCTTGGTTACAGGTCCGGGTCTCAGAGACCTACAGGTTTTCCAAGGGGCAAAACCACTTTTGGCCTGAAATGCTTTCCTCTCATCTCCAGCAACAATCCCAGCAGCACAGGACAGCTTCCTCCACAAGCAGAAACTGGGCAAGGCTTTTGCAAAGATCTGAGCCTGGCAGAGCCATCTGGAAGCCCAGAAGAGGAGAACACTTGGACCTGCAACTCAGCTGTGACCACCCGGCAGCTTAGCAGAGCTCCATGGCTGGGGACAGGCTTGGGAGCTGCCTACAAATTTGATGGTACAAGAAGCAGTTTAAAGTTTTATTTTACAAAACAGAATAAATTAAAAATGCATTAGGAATGAGGCCTTACTTAATGACAGGGTGTGCTAATGGGCTTGGAGCCTGCAATCCCTCCTCCTTTAAGCTCTTAACGACTGAGCTTTAATGTATTTTATTTCTTGAAAAACAATCCCACAAGCGCTCGGTACAGTCAAAAAAAATTTCTAAAATCATTAGACCACTACACAGTAAATATTCATCACAACCACAGCTCCCACCTGCTTGCAATGAGGCATTGATTTTCTCTTTGCCTTGTTTTGCTCTCTCTTGCTTTTCATTCTCTTCTCTTCTCCCATCTCTCTACCTCCTCCCCGCAGATTCTCATTGGGAGTTCAAGCAAGGCTTGGCAGAGCCTTCTGTAAGATATATTTTCAAAAGGAGTAGAAGAATCTTTGTCAATATTTAGTCCAATGGAACCAACTCACTGCCAGCTGCAGGGCCTCCCAGTCTGATTTTTGGAGGGCAAGTAACATTGTTTGCCCTGAGAATCCATTCCCATTCCTCAACTGATATCCGAAATTCTACCGTCAGGACTGCATGATCACACCGTAGGAAAATTATTAATTTGGCCATTCAGAAATCTAGAATCCACTTCTAGCCCATCTAGTGTCACTGTGTAACCTTGGGCAAGTAATATCACTGCTATAACCCTTGGAATTGTCATCTATAAAATGGCAATTTTGGATAAATTGTCCCCTAGTTGATACTTTGATCTCCTTAGCAGATGAGTTGGGTTTCAATCACACTCTGGCTAGTTACTAGCTATGTAACCATGGGCAAGTTGCTTAACTTTTGAAGTCTATTTTGCTTATTTTACAAAATATATATATGCATGTGTTTGTATAAAACATATATATGAAGAGGATGTTTGAAATTTAAGATATATACCACATGTAGAGGACTCAGCAAAGTGCCCAGAACATAGTAGGACTAAAAAAAAAAATTAATGTTATCTTGCCTGCACCTGTAGTCATTCTTGTCCTCTTGCTGTATGCACAGGAGCTGAGTCCTGTGCTACAAAGAGTTGAAGAGCATAGACATCCTGGAGCAGCAGTGGCTGCTCACAGAATGGGAAGAGGGGGTGTGAAGATAAACTTCCTACATGGCATCTGGGCCCGTGTCCCCAGATCTAGAGGAAATGGGAGTGGCTGTGCATTTTCAGGTGAATGTATTAACAGGGAAAAAGGGGTTTCCCAGATGAGAGTCACCAAACACCCACTTTCTTATATCCACACCCCTGCCACTCCCTTATTTGACCTCCAAAATCTTGTGAGGTGGAGAAGAGTTATTATATCCCCAATTTACAGATGAGTAAACTGAAGTCCAAAGAGGTTTAACCTGAGGTTACATTGATACTAAGTGGCAGAACAAGGTCACAAATCCAAACCCACTGATTCCACATCCAAAGATATTAACCAAATTTCTCTTTATGCATAGCTCTTTAAGAACACAGCTATGACAGTGAGGCAGATCATCACAAGCATCATGCCAAACAGAGGGTGCATTCTTAAACATTCTGTGTGTAATAGCTACCACTGCAAAGTGGATCACGATTTTTGGTAGTTTCTCAATTCCGCCAGGTGCCATCAATAAATAGGCATTAGCAATGTAAGTTTTCAGAATTCAGCTGAGCTCCCAGCTAAGTGAGAAATCCTAGGGCAAGAGGCAGCAACTCTGTTCTGAATTGTATATTTCTTCCTCTTCATGATCTATAAACATTGGTCTAACTTACTGTTAAAAAGAAAGGTTTATAGAGAGCTAATGACATGCCAGGCACTCTGATAAGGGTTTATCATGCATGATCTCAATCCTTGAAACAATTCTACAAGGTGGGGCAACATCATGCCCATTTTATAGAGGCATGAATGGAAAGTGCTTCTAGGTCAAGTAACATAACCAAGGTCACACAGATAATAAAACATTTACAACTGGCTTCTCCCTTGATTTCCTTGCTATAGAGATTAGAAAGCTAAAATATTGCATTTTTTTTTTAGACGGAATCTCGCTCTGTCACCCAGGCTGGAGTGCAGTGGCGTGTGTGATATTGGCTCACGACAAGCTCCACCTCCTGGGTTCACACCATTCTCCTGCCTCAGCCTCCCGAGTAGCTGGGACTACAGGTGCCCACCACCATGCCTGGCTAATTTTTTTGTATTTTTTGTAGAGATGGGGTTTCACCATTTTAGCCAGGATGGTCTTGATCTCCTGACCTTGTGATCCGCCCGCCTCGGCTTCCTTCCCAAAGTATAAAATATTGTTTTTTATACTTTCTCTTGCAATAAGAAAGTCTGGTCAATAAGAGGTAAGTCAAAGTTTCTAGGTGAATCTCCTGGAACAATTTTTTTAAGAGACAGACTCATCTTCCATGCTCTTTGCCTATTCTTCCTGCCTGAAATGTGAACATGAAGCCTGGAACTCTAGCATCCATTTTATAACTCCGAGGATGGAAACCACATGATACCAAGACATAGCAGGAAGGAAAAAGGAACTTGGGCTCATAATGGCATTCCTGAGGAGATTCACAGCCTTAAACTGCCTAGCTCTGAACTTAGATGAGGAAAAATTAATCCCTGATAGCTCACGAAACTTTTGTTTTCTCTTATTTGGAACTATGCCTAATCCTAATTGATACATATGGTGATACTATTGTAATTTTTACTGTTATGGTTTCTTCTGGTTTGTTCTTGAGGTCTCTCTGTTAAGAGTATCCATAAGCCAAGACAGCCACTCTCCAAGAAAGCCCTAATTTGGGTAGAGGGGGAGGTGGAGTTACATTCAGTTGGGTTTGTCAGGTGAGCCACAATGAGGACATAAAACCAAAATGCATAAAACAGGAGAAATGTACAACTCACAGGTCCCCAAGAAGTTAGGGGTGCTGACTGGGGAACTGCTGGGAAGTCTGAAGGCAGCAGGAAGCTCAACCAGTGGACGGACAGTGAGAGGGAGTGAGGAAGTGAGAGAGGGAGAAAGGTGGAAGGAGGGGGAGAGAGATAGAGAGAGATAGAGAGAGAGAGAGAGAGAGAGAGAGAGAGAGAGAGCGCCTGTGGGACTACGCCTTTATTAATGTCCATGGGCATTATTCCTTAGGCTTTCCTGTGGGGGTTGCATATTGATTTGTTTTTTTTTTTTTAAAAGCACATGCATACGAGAGAACTTATTATTTACATGACTCTGGTGTTGATCACTAGGTTGTATCTTGGCCAGCAGCTGTGGGGTGTATCTGGCTTTCCATCTTTGAAAGGAGGAACAAACAGGCTGTGTTGAAACAACCACACAGGGAAGGGGAGCTTTAACCTGACCAAAGGCAACAAGGCAAAACTGGGTTTCGAATAACTGATGTCAGGTTTAAAAATAGATGCCAAAGCAGCAACTATATTAAACAAGTTTATGACAGATATGAAATTCAAATCTGAGACTATCAGACTCTAGACTCAAGTTTTTAGCTATTATATCTGCCTCTTTCCTAAATTCTACTATTTTCCCAGTAGAAAAGGACAAAGCATTAATGTTGAGTAGATAGGAGGGAAGGATTACTTAGTGCAGCTAGGGCATATACCATTCCTCCCACTCTCTCTCCCCTATCACACCTATAACCAACACAATGCTAACCAGAGATTTCAAGGATTCAGATATCTTAAGGACCCTTTTCCACTCTCTCACTCCTAGAAAGGATGGGTCACTCCACAGATGACATGAATGCTATTTCTACAGCTTAATATCACTTGGTCCTGGGGGAAGGAGAAAGGAGGAAACTTCAAAAACTTAGTTTCATTCATTACTTAAACAATGATTAGAAGAAAAGCATCTGTCCTGCTGATCCTTCAGAGGGTTGAGTGATGACCAAATGCAGTCCCTGATAGTTTTCTCGTTCACACATAGTAAGAGCAGCTGTTTTCAGCACCTTGGAGAGGGTTTATACTTTTCTGACTTTAAAACCTTGAGACAACGCAGAGATCTCCTGAGACTTTTCCGGATGACTTGTGGCATAACCTGCACTTTATGGGGTCTGAATCAAGGATGTTGGCATCCAAGAGATTTTCTCAGCCTGTGTGGGGAGTTGACCTGACCTGCTTTCAACCAGCTACTAAGGTCACATAGCAAGTTTGAGAACTTGCGTAGTGTACCACTGCCAAGAAAGGCATAGATGAAAGAGAACACTGAGAACAGTGCCTGGCATATGCTAGGAGTTCAATGTTATTGTTTAATAAATGAATCAATGCTGTATATCTATCACCAGTAATTGTACCAATATCTTATGAGGACTAAATAAGATAATGCTTGCTTAACAAAATGCTAAAATATAAGATATGCATAATAACTGTTAGCTATAATCCTAAGAAAACTACCTAAAATGTGAACAAAGATGTTTATCACAGCATTGTTTATAATACAAAAGTAGAAACAACATAAATATGTAAAAATATCATAATCCATATGATGGAGTAAAGGAGCCATGAAATGATGTTTTCAAAGTTCCTTTGTGATAGGATGGTACTGATTGAGATGTTTACCCTTAGGAATAGTGCAGTTTACAGCAGAGACAGAGAACTGTCAAAAACAAAGTGACTAAATATTATAGGGGCTGAGTTTAAAGGGAATCTGATTTTCAATCTTGAGATTCCTCATACCAACAGAGTTGACAAAACTAGAATTGATTTGGTGGCTTTTTATCACTGAGATATAAAATAAAGCTACCTTTTAATGAAGAACAGTGTTATGAAGAAAATTTACTCATTTTTATCTCTCCATGGAAGAGGAGATGAAGAAAATTTAACTTATTCTCATCTTCAAACCAAAAGAGGGGATCCCAGTGGGTATCTCCAAGAGGGAGAGACTAACATCTTATTCCAAGGTTCTGCCATAGCTGGAGACAGAACACTGCAGGGTGTAGGGAGAGGTTTTGTGGTATGGTCAAGTGATGAGGGACAAGAACATCACCTGGGTGCCCACTAGACATTTTTTCTTTCTTTCTTTCTTTCTTTCTTTCTTTCTTTCTTTCTTTCTTTCTTTCTTTCTTTCTTTCTTTCTTTTTTTTTTTGAGACAGAGTTTCACTCTTGTCACCCAGGCTGGAGTGTAATGGCGTGATCTTGGCTCACTGCAACCTCCACCTCCTGGGTTCAAGTGATTCTCCTGCCTCAGCCTCCTGGGTAGCTGGGATTACAGGCACGTGCCACCACGCCTAGCTAATTTTTGTATTTTTAGTAGAGACTGGGTTTCTGCACGTTGGCCAGGCTGGTCTTGAACTCCTGACTTCACATGATCCACCCACCTCGGCCTCCCAAAGTGCTAGGATTACAAGCGTGAGCCACCGTGCCCAGCCCCACTAGATATTTCTTATACCCACTGGCCATAGAGTAGGGCCATAGAGAGTATATAAGCATGGCAGGAATGCTGAAGTTTGAGACAAAAGGGAGTAGCATGGGGATGGTCCCCACATCAGTACGACTTGCAGGGTCCCCTGCCCATCCACGCAGACCTAGTGACTAAGAGCCAGACTAGCGGTGATGACCAACAGGAAGGGGCAGCAACTTGCCAAAGGTAGTCATGTAGGTAGGTGTTTTTTTTCCTTTTACTCCCCTACATATCCCTATACAGCAGGGGGTAAAGGCAGGGAAAAGAGAGGGTATGAATAAGAATGCACAGATTCTCCTTCTGCTCCCTCTTTACTTTTTAGTATAAGCTGCAACTGCAGCCCACCCTTTGCGGATAAGAGGAAATCTGAGGACATTCATGAATCAATTAAATACAAAATTAAATGTTTTAAATATGAAAGACTAAGCTTAAAACCAAAACAATGCCACCTTAATAACTGAATGTGACTGAAAGCTATGGAACTGGATAGTGTTGTCAAGAATCTCTTTTCCCCAGTGAGAGAGAGATGGATTTGACATGGCACAGTAATCGGGAAATATTGTAAAAGTAAAAGCATTCCATGTTTAAAACCTGGTGAGTTTGAGATTTTATCATCAAACTTGTTATAGCCCTAATGTAAAGTGCAAAAATCAAAATATAAAATTGTATATGTGGTAAGCTTCCATTTTGTAAAATATACAAAAGGCTCAAAGAAAATACATGAGAATGATATGGGTAGATGGAATGATGAGTAATTTTAATTTTCTTCTTCATGTCTTTTTTATTTTCCAAACTTCCTCAGTGGGTACGTATCACTTTTATAAGCAGGAAAAAATATCCAGAAAACGTTTGTTTGCTGTGTAAGTTTCTTCCTCTGAGGTCCCACACTTTAGGGCAGGTGCCCCACCATTCTTGGCTGCCCTAGTGCTAAAGTTCCCTTCAAGGACAGAGAGACAAGTCTTACTCGGGAATGAAATAAGGTATCTGTCTAACCAAGATCCTATTTTAGATGTTGATTTTAGTGTTTGTGAAACCTTTACTTTAGGGATGCTGGGTCATAGCAATCCCAGGAGCTGGACCCTCAAAACTTTATGGCCTTCCCCTTGGAGTCTCTGAAAACTTTTAAAAGAACCACATTCTCAGGAGCAACGGACTACTGTGTCAACCGCAGTTGGTTTTCCTAGGGCCAGAATAGCAGAATAGCATGTGCTTGTTGTACATCCTGAGCAGCCTGGTGGGATTTTATCCATATAAATAATCCACATGATGTCAGCTCTGATTTTTCGTCCCTTGATATGGAAGTATGAATGGAATAAGGTTAGCGAAACAGGACTTTTCTAAGACATAGCTGTTTGCCTGAAGATGAAGCTTGAGTAAAATGGTCTCCACAAAGCTGCTGCTCTAACACCTGCAATACAGGCATCCAGAGGTGCTCAGAAGCAGTTAAACGGTTGGAACTATGCAAAGGCCACTGGCTTCACTAAGGGAAGCCAGGAGAAAAGGATAGTCATAAGGGTTTGAGAGAAGGCAATAAGATGAGACTGCATTTCTGCCAACAATGAATTTTATTTGTCTCCAAGAATTTATGCCATTTTAAATCCATTTCTATCAACAAAGAACTACAAAGAAGGAAAAGTAGCAGCATGCCAGAGAGAGAAATACTCAAAGACTCTGATCATTGCTGGGCTGTCACTTCAGAAAGTGCCTGTGTGTCCTGCCCTGCTTTTGGAAGATTTGGGAGGTTATAACAAGTGCTCTCTCTCCAGATTCTGAGTGTCTAACACCTTCTAAGAGGGATCAAAGCCTTTAATAAAATTAAAATGGAAGACTTGTGTAACCATGCCTCTGGGAGAGAGTAAACAGTTCCTTAGAATTACATTAAGGTGTAAATGACCAATGTAATTTCAGATCCTATGCTGAAAGCCAGTTTTCATGGCAGGTGAAGAGTAGTGATTAGGAGGTGGAGTGCCTGGAGGAGAGAAAAGAATCTACCTGCTAAGAAGGGAAAAAGGACAAAAGAGGGAGGCTCAGGGCAGCAAACTCAAACTAACTTCACCCTCTGGCTTATAATTGGTGCAGTTCCCAGGAGGATACAGAAAACTCCTGCTTTGGGAGTGTCAGACTGTGCCCAATTGGCCCTTTAGATAGTATGTTCAACTAGTGTTAATTTTTTAAGTGAGCTATACAAGAGCTTGGGGAAGAATCAGGAGATACAGAGTTAGGGACATCTACCTGCACAGTAATTACAAGACTAGCTACAATTTGCAAATCATTTATACTTCCTTTTTGGAGTGCTTTTTCATTATTGGCAATGTCTCCTTGACACTGCCTCTATGAATTATCCTCATTCTTTGACCACAGTATTTGGCTTTGTCATATACATGGGCCATTAGCCAGAGCTTGGAAAGCTTTTGTTGTATATAGAGATTTCTATCACAGGGATGTCCAGTCAAAAAGTTGTGATGTGATTTCCCCCAATTAGCTCATGTTAACCTCAAGATGATCAGTTTCATTTCCTTTCCTGCTTCTTCCTCCAGTCTCACAACTGTTACCTTACCAATAGCTTTACCCCTTTCCTACCTCCCAAGGAAGAAGCACTGTCTTTCCTCCTGTCCAAGATCACACCTTCTTCTGTGCTCTGTATCTTATTCCAACCAACCGGCCCTTGCCTCCTCAGGGGCCAGGAACCTTGTTCCTTCAATTATCTCCTCTCTTTCTTATATCTTCCTCTTCTCTTTTAAGGCTGGCTTCTTCCTGTAGTCACACTCATGCTCAAGTCTCTCGTACCTTAAAATAAACAAAAACTTCATTGATTCAGTGTTCCCCACTTCTCTTTGCAGTTCAGCTTCCAGAAAGAGAAGATTTCAATTGCTACCTCAATTTTCTTATTTTCATTCAGTTCTCAACCTACCTCATTCTGACTTCCACCTACCAGCCATCCATTCAGGCTGTTTTCATTGAAAAATTCTTATGTTTCCTGAGTGTATGAGACCTTTCCAGTCCATAAATTTGCTTGACCTCTCTACATTCAGCTTTGATGACCACACTCCTTGAAATGTGTCTTGACTTTCCTGACCCCATTCTATCTTTGTCATCTTCCAATGCTGAGGACATTCTTGATCTCTCTCATGGGCTTATCTTTCTCTGTCCACCTTTTGAATGCTGATGCTTCCCAGGGTGCTGTCCAGAGCTGTTGTTGACTCCATGCACTCAACTTGGGGAAGTTCATCTTCTATGCTGGCTCAAATACCACTTATGCAATGATTCCCCTCTCTGTATCTCCTCCCCAACTCCAGCTTCCCCTGGATTCCAACCCAATATATCCCCATTGGATAGTTTAAATTAGATATATCTACATTTAACTAATTTAGATAGGAACTTCAAACTCATATCAAAAACTGAACTCATATCTTCTTCCTAGAATGTACAAATTTAAAGTTAGTTTCCTTTTTACAATCTCTCATTGCCTTCCTTTGACATTCAGGATAAAAGTCAAGCTCCTTAGTGTGGCCTACAAGGCACTTTACAGAATCGTCGTTAGCCCTACATATGTCTCCTGAAGATTTCCTGGTCCTTCCACCCATCCTGAAGCACTCATTTCCACTTTTTCCTCAGCAAGACAAGATTTCTCATAGTCCTATAAAAGGACCTTGCTGTTTCATGCTTTTCCACCTGTCTATCCTCTGTCTGCAATGTTCTATATCTCACTTCTCTTTTCTATTTACAAAATCCTACTAAGGACCTCTGAGGTCTCCCCATTATATTAGAGAGATGAGTCATTGTTCTGGTCCTAAACTTTGTACATACTTGGACTATTTTCTGTACAATCCTACTTTTTTATTATACATCTGTCTTTCTGACTGAGATTTTCTGCTTTTTATGGGCTAGGTCTGTAGCTTATTCTTTTTTTTTTTTTTTCTGACAGCATCTTCGCTCTGTTGCCCAGGCTGGAATGCAGTGGCACAATCTCGGCTCACTGCAAGCTCCGCCTCCCGGGTTCATGTCATTCTCCTGCCTCAGCCTCCCAAGTAGCTGGGACTACAGGTGCCCGCCACCACGCCCAGCTAATTTTTTTGTATTTTTTAGTAGAAACGGGGTTTCACCGTGTTAGCCAGGATGGTCTTGATCTCCTGACCTCGAGATCCGCCTGCCTCAGCCTCCCAAAGTGCTGGGATTACAGGCAGGAGCCACCACACCTGGCCTCTTATTCATCTTTATGCCTCCTGAATCTTTACTTTTCTGGTTTCTAGTAGATGCTCAGTAAATGCTTTTGGACTAGGCTGATTTTTTTCCCTTGTGGATTGAGAAGCAAAAGAACTAATAACTGTGGGTATTCATTGTGAATAATGAATATCTTTGAAATGTTTATCATTGTTTTTGAAAATGAAAACCAGTGCATTTTTTCCCTCCTATCCTTCCTCTTCTCTTTCCACCCTGGTTCTTCTTAACCCCTGAAAAATTTATTGACATTCCTCAAAAGTGCCAAAAACATGGAAGGACTCTTGTAGGAAGGTGGAGGAGTGAGGAGTGCTCAGCAGGTTGCACATTTGTTTAAGATTTACTCCCAACTGAACATGCATGGAAAATCAATACCATGTTTACTTTATTATGGGACAGCAGCTCAAAAAGGAAAACTCACTCATTCCAATGAGTATCAAAGTCAGCAATGTCAATGGAGAGGCAAACAGATGTTCCCAATTCTAAACATTTCAGGTGAAGGGGCAGGGATTCTGGATTGAGTTAATAAAGGAGTAGAGAGCAGCTAGGGAGGCATTTTATTTCTAATACATTGGAAAAGCCACTCTGTGAGTAACATCAAGAAAAACAGTGTGCATGGGAGCTGGAGGAAAGACCTGGTAGATATCAGTATCTTCATATAAGGGCTTCTTTCCCTGTGGTTCAGAATCCTGGCAGAGAAGTCAGGCTAACCATGGGAAGTGTAAGGGCGGAAAGGGATCACCCCCTTTCCTCCCCATCACAAGGGTCGTGGCCAGCACTCCTGTAACAAAGGACAGGTTAACAAGAAAAAAGCACAACAAATTGATTTGATGATAGTTTTACATAACATGGGAGCTTTCAGAATGAAGACTCCAAGACACAGGGTAGCTATCTGACTGTATGCTTAGGTTCAATGAAGCAGGGATGGTTGTCTAGAAATGTGATTTTACAAAAAGGGTATGATCTAATGGTAATAGACTGAGTGGAAAACCAAGCAAGGCCTGTCCAGATTCTCCTTGGCCTCTCTGTCATAGCCTTTCTTCTTCCCATGTATGGGATAGGACCCCTCTGGAATGAGGGTCTTACTTCCTTTATGACCAGCTGTTACACAGAAAGAAATGAGAAGGTTAGAGTAATATTTGTAGGCTTTATGGCTGGTTTGGTAAGGGGAAGGGGTTCTGATTTCTATGACCCACATTAGGGAAGAGAAATTCTAGTTTCTATGGCTGCCATGGGGGAGGATGAGAGGTGAGAGACAGGAGGGCAGGAGAAGGTAAGAAAAAAACTTTGCCTTGGAGGCTTTCACTTTGGGTTATCATTTTCTGAGCTCCAACAGAAGAAAAAATAAATATTTAAACTGAGACAGAAACCCAAGATAGTGGTGCTTGTGAACCAAGTGGGCTTTTTCCTGAATGAGAAGCACATCAGGAAATATCTGTCCTTAGGCAAATCAGTCCTTGGCTGGGGTGGGAGGTAGCAGCAAAGACCCAAATCCTTAATGGCCCAGAGTACTCCTCTCTATGAGGGACCAATAGACCAATGCTGCTCCAACTTCTGCCACAATTTCAAATTGTGTGCTAATGATTTCACTGGAGGTTCTTTAAACACCTCAAACCCAACAGATTGTCTCTTTGAAACCCTCATCTATAAAAATCTCCATTTCCCCCTATTTTCCTGTTCCTCTTGCTGTCCTGCACTCGCCTTTACTCCTTCCCTCTCTGTATACAATCAGATGGCAAGTCTTTCCTGTCCAGTTTCACTGCCACTGCCTTTGCTTAGGCCATTATCCCTGTGATTAGATTTCTTTATTACAAAGGCCTGTTGGTCTGTACAACAGATGCCTAATACCTCAATTCCTCTATGTGGCTATTGGAGTTACTTCTGACCATTTCCCCCAACCTTAAAAACCTTCAAAGTCTCCCCATTGCACCCACTATAAAATCCAGACTCCTTATTCTCTAACACTTATTATTCATTCTCAAGTATGCTCTCTAATCTGTAAAGTTCTTTCTATTTTGACCACAATGTACATTTTCAGCATTTTGTCTCCTGTTTACCTCACCCAGGTTCCTTTATCCGAGCCCAAATATTGCTTTTGCATTGCCATTTTTATACTGTCTGTTAGCCTTGAAAAATGTTATCTTCAAAATGAATACATCCCTCCAAACCTTCCTTCCCTGCCCCTAACCCAGGTGATCTCCCCCATATCAGTTCCCTTGCACTTGATATCTCTAGTGAGATACTAGGGACTTGCTTCCTTGCACTGTAATGTACATGTACTATCAACCCAACACTAGCCTGCAAGTATGTTTAGGGAAAAGACTGCATCTTATTGTATTAGCATTCCCACCATATTAATGTAGTGCCATGCTCATAGAAGAAGGCAAGAGTGAATAGAATAATAGAAGAACAGACTCCTGGGACTTTAAGGAGGATGCCTCACCTTGGACCAAGGTTCTCTAGAAGTATGGTCTTCAGTGTCACCCACCTAAAAAGTTCTCTTTCTTGGCACCCCCACTTGCCTCACACCCACCCCCTAACACAGCCACAAATAAATTTGAATTAGGAGATAGGCAGGACTGGGTAAGACCAGAATGTTGTCCTGGGCTAGGTGATTTAGGAATAATTTTGGAAGGAGAGCAAGGTGATATTTCAATTGGGGTGGAGGAAGAAGGGAAAGCATTCAGAGAAAGAGGTGGCAGATGAATAAACACAGAATTGCAGAGGGAGTGGTGTGGTTGTGATAGAGGACAGGGAGAAATTTCTCTTGGCTGGAGCAGAATCTCCACAACGGGAAATGGGGGGAAATGAGAATGTTCAGATGGGATGGAGTGGGGTCCACATAGGGGCCCTAAAGTTCAGACAAAGCAAATCAGAGACTTTCTTCTCCAAGGCCTACTGCTCAGCTTATCTGCAGGGACTCGCTTGCTCAGGAAGTTTAATGTCAAGTTTAAACATGTGAGAATGACCAGGTAATAATTCTAGCTCTGCTACTTCCTAGCTTATCTGGCATTGGGAAAGTAGTTTAATCTCTTTCTGTCTCAGTTTTCTCATCTTTAAAATAAGTACATAACAGCGCCTACTTTTTAGGATTATTATAGGATTAAATGAGTAAAGCACTTAGAATAGTGCCACAGCTATGTAAGCTAATTATTAGCTTATAATATTATTAGATAATAATATTTTATTATTCCTGGGGAGACCCCAAGACTAGATCCAATACTTGACATCATAACATTTGTCAAAGCAGAAAAATCTCAGGTATTTTTTATACCAGAAAATATCTCTTAACATTTTTAATAAAGTCATACAAAACAGTACCAAAGCTGGGGGAAGGGCAAAGCCAAGACTCTAAAGCCAAATGTGGAGACCCATGTGGGGTCCTGATCCGGGAAGCCAACCCAGGAAGGCATCTGAGACAAGGCCTTGAAAGATGCTACCAGTTCCAGCCGGGACAGGACTTAGCCGAGAATGAGTGTCTGCCCTGGGGACAGGAAGAGGGGCAGAGCGGGCTCCCCCAACCCCTGCCTGGAGTGCTGGGGAGAGGTGCTGAGCTGAGCCTCATTAGCAAGAAGAAGCTGACTTCAGAGACCACACATCCTTGTGCCATCTCAGAAACGCTCTGAGAAAGTCAGTAAACAGGTATTTGGGGAGGCTTTTAAAAAATCCCTGTGAACACATTCTTAGCTAAGAATATAAGTTGAGAGAAAGGAGCTGCCAACTTGTGAGAGGGGCTGAATATTATGAAGAGAATATTACATCCCCCTCTGGGAAAGATGACTGACACAGCAAAGAAACTTAATGAGACTCAATATCCTGCTTCCTCTCGCTGCTCCTTTGCAGAGATTGGAACGCAAATCTCTGGAGTGGGGGAGGTTATTTGATGCAGGGTAAAAAGCAAGGTGTTTTGCAGCAAGTGTTTGTTAAGTTTTCCTTGGGCTTAAAAGGCCAGCAGGGGCCTTTCTTTGCAAAACAAGAAGTAAGGGAAAAACAAAGCCTGTGTGTTGAGATCCTGCAAAGTTTACCTTTTCATTAATTCTTCAGAAACTACAAGAAAGGAGACCTCAGTCCTGACATGATGCCATCAGTTCTTCCAAGTGTCCCTGAAGGGGCTGGGCTATACCATTTGCAGGGCACAGCTCCCCAAGTAGAGGAAACACGAGCCAAGTTGGACAGACTTTCTTCTCACCAGGTAGCTGGAAAGAGCATCTCTTTTCTATTTACCAGGGAGGGAAGTAGCAATAAAAAACTTATCTAGGTGATTTGGGGGCAGAGATTAACATGATTCAACTGCCTCCAAATACAGTGTGCCAAATACTGAGGTAGGCATAATGTATAAATTATCTCTTATGAATGCAAAGATAAGATTCTAACCTTAGCTGAATTGATACATGATTAATTGAAAAGAAACAGAGAGAGACAGAATGAGGGAGGGAGGAAGGAGGAAGGAAGGAAGGAAGGAAGGAGGAAGGAAGGAAGGAAGGAAGGAAGAAGGAAGGAAGGAAGGGAGGGAATGATCTTACAGTTAAATAGACATCAAATCCTGGGTTGGCCCTGACAGTGCTAACAAGCTAGGCCTTCAGTTTCCTCCCCTAAAAATCAAGATTGTTGTTAGGTGGATGTGAAAGTTCCTAGCACAGAACCTCTTGTATAGTAGGTGCTCAGGAAATGCTTGCTTATTTATTAATTTGCCTAAAAGGTAAGGTTGTAGTTGTGGGAAGAGTGATATTCAGAATCTGCAGACCTGAATTCAAGTTTGACGTTGCCACTCATTAACTGCATGACTTTATGCAAATCATTCAGTCTCTCTAGGCTTCAAATTTCTCCTTCTTGATAAAAAAAAATCTATCAAATAGGATTGTTGTGAAGGTGAAATGAAATAATATCTGTAAAATGCTTAGCACAGTGACTTGCCTTTTGAAAACTCTCTGTAAACAGTACTTAGTACCAGCTGCTTGGTGAAAGGGGTTTGGGGGTGGGAATGTGTAGAGAGCAGTTAGCATCCCGGTCATTTAAATAGTTACATGTACCGATTCCAAATATCTCAGCTTCATCTTGCATGAACGTGTAATGCTATAACTAACCTGGCAGTTACAAAAGTGGAAGTCCACCACCTAATTGAGCTTTCATTATGATTGGTGAGGGCCAGTGAGTGGGGAAATGCTGCAAAGCTGCTCCCAAGGAATCTGCTGGGCCATCTACACAGGAGCCTGCTGATCCTCCCAACTCAGGCAGAAAAAGTGTTCGGAGCTCCGGGAGATCTGTTTCTACTTATGGTACTGTAACATCCAACTTGGAAAACACTGTTCACCCACCACTCATTGCAAAGAAGAATGTGTGGGCACCACAGACCACACACCAAATTGTCTTGCTGAAAAAGAAACAGCTAGACAGTCTCTCTTTACTGCAGACACAGTGGTATCACTGAGGGAGCATTTAGGGGAAGAAAGAGAAGGGAAAAAAGAGAAGGCAGCTAGCTGACTTTTCTGCACCATCCACAGAGACCTGTCCTCGAGGGCACTCCCCTCCGGATTCCCAGCACTTGGCAAGCTGGGGAGTTGGGATGCTCGAAGTTTTGCAGTCTCATCTTTCATCTTCAATGACAGTTTGAGTTTATTAAGAAGTAGGTACTGCATCTCTCCTGCCAGGTCTTGGGGAAGGTTGAAGTTGATTAATGCTCATGGGGCCAGATAGAAGAGGGAGCCTGTGGTTTGGCCATCACACAGAGAGGAAAATGAGGTCAAATGGTATCTAAAGGGTAGCAAAGGGTGCAAAGTAGGCCCTGCAGGAACACCCCCTGCAGATTACCCTCTTTTGAAGTCACATGAACACAGTCAACCCAGGGCTTTTTTGGTTTATAGAGTCTCAGCTGACGTTCATTATGTTTGCTACCAGCTCCTTTGATTGGGACAGTCTTACATTTTGGAAAACATCATGTGATATGATGAGTGGTTGCCAATTTACCTTCCAGTGCTTTTTTGACCTGGATGAACTGAGTTCTGGAAGGAGCTATCTTGGAAAAAGCCTAATAGAGTTTTAATTCTTGCAAGGAATATCCATTGAAGAGGTAATTGCAAGGCGATTACCCTCAGCATGGCTAAGAGAAGATCTGAGTTGATCTCGCCATTCCTTTCCTTACTGTCTGTTGGACTTGGAAAAGTCGGTTATCCCATCTGAGCCTTGGTTTCTACATCTGTAAAAAGAAAAAAATAATAATTATAGGGGCCAAGGGAAAACTTCCCGTCTGACTTCTGAAGGTTCACTGAAAAATCAACTGACAAAAGGCAGATTAATAGGAAAAATGGCACACAAATTTATTAGTGTTCACAGGGGAAATCACAGAGTTATTACCCCACCACACATGAAGATGGTACAGATAACCATCTTCTTAGGGGAAAGAGAAATGGGGAAGTGTAAATGATTTTAGAGGAATAGTAAATGATTTTTAGGGGAATTCAATGGAATTGGGACAAAGTCTGTTGGACCCACAGACCAGACAATTGTTGTGATAAAAGTCTGTCCAGATTTGTTGATAGACTTCAGTCTTTCTTCCTGTATTATGAGTTCAGTTACTGAAAATTCAGGAAAGGGACCAGACATAATTGTTTTCTTCTTTGGTGGGTCCCAAGTTTAGGCAGATAAAGAACCTTCAGGAAACAACCTCATCCTGTGATTTGGGAGAGACAAAAGGCTGAGAGACAGAAAATGGGGGCAGGTGGGAAATGTAAGTGTCAGAGAGATACTGAGGCTTCTTCTTCAGTTAAGCATGTTAATCTTCTTCAGTTAAGCACCATATTTTGGGGTATCAATTTCTGAGCCTAACACCACTCATCCAATTGAAATTAACAGATATTTATTGATCAATAGAATTATGTGCCAAGAATCATGTTAGGGATTCCAAGATAAATAAGATGTGGCTCCTACCCTCAAGGAGCTTACAGTCTAGTCTTCCTACTTGTGTCAGACATTCGTATGCACTACTTCAGGTTCTCTTGGAGTCATCGATATCTTGCCTCACCTGCTACTGAGGTTTCCAGCTTTATGTGGGTTCCAGCTGACTTTACATAGGCACGGGCTGATAGTGCTTTATCTCATGCCCTTGCTGCATAACTCTTGCCTCCTTCAAGGCTTTCTTGTTGACACTGAGGCATGGAACATTTCTGGCCCCTGCTTGGTACCTACTTACATGAAACACAGAAACTTCGTTCTGAGTTTTGGAAGAGACAAAGGACTGAGAGGCAGGAAGTGGGCGGGGTGTAATTGGGGGTAAATCTTTGACCATTACATAACGAAATTAATCGGCAAATTGTTCCTCAGTTCTCTGCCTGAAACAATCTTGCTAAGATGCAGTTTAAATGACTTCTCGGAGGACTATCCTGTGAAGTCAAGTAATCGTCACAGTTAGCAGCTGCTAGTTGATAAAACATCCTCATAATTTGTCCCTGCTTCACCCTCTTGATATCATTCTTGTTCCCTGGGATGGAACTCCCTAATAAAGTAAAAGCACATAAGTCTTTTTGGCAGTCTTGTACTCTGGGGAACCCAGGATAAGACAGTTGGTATCAAGAATGGCCCTGGAAAGTAAAATCTCAAGGTGGGATTTTGGAGATGAATTACCCAGAATCTGATGGCAAGAAGTACCTCATTGCTATTGGTGAAAAGGGTAGTAATAATTCTGGCATACAGTGATATAAAAATACTAAATTTTTACCTGATGTTAATTGGAGAAAGTGTAGGATGAACTATTGAAATGTGTGATGGCTGTGGTACTTGAAAAATATGGAAGCATTGAAATTATATGGAGTGAGCTAGACTTTGTTAACTGCATTGGAAGACTTTACTAAAGAAAATGATAAGTTAAGGAAAACTAACTGCCAACTCAAGGCACAGTGTGAAAACCAGAAGCTCTCTATGACAGCTTTAAGGAGACTCATCTCCTGAAGCTGCAGAACACACAGTGCTGAAAATCAAGCCCACGGTCTAATTGTAAGGGTGCTATAACTTCCAAGAGAGTATATGCACAACCTTCCCTCTCTTATGTTTGAGTCAAGGCTTGGATAGGAAAAGAGAGGGCTTGTGAAACCAAGAATGGGGCATATGGGTGGACAAGCCTGAGAACTTTTAGATTCCCTTGAACGTTGAAAGTTGGTAAAAGCAGTTCCTTCTCCCTTGACAGGGAAGAACATCCTTCTCTTGCCTGGAGACCATGTAATGACTTCACCTGAGGTAGGTGCTTTATGAGATAATGACTATTCTCTTCAAAATCTTCTGATATCCCTCAAAATGAATCTTTGTCAAAAGGAGTCAAATGGAGGAATAAGTGTAAAATAGGAAATATTTTTAATATGGGAGATCTCACCTATATCCTGGCAAGGATACTTACAGCTTCTTCTTATAATCTATTTGGGTGACTCCTTAAACCTTGGACAGATAATGGCCTATAGTAAATTAGGTGAAGATTTTGGTAATTCTTTGGTATGGTATTGAAGGAGAGATCACAGGGCTCAAGAAAGCAGGAATATTAGAAACAAGGTACTATACAAGACCTGAGAACCTACCACCTGACCATGTCTTTGAGAAGCTTAGGGACAGCTTTTGCTTTTTTTAATAGTAAGTTAAAATTGCTGATGGGAGATGCTGCCAAGTAACTCGGATTCCTAGTATCAATAAGTTTGATACAACCAGCTTCTGGAAAAAAAAGCTGGTTTGATACAACCAGCTTTTGGAAAAAAAGAAAGACAACCCTTATTTATAGCATTTGCCAGTTTCCATGATGTAAATACTTTCATCATGACCATTTTTAAAGGTACGAATCTGACTTCACTAGACATTGAGTTGAGGAGATATGCACAGTTCACTAGACTGGCTCCAGCATACTACATGATCCTGTCATGTAGGGTGTTTCTTGACTTGTGTATATAAAAAAGAAAAAGTAATTTAGCCATCAAAATGGAAAGTCATAGTCCCTCATTTATTTTCTTGATCTAAGGAAGTACATAGACTTCGAACCCAGTGATTGGAGAGAAGACAGAGTTTCTTCTAGGAAGGACCCTGCAATGCAACTGCAAGTATAAATGGTAAATATTCTTCTGATCCTTCCCAATGGGGACATGTGGCCATTTGCCAGTGTAAAACCAGGAGAATATCTTGACTTTTCAATAACTTTAAGAATTGTCACCTTGTAATATAAGTTCTGACCAAGGGACCTGAAAGTCCTAAAGTTAGAGAAGGAGTTTATGGAGGCCAGGTAGTAAATAGAATCCTAGCTCTAATCCATCTTACAATGGGTTCAATGAGTCTGCAGACACATTCTACCATTATATCCTGGTCTCCAAGTATATATTTGGGATAGATATAGCTGGCAGAATCCTCACATCGGTCCTCTAACCTGTGAAGTAAGGGTCAGTATGATAGTGATAGCCAAGTGGATATCCTCTGAAGTTGATCAACTCCCCACTTTCTGCACTGACCAAAATAGTACTCAGAAGCACAACCCAGGAGAAATTGCAGAGGTCAGTACGATTATCAAAGGCTTAAAAAATGTAAGGGTGACGGTCTGATTATATCTTCATTTAATTTACCTGTGTGGTCTCTGCAAAACCAACAAACAGACAAGCCAGGAATTAAGATTCATTTCATGCTGGACTAACATAAACTTAAGGAAGTGGTAGTCCCAACCATAGTTATGCTGGATGTGATATCTTCATTAAGACAAACTAACTCAGCCTCTGGTATGCAGCCACTGAGCTGGCAAATGCATATTTCTCAATCCCCATCGATAAGAGAATCAAAAGTAGTTACCTGCATATGACAGAAACAGCAGTATACATTCATTATCTTTCTCTAGATCTTTGTTAACCTTCCCTCTCTCCGTCACAATATAGTTCACATGGATTTTGATCATCTTAGAATTCCACAGCTTATCATTATGGTCTGCTATTAATGATATCTTTCTAACTGAACTCAGTGAGCAGGGAGTGGCAAGCATTCTAGACGCCCTCGTAAGATACATGCATATCAAAGGATGAGAGATAAAACATAGGAATGTTCAGAAGTCTGATGCATTGGTAAAGTTTTAGGGGTCCTGTGGCTTGGGGCACACAAGAACATTATCTCTAAGGAAAAGGTCAAGTTGCTGCACTTTGTACCTTCTCCCATTGAGAAAAAGGCACAATGCTGGTAGACTTTGTATTTTGGGATAGAATTTACCACACCAGGAAATATTGCTCTGACCAAAATGTTAATGACTCAGAAGACTGCCAGTTTCAAATAGGGCCAAGAACAAAAGAGAGCTCTGCAGTAGTCCAGTAGCAGGATAATCTACCTGCCACTGGGGATATATGACTCACCATATTCGATGGTGTTTGAGTTACCCATGGTGGATAAGATTGCACCTAATGTTCCGGAAAAAGACTATAACTTCTACAACAAGAACTACTTTCCATTTGAAAGACAGCTCCTGGTATGCTACTCGACTCCCTAGCAGAAACTAAATGCCTGACCATGGGATACCAAGTGATCATGTGACTTGAACTACCCATCATGAGCTGAAAATTTTCAGATCCACCAAGTCATAAAGTTGAGTGAACAGCAACAATCAACTGTCTCAAAGAAATTATATTTTTGGAATCAGACTGAATTAGGCTCGAAAGGCATTAATAAATCACATAGATATGTGGTCCAGAGTTCCATGTCATTAATGTATGCTGCATTGATGTCTATCCTTCCATGCAAACCTATGGCCTCATGAGGGTTTCCCCATGACCAACTGATGGAAGAAGAAAAACTCAGGCCAGATTCACAGATGACTCAGCAGAATATATTGGTGCTAACTGAAAATGAACTGCTGAACTGATGCCACAATGCAGTCCCTTTCAGGGGTGACCCTAAATGTGACAGGGAAGAGAAATCATCCTAGAGGACAGATCTAGGAGCAACACACTTGTTCATCCATTTGAATGGAAGGAAAAGTGGCCTGAAATCTCCGCCCACCCCCCTCTTCATATATATCTCTATCCATCCATGTAGACACACAGACTCTTTGGCATTAGTGAATGGTTTATCTGATTACTCTGGGGTTGAAAAGGAGTAACATCAGAAAACTGGGAGATGAAGGCCTAAGGAATGGGAATAAAGTATGCAGATCTTTGTGTCTGAGTTAACACCCTCCAAAGAAAATTCACCAGAGAGAAGGCGATCCACAACTGGGTAAATGGGTGCTACATCATGTAATTGTCCTCAAGCCTCTCTTCTGCCACTCCAGTCCTGGTACAATGAGCCAATTAACAAAGTGAACATGGTGGCAGGGATAGATGTCATGGGTTCCCATTCACCAAGACTGATCTGTAGACTGCCACTGTGCTGATCCCTTGATATGCTACTATTCCTCAAAGAGATTAGGCAAACACTTGATTATGGATTAATTGTATTGGACTCTTGCCATTCTGGAGGGGCAGGAAACCATTATTGTTGGTCAATTCCTTCTGAATTCTATATAAGCTCTCGGTGCTGGTTATTCAGAAGGAATTGACTTATCAATATATTAACTTACCAATATATTAACCCATGCGGCATCATATAAAACCAAAGGACTTACTTTACAACAAAAGAGATGTAACAATGGGCATATGACCATGGGATTTATTGCTCTTACCCATCATCTCCACCTGGAAAGATGCTAGTCTCGTAGAATGATGGAATAACCTGTTAAAGGCTCATCTAAAATTCCAGCTTGGTGATAATAATTGCAAGTTTGGAGCACTCTCTTCCAGGATGTGGTCTGTGTGTCAAATCAAAGGCCACTAGATAGACCTGTAATCTAATAGGCTGGAATACATGGATCCAGGAACCAAGAGATGGAAAAAGGATTAACCCTCACAACCCCATTCTCAGTGAACCATGCTGTAGTCCTAGGTTCTACCAAGTTAGAGATTTTCTCTCTCAAGTGTCAGTAGAGTATGATTCCATTCAGGAACATGACAAGGGCTACAATTAACTTGAAATTATTTTTGCCACTTACTCACTTTGAAATCCTTATGCCAAAGGACCAGCAGACAAATAATAGGATTCCTGAACTTGTGAGAGTAATCACAAGTAAATCCTACCAAGAGAAGCTAGAGTTGCTTCTACTTGTAGGGGCAGGAGGTGATGGTGGTGGCAGAAAATATGTTGGAAACTCAAAATATTTTACTAGGAAATCTCTAATGTTTCTGAGTAATAACAATAAATTGGCAGCTTCAGCAATCATAACTCTACAACAGCTCAGACTTTGTGGGGATGAAATCCTGGCTTACCTCAACTGGCAAGCAGTCCAGACCAACAGAAGTGTTGGCCAAATTTGAGAGAAGTCTGGATAGAATAGATACGGCAAGAGAGAGATATGAGTATCAATTACAGTTTGTAACTATAGCTAGCTATAGGGATTGTATCTTATTTCTCTAACCCTCTTGCTTTTCATTTTTAAGAGGTTGCACATGGCCACCAATTTGAAAAAGACTCTTTGGTCAATTGTATTTGTATCTGATTTCTCTGAGAAGAATTGAGTCCATTTTGTTATCACAAAAATGGAAGCTCCATATTGTAAAATGGGAACCAGACATACTTGAGAGAACAAGAATATTTGAGTAGTGCAAGGGGTGGACTGTAGCAGGCACCTTTTGTATACCACTTGATTCTCTTAGAACTTGTCTCCTGTCTCTAGTTTCAGTCATCACTGTGTTAACCATCTCTGCTTGAGTGTTGACTGACTTCAAGTAAATACAACTTTTCAGTACCTCAACTTATGCCTGCACCTAGAGCATTTTGCCTCTTGTCATGGGTTTTTCCTGTTGTCCCTAAGGCTTAGCATGCTATAGGGTCCTGTTTGGCTCCCATATACTTGAAGCCCAAAAGTTTAATGGCCTCCAAAAAGCCAACCCTTGACTAGTGAGAGAAGGTAGTCAGTGGATAAATTTTTTCCCCTGTTTTATCCCATATGGACTAGGGTGAGATGTAATTTACACAGTTTCTCTGAGAGCTGCACCATAAAATCAAGCAATTAGTCGCAGTCACAGCAACCAGCTAAATAATGCCTCCATATACTATGCACTTTCCTTGCTTTGAGCTCATTTTCCCTTACTCCTGCTCCCTGAGCTTGCATTCCCTAATAAATTAGTGTTGCATAAACTTTATCTCATTCTCTGCTTTCTGGGAAACCCAGATGAAGACACTACTTGACAAAACTTCTGTGAGAAATATACTTAAAAATAATAGAAATCAAAATGCTTTGCAAGCACATTATGTAATAGCACAAGATGTAACTATTAGCTTATAGTTATTGAGTCTATTTCAAGTTTATGTTGCAAATAGAGTGGGACAGGAAAATCCATAGGCAGTATAGCAGGTAAACACGCTCTTGTCTCCTCTCCAGTCCATTATTTTGATCCTGGTAATTCTGATTTACAGAGTGATTGTCACTCCACCTACTCTCCTTCTTAAATTTCCAGGGTTACCTTCTCCAGGAAGGCTCCTGGATTGACATAGCTCCTTCAGCCCTATCATGATCATCACCACCCCTAAGAAACACAATTTCAGACCACATTTTATGGAAATCCTTGTTGACTAGAATTTCATCTTGTGTATTATATGTGAGTTCCCTGAGAGCAGAGTCTGAGTTCACCCTTTGGCATAACTTTAGGATAACTTCTAAGCTACGCGGCTGATTCTCCCTCAGGATGGCAGGTTTTCCTAATACGTTAGGACTGATTTATGCAAATTATTCCATACTTTCTCATCTGAGTCCCTTCTGACCAACAACCTAGGCATGATCACAGGGAGGCAATTTACTGTGGGTGACAGTAACTGGGAAAATAGGGATTTGTGGTAAGAAAACTTGACTCAGGTCCTGGATCTACCACTTAAATGCCGCATGATTCTGAGCCTCATTATCTGTCATGATTAATTTTATGTATCAACTTGACTGAGGTACAGGATGTTCAGATATTTAATTAAACATTATTTTAAATGTGTCTGTGAAGGTATTTCTGGATGAGATTAACACTTGAATTGACAGACTGAGGAAAAAAGATTGCCCTCCCCACAACTGGTGGGCCTCATTCAATCCATTATAGTTCTCAGTAGAACAAAAAGCTAAGAGAGAATTCACAAAAGGTGGAGTAAGAGGGAATTCACTCTCTACCTGACTGTCTTTGAGCTAGGCCATCAATTGTGTTCTGCCTTCCAACTCAGACTTGGACTGGAACTTACATCAGCTCTCCTGGTTCTCACATCTTCAGACTTGGACTGGGCTATACCATTAGGTATCCTGGGTTTCCAGCTTGCCAACTGCAGATTCTGGACTTTTGAGCCTCCATAATGGTGTAAGCCAATTCCTTATAATAAACCTCTCTCTCTCTTTCTGTATCTTTGTGTGGGTGAAGAACCAATAAACAGAACCAACAGGAGATAGATATATATAGATATATAGATATATAGATATATACATACACAGAAAGTGTGTGTGTGCATGTAAATATATGCATAAATATATAAAAATATATCCATAAATACATAAATATATATATTCTATTATGTATATATAACAGTGTTATAGATACATTGCATATGTAATATATGTTATCTATGTAACATAATGTATTATATTATATATAATATTAGATTATATAATATATAGCACATTATATAATATATAATATATTATTGGATTATATATTATATACTATTAGATTATATACTATATTATATAATGTAGTATATAATATGTTATATAATATACAATATAATATTAGATTATATAATATATGATATTAGATTATATAAAATATTATATAACACATTATATACTATATTGTATAATCCAATATTATATAATATATTACATATTATACATTACATATCATTATTATATAATAAAAAATTATATACTATATAATACATAGTATATTATATTCACATATCTCCTTTTGAAGATATATGTAATATAGAATATTAGATTACATTAGATTATAATATATTAGATTATAACATATAATATAACATATAACATATAATATATAATATATATGACTATATATTTTATATTATATTCTATTTCAATAAAATATTTATATTTTATTATATATTATAATATATAATTATATATGTAATAATATATAATATATAATATATATTTTATATTATATTTTATATTTATTTTTATATTTTATATTATATTTTATTATATATATTATAATATATAATTATATATGCAATAATATATTATATATTATAATATATAATTATATATGCAATAATATATTATATATTATAATATATAATTATATATGCAATAATATATTATAGATTATAATATATAATTATATATGCAATAATATATTATATATTATATATTAGATAATATATTAATATATATTATAACATATAATATATAACATATAATATATAATATATTATCTAATATATAATATAACATATAATATATAATATATTATATAATATATTATTACATATATAATATATTGTAATATATAATATTACATATATCTTCAAAAAGAGTTATGTGTATATAATACATATATATACCATATTATTGTATACATAATATATACATAAAATATTATATAATATGTATAATACTTTCTATCATATATTATATATACATATATATCTCCAGAAGGACATATATATAACAGTATATGTATATGTATAATATATATTATATAATTCTATATATTATATAGAGTATATATAGATATAGATCTATATAGATATATGTATATATAATATATAATATATGATAGAATGTATTATACATATTATATATTATATGCTATATAGAATACATAGTATTATATAATATATATAATATATACATATATTATGTACAGGTGTATCTCAGAGATATTGTCTGTTCTGCTCCAGACCACCAAAATAAAGCAAATATTGCAATAGAGTGAATCACATGAACTTTTTGGTTTTCCAGTGCATATAAAAGTTATGTTTACACTATTAAGTGTGCAATAACATTATATCTAAAAAATGTACATACCTCAGTTTAAAAATACTTTATTGCTAAAAAATACTAATGATACCTGAGCTTTCACTAAGTCATAATCTTTTTGCTGACAGAGTGTCTTGCCTCAGTGTTGATGGCTGCTGACTGATCAGGGTGGTGGTTGCTGAAGATTGGAATAACTGTGGCAATTTCTTAAGAAAAGGCAACAATGAAGTTTTCTGCATCAATTAACTTCCTTTCACAAAAGATTTCTCTATACCATGGGATGCTGTTTGATAGCATTTTTCCCACAGAATCTTTTGAAAAATGATGTCACTCCTTTCGAAAACTGCCACTGCTTTATCAACTAAGTTTATGTAATATTCTAAACCCTTTGTTGTCATTTCAACAATGTTACATCATCTTCACCAGAAGTAGATTCCACATCAAGAAACAAATTTCTTTGCTCATCCCTAAGAAGCAGCTCCTTATCTATTCACATTTGATCATGAGATTGCAGCAACTCAGTCACATCTTCAGACTCCACTTCTCATTCTAGTTCTCTTGCTATTTCTACCATATCTGCAGTTATTTCCTCCACTAAAGTCTTCCTTCCTCAAAGTCATCCATGAGCATTGGAATCAACTTCTTTCAAATTCCTATTAAGGTTGACATTTTGACCTTCTCCTGTGAATCACGAATGTCCTTAAATCTAGAATGGTGAATCCATTCTAGAAGCCTGTCAATTTATTTTGCCCAGATCCTTCAGAGAAATCACTGTTGGCAGCCTTATGAAATGTTTTCTGAAATAACAACACTTGAAAGTCAAAATGACTGCTTGATCTGTGGGCTGCAGGATGGATGTTGTGTTAGCAGGCATTGGGAAAATCTCAAATACACTCAAAAGTGCTTTTTTCCTATTCTCTCAATATAACAATCATCAACAAAAAGGAAGACTTCTGTGACAAAATTTGTAGGGGGTTTCTCCCTACCACCAAATGACTAATCAGTTCTGCAGCAGACACCCACAGGGTGTTCTCCAATTCAATTCCAGCACTATCTACCTGAAGTTAGTGTCAGATCCCACAGGTTTGGGGCTCAGTCCCCAAAACTTCCCCTGCTCCCGACACCAATCACAAGTCCACACCTCCCAAACTTCTCACTCACTGGCATCAAATTGGAGTTCCCACAATCTCCTCTTTGGGTTTGGTTAATTTTACTGGAGTGTCTCACAGCACTCAGGGGAACACTCATATTTATCAGTTTATTGTAAAGAACATTGCAAAAAATACAGACGAAGAGATGCCTAGGATGAGGCATATGAGAAGGGGCACAGAGCTTCCATGCACTCTCTGGGTGTGCTACTTTTCGGAAGCCTCCATGAGTCCACCTATCTGGGAGCTCTCCAGGACCCTGTTCTTTTGGGTTTTTACGAAGTCTTTATTATGTAGGTCTGATTGATTAAACCATTGATCATTGATGATCAACTTGACCTTCAGCCCCTATGCCCTTCCCCAGAGGTTGGGGAGTGGGGCTGAATGCTTTATTAATGCCTTTGTCTTCCTAGTGACCAGCCCTATCCTGAAGTTAGCTGTCAATCATTAGCATACATAAAGACATCACTTTGGAGATTCCAAGGATTTTAGAAGTTGTATGTCAGGAAACAGGGAGGAAGGCCAAATATATATTTCACAATATCACACCAGGCATGAAAACAACATTCATTTTCTTGTAGATCTCCATCAGAGATCTTGGATGACTAGATATATTGTCAATGAGCAGTAATATTTTGAAAGGAATCTTTTTTTCTGAGCAGTAGGTCTCAACTGTGAGCTGAAAATATTCAGTAAATCATGCTATAAATAGATGTGCTATCACTCATGCTTTGTTGTTCCATTTATAGAGCACAGACAGAGTAGACTTGGCAAATTCTTAAGGGCTCTAGGATTTTTAAATTCATTCCTGTTTTTATTTTTAATGCCTCTATTGTAGGTCTTTGTGTTATGATTTCCAAGAGGTTTACAAAAACCATCTTATGGATAAAACAAGTTAATTTAAAGAGATGACAACTTATCGTACATCACAAATAAAAGAATAGAAACAAAGAAAAAATAAAAAGTGAAAACTTCTACACTTTAACCCCAACCCTATGCCACATTTTGACTTTCAGTTGTCTCAATTTACACATTTTTATATTACCTATTTCTTGACAGGTTGTAGTAGCTATTAATGTTTTTGATAGATTTGTGTTTTGGGATTCATACTGAAGTTATGAGTTGATTGCACACCATAATTAGAGAATTAAAACTTTCTGGGCTTGTCCATAGTCTTCATTTTACCAGTGGGTTTTATGCTTTTTTTGCACATTAGTGGTTTTTTTCTTTCAAACTGGGGAACTCCCTTTAGCATTTCTTGTAAGATAGTTCTGATGGTTGGGAAGTGTCTCAGCTTTTGTTTATCTGGGAAATACTTTATCTTTCCTTCAAATTTGAATGATAACTTGGCTGGATACAATATTTTTTGATGACAGCTCTTTTTTTTCTTTCAGCACTTTGGAAATATAGTTCCACTCCCTCCTGGCCTGCATGATTTCTGTTTAGAAGTCTGTCACCAGACCAACTGAAGCTTCTTTATGTATTATTTACTTCTTTTCTCTTTCTGCTTTTAGAACTCTCTCTTTGTCCTTGACCTGTGAGAGTTTGATCATTATATGCCTTAGGGCAGTCTTATTTGGGTCAAATCTGTTTGGTGTTCTCTGGCCTTCCTGTACCTGGATATTTATATCTTTCTCAAGTTTTGAAAAGTTTTCTGTTAATATTTCTTTGAATAATCTACCCCTTGCTCTTGCTCAACTCCCTCTTGAACACCAGTGATTCTTAGACTTAGTATTTTGAGATAATTTTCTGTATCTTACATGTAATTTTCTCCTCAGACTGTGTATTTTCTTTCATTTTTTATTATACTTTAAATTTTAGGGTACATGTGCACAACGTGCAAGTTAGTTACATATGTATACATGTGCCATGTTGGTGTGCTGCACCCAGTAACTCATCATTTAACATTAGGTATATCTCCAAATGCTATCCCTCTTGTCTTTGAATTCACTAATTCCTTACTCTGCTTGATCTATTCTGCTTTTGAGAGCCTCGAATAAATTTTTCAGTTCAGCAAATATATTTCTCAGTTCCAAGGTTTCTGGTTTTTATTAATTATTGTTTCAATCTCTTTGTTAAATTTCCCTGTTAAATTTCTGAATTGCTTTTCTGTGATATCTTGGAGATCACTGAGTTTCCTTAAAGCTGCTCTTTTGAATTCTTGCTCAGAGACCTCACATATCACCATCTCATTAGAATCAGTTGCTGGTCCCTTGTTTTGTCCAGTTAGGGAGCTCATGGTTCCCTGTTTGCTGCTGTTTCTTGTGGATGTATGTCTATGTCTTTGCACTGAAGAATTAGTTACTTATTCTAGTCTTGGCTTTATCTGGGTTGTTCTGTTTTTCATTGGATATATTTGCTTAGAGGTTCTTTACCACTAGGTCACTGCCTCCCTTTTGGTTCTAAGGTGGTGCCTTAAGCCCGGATTCGCCTTGGCTCTAGTAAATGATCAGAGCACTGACCTTCCTGAATGGGGGAGGTCCCAAAGGGGTTGTCCTGGCCATGTGGGAAGGCTGGCTAGGGGACCTGTGTGATAAACCTCCTACTGCATGGTGCTGCTCAACAGCAACTCTTATTTGGCATCTCCTTTGGCTGTGTTACAGAGCAGAGCCTCCGTGACTGAGGGTGGTAGTCCCATCTCCCTCCTTTGTTTCTGCCTGTCCTCAGGGATATTTCTCCCTTCAGGCACTCACAATGTTTCCCATGGGTTAAGGCAGGGATAAATCTCCTTTCAGGAAATCCAAGATAATAGGGAAGCTTGTTGTCCACCTCTATCTCAGTTTTTCTAGTATAGAGTAATTTGGGTGGGGGTAATTTTCATACATTTGGTGCAGGGAAGAATGTGGGGAGAGGCATCACAGATGTGGCAGTCCAATTCTCTTACTGTCTACTTCAAGTTTTTTCACTTCTTTCTAGCCCCAGAAACTATCTTATCTTCATATTTGAGTTCTGGGATATCACTGGTGATAAATGCAACACTGTATATTTGTTTTTGGTTTCTGGTTGGGAGAGTGATGCCAGCTTCTTTCTATGCCACAATTTTGGAATCAGAAGTCTCCTAGGGCCCTGGGATTTTTGAATGATAGACGAGCATTAGCTTCAACTTAAAGTAATCAGGTGCGTTAGTTCCTAGCAAGAGATTCAGCCTGCCTTTTAAAATTTTGAAGCCAGGTATGGATTTCTCCTCTCTAGCTACGAAAGTCCTAGATGGTATCTTTTCCCAATATAAGGTTGTTTTGTCTACATTGAAGATCTGTTGTTTAGTGTAGCCATTTTCCACAATTATCTTAGCTAGATCTTCAGGATAACTTGATGCAGCTTCTACATCAGCGCTTGCTTCCCTACCTTGCACTTTTATGTTATAGAGATGGTTTCTTTATTTAAACCTCATGAACCAACATCTACTAGCTTCAAAAGTTTCTACTGCGGCTTCCTCACCTCTCACAGCCTTCATAGACTGGAAGAGACTTAGGGATTTGCTCTGTATTTAGCTTTGGCTAACAGGAATGATTTTGCTGATTTGATCGATGTGTACCACTAAACTTTCTCCATATCAGCAATAAGGCTGTTTGGCTTTCTTATCATTTCTGTGTTCTCTGGAGTAGCACTTTTAATTTTCTTCAAGGACTTTTCTTTTGCATTCACTGCTTGGCTTACTGTTTGGCACGAGGCCTTGTTTTCAGCCTGTCTCAGCTTGCGACATGCCTTCCTCCCCAAGCTTAATCATTTCTAGCTTTTGATTTCAAGTGAGAGATTTGAGACTCTTTCCTGCACTGAACACTTACAGGCCATTGTAGGGTTATTAGTTGGCTTGAATTCAATACTGCTGTGTCTCAAAGAATAGGGAGGCCCAAGGAGAGGGAAAGAGACAGGGAAACAGCTGGTTAGTGAGGCAGTCAGAGCACACACAACATTTATCAAGTTCACCATCTTCTATGGGTGTGGTTCATGGTGCCCTCAAACAATTACAATAGTACCATCAAAGATCACTGATCACAAATCATCATAACAGACATAATCCTAATCAAAAGTTTGAAACATTGCAAGAATTATCCAAATGTGACACTGAGACAAAAAGTGAGCACATGCTATTGGGAAAACAACACTAGTAGACTTGCTCAATGCAGGGTTGCTGTAAACCTTCAATTTGTAAAACACACAATACCTGTGAAGTGCAAAAAAGCAAAGTGTAATAAAATAAGGTATGCGTGTGTATAATATACGTATATCTCCTGTTGGTTCTGTTTCTCTGGAGAACCCAGACTGATACAGTATCTTTGTGTACCAAATGGGCATACATCCACACTGAAGCATCCCCCAAGTATCATTGTGAGGCACATGTAAGGAAGCATATTGAAAGCAGATTTTGAAACTACAAAAGCATCATAAACCTATTAATTTGACTTATCACTGCTGTCTATGCAGAGAGGAAAAAAATAACAGGCCTCTTTTACTTGAGGAAGGATTTATTTTGCAATTCACAAAGCACAGTGGGGACCTTTTCTGACATTTGACTTTAGGGCCAAGAGATTTTTCCTAAGCAGCTGGGATCAAGGAAAGTGAGAGGAATGTAGCAAACAAAGCTTTGGTCTAATATTTCATTTTAACCAAAAATAACTTATATTTGTAAATCATGTTAGCATTTACAAAGTACATTTCATAAAGTGCATCTCATTTTATCCTCACAACTCTGTGAGGCAAGTATAGTTTCCCCCCCATTTTACAGATAAAGAAACTGAGTATAAGAGAGTTTAGAATCTGGTCTGAGGTCTCACAACATGAGAATACTGGGTCTGGAACTCAGCCAGCATCTCTTAGTCCTTACTGCATTCTTTTCTCATTAAGATTTGCTAGCTACACTTGGCCTGGTCCATCTTATGTCTTTTTTCTTCTTTTGCATCCTGGCTTCAGCTGTAGATCTCATATACTCCTGACCTTTAGGAGAAACCAGCCAGGCTGAGAGGAAAAAGGAAATCTCAAGTTTTTCTTAGGATCCTGACTCATAGATTAGGTGCTGCCCAATACCTTTGAAAAAACAACAAACAAACAAACAAACAGCACATTTGGTGTTTTGTCTTATTGCCTATTGAGGCTAAAATTATGGTCCTATCCTTTCAGAACAAACACCAACCCAAGGAGACCAGCCAAACTTCAGATTCTCCAGATGAGGCAGGAGAATAGAGTCTGGAGGCAGGGAACCTAAGACCAATTTGCACTGACTTCCTAGAACTGGATCAAAAGGAAAACCCCACCTCTCCACACCCAAGTGACAAAAGATTAGAGGCTATTCCCTTTGCAACTCCCCTTTCCACTGCATTGTAGATGAAAAATGGAAAAGTACCTCTGATTGGCTGCAGGCCACACACGGGCCAATCCTCATTTGCATAAGGTGCCAATTCACTTCAGCCTTTGAGTAGTCATGGAACAAGCCTCCACTTCAATCTTTCATTTACATAGGGTGTAACCAATGGGAAATCTCTAGAGGGTATTCAAACCCCAAAAAACTTTCCTGCCAGGGCCCTCAAGCTTCTTGCTCAGGCCTACTCCCATTCTGTGGATTGTGCATTCACTTCTATTGCCTTTCACTTCAGCAAATTTACTTTCATTGCTGGTTTGTGTGTGCTGTCCAATTCTTTGTTGAATGCACCAAGAACCTGGACAAACTCATGATCAGAACCTTCTATTCAGTAACACAGACACTTAAGAGGCTACTCATAGGTCAGGGACTAAGGACAGTACACCCAGTCCTACCACATCTCAGTTACTGGGACACTTGTTCAGGTCCAAAGGTCTTGATAAACAAGCATGAAACTTTCTGCAATGCTTCCTTCCTTGGGTCCTGACTGGGGTCCTCAAGGTTGCAGGAGGAAAAAGTGGTCCAATTTGGAAAGCATCTCTCAGGAAAAAAATAATAATAATAAGAGACAGCATATGGAAAACAGAGTAAAATTACTTTAGTGTGGCTCTTTGGAGAGAGATGGGTAATTTACCAAATGCAAGACTTTTCTTGCAGCTGGCTGGCACTGTGGAGCACCATGGAGTAATTGAGACTGAATTACAGAGACTTTGATTATGAGATTGGATTTTCTGTAAGGCCACCTAGGTGATACCAGCCACTTGCATCTTCTCCAATGGGAACGTGAATAGTTCACATTGGCTCAGATTTGCAAATGACTCTTCCCCTTCATTAGCAGCCCCATGGTGGAATAGAATTGGTGGTGAGATTTTAATGAAGCTGTTTACATTCTTCCTTGGGGCCACTGATAGTGCCAATAACCATTATTTCCCTTCATCAGACCAAAAGAAAGGCAACCAGGTCCTTCAGAGGTCATTCAGCCATCCCCTTGACTGTCCTTGTAGTTTTTCCTGAAGATTTGCAGGAATAGAAGCAATGCTAAATTTTCAGAGCATTTTCTTTCCTTCCCTCCTTCCATTGAGGGTCAAAGCTATAAAGCACGAGATAAGGAAAGGGTTGTCTAGCATGTGACTTAAGACCCTGGGACAAAATGACAATCAATAGAGTGTCAAGACTTCTTCCCCTCAAAGGGTCAGAGCAACCTGGTCTGACTGCTGCTACTGTCTCTTGCCTTGGTACTCAGTTGAGTACTGCTGGAAATCTTTCTCTGGTAGCAAGTAATTGAGGGAGTCACTGACTCCGAACCTCTAAAACAGAAGCACAGAGTTCCCATGGACATTGTGCTTTGGCCATTGAGATTTTTCCACCTCTGGCTTTTGTTTTTTATGCTTCAATTGTCTTTTTTTAAATAAATAAATAAACATTTTTGTTTGTTGAGAGGCTATTATCAGCTGATCACTAAAAACATGTATTTTTGCATATTTTTTCTGAATTAATCCTCCAAAAATTGAAGGAAGAGGTGTTATTTCCATTTTACTAATAAGGAAACTGAGGTACAGAGAGGTTAAGAAACTTGCCCAAGTTCATACGATAGTAAGTGTAATGGAGCCAGAATTTGACCCCACATCTGATCAATTCCATAGACTACTCCTTATCCCAGACTACATGAACTTCTTTGTGTCTCTGGTGCTTTCTAAACACTGGCCCTGGCGTAGACAGAGCTTCTGGAGGTCATTGTATGTTAAATTTTGATTCATGTAGTACCTGTGCAAATAGATTTCTAACAGATATCGCAATGTGGTGATTGCTCACAAGGTGTTTTCGTGTTAGTTATTCCAGGTTTGAAAATTATTTTTTAGCTTAGTAGGTACATGACCTTGAACAGGTCATTCTTCCTCCATAGGTCACTATTTCCCCATCTGTAGAATGAGGATAGTGTGAGGAATCAATTACACAATGTATGTAAATATCTTGCAACATCTGGCACACACTAAGAATTTTATAAATGGGGATGGTGATAACACAGATGGTGAGGAGGAGGAAGAAGAGGAGGAAAATCTATCATAGGGTGGCTCTAAGGAAAAACTGTTGGAAGAAAAAGAAAGAGGGGCCTCTAGAGATGGTGCTTTTGTCTCCCAGAAGGGAAAGTCTCTTAGAGGAGAGGAAGTGGTTGCCTAGTGTATTAGTCAGCATTTTCCAGAGAATCAGAACCACCGGGTTGGAAAATGAAGAGAGAGAGAGAAAGAGAGTGGTTTTACAGAATTGGTTCACATGAATGTGGAGTCTGGCAAATCCAAAATCTTCAGGGTAGCCAGCAGGCTGGAGACCCAGGGAAGAGTTGACATTGCAGCTCAAGGACAAGGCAGTCAGCTGGCAGAATTCTCTCTTCATTGGGGAAGGTCAGTCTTTTTTCTCTTAAGGCCTTCAACTGATTAGATGAAACCCACCCACATCATGGCTTACCCATGTAATCTGCTTTACTCAAAGTCTGCTGATTTAAATGTAATTTCATCTAAAAAATACCTTCACAGAAACATCTAGACTAGTGTTTGACCAAATATCTGGATACTGTGATGTATTAGTCTGTTTTGCATTAGTATGAAGGAACACCTGAGTCTGGGTAATTTACAACAAAAAGAGGTTTATTTGGCTCATGGTTCTGCAGGCTGTACAAGAAGCCTGGCACCAGCATCTGTATCTAGTGAGGACCTCAGGAAGCTTTCAATCATAGCATGCTTGAAGGGGGAGCAAGCATGTCACATGGTGAGAGAGACAGGAAGCAAAGCAGGGCTGGAGGGAGGTGTCATACTTTTAAACAACCGGCTCTTGCATGAACTCATAGAGTGAGAACTCACTCATTACCACAGGGTGGCACCAAGCCATTCATGAGGGATCCACCCCCATGACCAAAACACCTCCCACTGGGCCCCACCTCCAACATTAGGGATCACATTTCAACATGAGATTTGGAGGATCAAACATCCAGACTATATCATGTGGCCTAGCCAAGTTGACACATAAAATTAACCATCACCACTGGCCTCCCAATTTAAATGTACTTGTTGTTTAAATGTACCAGAACCTCCAGGACAGGGACCACAGTCTTTCCCTATCTAAGCAGAGATGTATAGTCCAGCAACCTATCCTTATTGTGGCCAGGGCAAAAGAGAGGGAAGGCACACAGGCTGGCCTTAATGGTACAGTGACTGGTTCTTTGTGCCTGTTTCCCTGCCCAAGGCTCCTTTTCTCTCTGCTCCCCTTTAACAAAGTCATCAAGCAAACAGAAAAACCAAAGCAGGAGATCGTGGTGGGCAGCTGAATTGCAAGATGGAAGAGTTACTACAAATATTTTGGTCAACCAGCCCCAAGTCATGAAAGAGAGACCAGCCCTCCCCACTTTGCCCTCTCATCTCTGGATGCCCCAAAAGAAATAATCTGGATTATGTGGGCAGCTGCCTCCTGGAGAAACTCCAGTGTTATCTCTGGAAATTCTAGGCCCTCCTAAGCAGAGGATATAATATCAGGATGTAAAGAAATTTTGACAGGCTGAAATGAGTCTAACTCTAACAAAATGAACCTTAACAGATATAAATGTATAATCTTTCATTTAGGACCAAAACAAAATAACATAAAACAAAACACCTACTAGGAAGGATTCAAGGAGACCTTCCCGTTTAAAATTGCACCTGGCTAACATTTCTCAGTGAAGCCTTTATCAACTTCCTCACTAAAACACTCATGGAAACATCAATAAGGATGAAAATCACGACACTGAAAACTAAGACTGATGGAAAACTTAATGACAGAATCTGGAGGGAATCTCTGCTTTCAAAGAGGCAAGCAGAATTGAGATAGAAAAAATATTCCCAGGTTTCATTTCATATCACATGGAAGCTCTGCCTCATTGTGGCAGAGCCTGCTGGTGCTTGCCAACATCTGTGCTCTCCTCTGCTTCATGGACCCACAGAGCCACTGCATTTTACAGCCTCCCTTACAGTTGGGTGTAGCAACATGCCTGAGTTCTGGCCAAAAAATATGAGCACAAGAGATGAGGGCCACCTCCCAAGCACAATACTCCATACTCTCTCACTTCTCAGACTGAGTGGAGATGGTCCCAAAGACACAGAGGATGGTGGAAACACAGATAGAAGAAGCCCAGGTTCCTCTGTGAGTAGGTTGTCCAGGACATGGACCCTGCTTCACTCTCCAACACCAGTGCATACTGTATTGTGATGTGCATGAGAAATGATCTTTTACTATGTTAAAACACCAGGATTCTGGAATTGTTTGTTATAGAATTTGTCTTCCCTGATATACTCACAAAATGGAGGTGACCTAGAAAGTTCACAAGATATGACATATCTGTCATTCTCTGGCTACTAATAGATCCTATCAGTGCATGTAAGAAAAGGGTCTAGTAGAAAAGGAAACACGTTCGTAGCTGTACATACTGCTTATTGTAATTGTCCACTTATTCATGCATTTAACAAATATTTATTATGTACTTACTATGTGCCAAGCTCTGTGTAAGTATTGGGGGTGCACAAGTAAGCAAAGTAGACATGGGCCCTGCCCTTGTATAGCTGACAGTCTGGTGGGATACCAAACATGAAACAAATTATTCTTATATGAACAGCTATTATGAAAGAAGACATTATAGACCACTGTTGGGAACAGGGGTGTCACCTAGACACCAAGGAGATCTATTTTTTTTTTCCTATTTAGCACATCAAAAAACCAGGAAATGGGAGCAGGAGAGCCTGTGTTGCTAGGAATTAGACGGAATCATGAACATCACTCTGTCCACTGACTTGCTCCAGTGGATCCAAAGGACGCCAAGATAGTTCACATACCCTGCCTATAGGAAAACATCGGGTCTGGAAGATATTGCTTTGCTCAAGGTGAGTAAGAGAAAATGTCTGATAAGGAGCCCAAGATACAAGGAAAATATCATCCAGAAGACCAAAAAAGAGATATGCTAGTAAACACATGCAGAGCTCTGAGGCCAGGCAGGGGGTAGGTAGGGTAGAGAGGAGAGAAGATCACATTTTTTTCTGTTAGAAATATGATAAAACTATTAAAAGCATATTAAATCATTTGTAAAAGAAAACTAATGGTTTATGATTTATTTAATCTGCAATCATATAAGGCAGATAGTTTTAAAGATCTTTTCATCAAGACAGAAAATTAAGACCAACTCATTTTCTAGTTTTCACTTAAACACACTAGACCACTAGACTTCACTTCCTTAGTGTCTAGGGAGACCCCTTCCCCCTAAGGTGGCCTATAATGTCTCCTTTCATAACACTCATCCATACTAGTAATAATTTGTTTCATCTTTGGTGTTCCACTAGACTGTCAGCTATACAAGGACAGGGTTCATGTCTATTTTGCTTACTGCTGTATCTCCAACACTTAGCACAGAGTCTAGCACATAGTAAGTAAATAATAAATATTTGTTAAATGAATGAATAAACAGAAAATTACAAAAAGCAGTATGTACAGCTACAAAGGAATTTCCTGCTGCTGATTCCAGCTAGATCCTTTTCTTATGTGTACTAACAGGGTCTATTAGGAACCAGAGAGACAGATATATCATATATTGCAAACTTCTTAGGTCATTGCTTTATCCAAGTAATTTGTGTAACCATCATTTTTGTCACTCTGCTTTTATACCTCTTAAAATGATGTACTACTGGAGCTAGAAGAAAAATTCCAGAAATTATCTGACATTTTTAATAGAATGCAAAAAGACAGTGCTTCTAAGTAATATAAACAAAACTCAAGACATGATGAAATTAAAATAACATGGGTAAAAGAAATATAAATGATATATGGAAGAATTTGGAGGAAATAAAATATACACATAGATTAGAAGAGTTAGTGTGTACTTTGGAGTTAGTAAAGAGGAGTACCTTTACTATGGAAAGTGGAATCATAATTTGACAATCTAGTGGGATACCAAACATGGAACAAATCATTCCTATATGATTTAGATGAAACAAATTATTCCTGTATGATATATTATTCCTATATTAATTTAGAGGCAAAGAATGAAGAGATGAAAGTGGGGGAGGGAAAAAGAAGACCATAAGAAGACCACAGGCATGTTGTAATGAATTGGGAAGGGGGAAAGAGTAAGCAATGGTTAAATTTTAGTCACCCAAAGATGAAATTTGGAATACCAAAGATAATGTTTCACTGTTTACTTAAAACATTCCATAAAATATAAAAAGTACATTTTTAAAATTTAAGAGAATTCAATATGGTACCACTGCATTCAAACAATGGAGATGACAGGAATAAAAGAATAAAAAAGAAGTCCAAATACCAAAAAATAAAAAAGGCATCATGAGCGACAAATGCGTACATGGTGGATATTTGTTTTTTCTGGGTACTCAGCATCTGGCAGGTCTCTGACTCCCAGAATGGAAGCTGACAGGAGCAGATCATCATTTTCCTGGCATTTGGCCCTGGACTTCAATCTTAGCTCAGGCAGTTAGATGCTACAACCTGAGGCTTTGAAAGTTGAAGGAGTGGCACAAAGTATACTTATAGTCAGAGATTATTTGGGGTTGGCTGCTGTGAGATCAAGAGTCCAGCCATAGAGTGGAAGTAAGAAGAAATAGCAGAGTTGAGGGGTGGCAGCTGCAAGGGATCAGCTACAATGTCCTGCCACATCCTTTTGCATAATTTCTGCTCTGCCTTGCCTTCCACAGTTCCTATTTATTCTCAGAACTTGATTTTCTCTTCTAGATATCCCTCTAGTACTTCGTTTTTCTGCCCGTGTTATATTAGGTTTCTGTTGTGTGCAAACAAGAACCCAACTGCTATAGCATAAAGCATGATAGCAGTAAACACAAATGTGTTCCTTATAACAATAAAAATAAATGGATCAAAAATCCTTTCCAAAGACAAAAAATCTCAGGTTGAATTTACAATGTTAAATGAGTTATTACAAGAGAGATACCTAAGTCAAAATAGCTCAGAAAGATTAAAAGAGTTGGTAAAGATACATCAGGTAAATGCAAATAAGAGAAAGCAAAGGTGGAATGTTACTACCATTAAAGTAGAAGTTAAGAAGAAAGATTAAATGGGATAAAGAGGTTAATTTTATATTTTTATTTGTGTTTAATCACACAAATCATTATTATGAGAACAGGTTATTATAAAAATTAAATCAATACAGAGATATTTTTAATGTGAAAATTCCTTCTTCTATTCTTTGAATATTACTCCATTCCTAGAAGGTAAACTTCTGTTCAGTCGTTGGTGTGTATATTTCTAAAACTTTATGCATGTATATACTCACATACAAATATATGACTTTGAGGATTTTGTTAAATCATAGTTGTGGCCATGTGGTATGTCGTAGCTATGGCAGTTGAGGTGCAATTCTGAGAACTGGCAACAGCCTCCAGCCACTGCACCTTCAGGCCTACTTTAGTGTTTGAGCCAAGGTTATGCTCTCACTGGGCTGCAGCCAGCCAATCACTGAGCACAGAGGGGCTCCTAGGGTCTGGACAGTTCTGCCCAGGGCAGGACTCTTCTATGAGTGATCCTTATGCCAAGTCCCCCTGTTGCACCAGCTCGGAGCTGCAGTGCAGCCTCTGGCTCTTCCTTCCTAATCTCCCTTCCTTCCTCCTCTTCTTTCATGGAATGTCTGCAAAATGGTTTGAAAGTTTTCCTGTCTACTCCAGATTTCTCTTCCCTTTATCTTTCATGGGCATCTTTCCAATGAATCTTTGCACTTCTAACCCCTTTCTGACATCTGAATAATACAGTTGGTACCAGAAGTGGCCCAACAAAACAGGGACTGAGATGGGGTTTTAAGACTGGATCACTCACTGCTCAGCAAGAAGGGAGGACCCTACTGAGTAGTATGTCAATCAAATAATATTGTGTTTATGATAATGTGCCCACAATCTAGGGCTTAAGGAATACTTAATAAAACCAACAATAGATTAGGACCTAAAAATAAATCAGTATATTTCAAAAAGCAGAACTTCTATAGGACACCATCTCTGGTCACAATATAATGAAATTGAAATTAAGAACACACACACACACACACACACACACACACACACACATAAAAAGCCCCTAACCACTTTGAGGTTAAAAAAAAAAGAAATATTCTGAAATAACTACTACATCAATGTTGAAACTAAAACCACAATTACCAATTATTTAGAAAATAAGAATAGTATATACCATCAGTAACAAATAGCCTACCAACCAGAAAAAAAAAGCCCAGGACTTGATAGATTCACAGCCAAATTTTACCAGGTGTATGAAGAAGAGCTGGTACCATTTCTACTGAAGCTATTCCAAAAAACTGAAGAGGAAGGACTCCTCAACTCATTCTCTGAGGCCAGCATCATCCTGATCCTAAAATCTGGCAGAGACACAACAAAAAAGAAAAATCTTCAGGCCAATATGCTTGATTAACATCGATGCAAAAATCCTCAACAAAATACTTGCAAACTGAATCCAGCAGCACATCAAAAAGCTAACCTACCATGATTAAGATTAAGCTGGATTCATCCCCAGAATACAAGGTCAGTTCAACATACACAAATCAGTAAATGTGATTCATCACATAAACAGAACTAAAAACAAAACCCACAAAATTATTTCAACAGATGCAGAAAAGGCTTTCAATAAAATTCAACACTCCTTCATACTAAAAAAACTCTCAATAAACTAGGTATTGAAGGAATATAACTCACAATAATAAGAGCCATCTGTGACAAATCCAGAGCCAACATCATACTGAATGGGTAAAAGCTAGAAGCATTCCCCTTGAAAACTGGCACAAGGATGCCCTCTCTTACCACTTCTATTCAACACAGTACTGTAAGTCATAGCCAGAGCAATCAGACAAGAGAAATAAATAAAGGACATCTAAACAGTAAGAGAGGAAGTCAAACGATCTCTGTTTGCAGATTACATGATTTTATATCTAGAAAACCCCATAATTTTGGCCCCAAAACTCCTTCAGCTGATAAACAACTTCAGGGAAGTTTCAGATTACAAAATCAATGTACAAAAATCACTAGCATTCCTATACATCAAAGCCAACCCGAGAGCCAAATCAGGAAGGCAATCCTATTCACAACTGTCACGAAAATAAAATGAAATATGTAGCTCCCACAGCTAACCAGGGAGGTGAAAGCTCTCTACAATGAGATCATTGAGAATTACAAAATAAGAACTACAAAACACTGCTCAAAGAAATCAGAGATGACACAAACAAGTAGAAAAACATCCCATGCTCATGGGTAGGAAGAACCAATATCATTAAAATGGCCATATTATCCAAAGCAATTGATAGAGTCAATGCTATGCCTATTAAACTATCATTGACATTCTTCACAGAACTAGAAAAAAAATACGTTTTAAAATTCATACGAAACCAAAAAAGAGCCTGAATAGCTAAGGCAATCGGAAGCGAAAAGAACAAAGCTGGAGGCATCAAGCTACCTGACTTCAAACTATACTATGGGCTACAGTAACCAAAACAGCATGGTTCTGGTACAAAAACAGGCACGCAGACCAAAGGAAGAAAATACAGAGCCCAGAAATAAGGCCATACAGCTATGACCATCTGATCTTCAACAAAGCTGGCAAAAACAAGCAACGGGGGGAAAGACTCCCTATTCAATAAACGGTGCTGGGATAGCTGGCTAGCCATATGCAGAATATTGAAGCTGGACCCCTTCCTTACACCATATACAAAAATCAACTCAAGATGGATTAAAGACTTAAATGTAAAACCCAATACTAGAAAAATCCTGGAAGACAACCTAGGTAATACCATCTTGGATATAGGAACTGGCAAAGATTTCATGACAAAGACACCAAAAGCAATCACAACAAAAGCAAAAGTTGACAAGGGGGATCTAATTAAGCTTAAGAGCTTCTGCACAGCAAAAATAAACCACCAACAGAATAAAACAGACAACCTACAGAATGGGAGAAAATATTTGCAAACTGCATTTGACAAAGGTCTAATATCCAGCATCTCGCATCTATAAGGAACGTAAACAAGTTTACAAGAGAAAAACAAACAACCCTATTAAAAAGTGGGCAAAAGACATGAACACTTTTCAAAAGAAGGCATACATGAGGCCAACAAACGTGAAAAAAAGTTCAGTATCACTGAGCGTTAGAGAAATGCAAATCAAAACCACAATGAGATACCATCTCACACTAGTCAGAATGACTATTATTAAAAAGTCAAAAAACAACAAATGTTGGCAGGGTTGTAGAGAAAAGGGAACACTTATACACTGTTGGTGGGAGTATAAATTAGTTCAACCATTGTGGAGAACAGTATGAAGATTCACCAAAGATCTAAAAGCAGAACCACCATTCAACCCAGCAATCCCATTACTAGGTGTATACCCAGAGGAATAAAAGTCATTCTACCATAAAGACACATGCACGTGAATGTTCATTGCAGCACTATTCACAATAGCAAGGACATGGAATCAACCTAATGCCCATCAATGACAGATTGGATAGAGAAAATGTGGTACATGTACACCATGGAATACTATGTGCCTATAAAAAACAAGAAGATCATGTCTTTTGTGGTAACACGGATGGAGCTAGAAGGTATTATCCTCAGCAAAATAACATAGGAACAGAAAACCAAATACCATATGTTCTCACTTATAAGTGGGATCTAAATGATGAGAACTCATGAATACAAAGAAGGGGACAACAGACACTGGGGTCTGCTTGAGGGTGGAAGGTGGGAGGAGGGAGAAGAGCAGAAAAGGTAACTATTGGGTACTGGGCTTAATACCTGGTTAATGAAATAATTTGTGCAACAACCCCCCATGACATGAGTTTACCTATGTAATAAATATTCACATGTACCCCCAAACCTAAAATAAAAGTTTTTTAAAAAAAAACAAAACACGATAAAGTCAAGAAACAAGCTAAAAAGCAGAATATCATATACCAAAATTTATGGAATAGAGCCAAAGTTTTTTTTGAAGGAAAACACATAGAATTAAATGCTTTCATTTTAAAATAAGAAACATCAAAGTTAGCGTTCAACTCAAAAAGTTAGAAAAGACGAAAAAATAAGTAAAATGGGAAGAAAAACATTAACAAAGTCAAAAGCGTGAAATGATGAAAATTTAAAAGTCAAATTGTTAAATAACTCCAATAGATGATTTGTTGAAAGTATTTATAATTAGACACATCTGTGGCAAATGCAATCAATGAAAAGACAGAGAAAACACAGGTACATAGAAGAGGTATGAGAGAGTGAATATGACCACAGAGGGGAACTAAATGGGAAAATATTAGAAACAATGGTATGCTAATAGAGTTGAGAATGTAGGTAAAACAAACCAACTTTTGGAAAATAGAATCTCCAATATTGCCTTGTGAAGCAGAAAACCTGATCAAAGCATTAACCAGGGGTGAAATCATAAAGATTTCTCATGAAGATCTTAGACCCAGAGACTTTCATTTCTTTCAAACATCCTAAGAAGGGAAGACGTTCCCACTAGTCAACCAGTTTCAGAGCCTAGAAAAAGATTTTTAAACTTCCATATTCATTTTATGAATCCAACATGTCCTAAAACTAAATCATAAACTAGGCCTCCTCCAAACCTCATCTACTAATATAGTAGTAAAAGTCCTAAACATGATGCAAACCATATTACATATTTCAAATGCACCATAACCAAGTAAGGCTTATGTTAGAAATGCATGGGCAGTTAGTATTGGGAAATACATTAACATAATTTGCAATGCAAACCAATTATTGATAGATCAAAGGAGAAAAATTATGATTAACAGATACCCCAAATCAAATAAAATTCAAGATGTCTTTTTGATTACATATTTTTAAAAACTTCTCAGAGAACTATGACAAGAAAGATACTTCCTTAACAAATGAATTTTTTGTCTCACACTAATAGCCAACATCATACTTGATTATAATGTCTTAGACATAGCCCTATTAGTTTTAGAAAAAACATAAGGATGCCTGTTATCACCACTATTATTTATCACTGTTCTGAAAGCCCCAGCTAATTAAATAAGGCTAGGTGTACAGATAATAATAAAAAGACTAAAATTTTATTATTGCTATTAATATTATTATTATTTTAAGGTGGAGTCTTGTTCTGTCGCCCAGGCTGGGGTCCAGTGGTGCCATCTCAGCACAGTGCATCCTCCGGCTCCTGGGTTCAAGTGATTCTCCTGCCTCAGCCTCCCAAGTAGCTGTGACTACAGGAGTGCACCACCATGCTCGGCTAATTTTTGTGTTTTTAGTAGAGACGCGGTTTCACCATGTTGGCCAGGCTGGTCTTCAACTCCTGACCTCAAGTAATCCGCCTGCCTTGGCCTCTCCAAGTGCTGGGATTACAGGCGTGAGCCACTGTGCCTGGCCGAAAGACTAAAATTTTATTGTGTGCTTACTATAGTCCAGGCACTGCTCCAAGCACTTTTTGGTTTTCACTTAACTCACATAATAACCTTAGGAGGTATCATTATTATGCCCATTTTACAGATAAGGAAATAAGTCACTGAATGGTTAAATAATTTGCCAAGGCAGGTAAAAGTAAATACTGAAAAGCGATAACACAATGATCACAATTTTCAGATGTCATAGTTGCCTTCCTGGAAAGCCTAAGAATTAGCTGAAACCCATTTAAAAAGTATTACTGATAACAAAACCTCCTTTATTTCACTCTTCTCAAGCTTCTCTAGAACGCCACAGAAGCCATCAGGCAAGACAGATGTTTAATTTAGTCCTGGCAAGAGGGTAAGATATCTATCTGTCTTCCCCATTTACTCATCTTAATCCTTAATTGCCACCCATCTTCCCCAAGCAGTCTGTCTCATTTACTTTGCTCCCATTTGCAATCAAGGGCTGAGCCTCAAAGACATCTGGAGTCTTAAAACCCAGTAGTAATAAGTAGAAACCAACACAAAACAAAACAAAAAAAATCTTTTAGAAATCTCTGACCATAGATAATGTGGCCCCAAAAGCTCCAGTCCCCAAAAGCTCCAGTCCCCAGGCTTAATATCAGTGGAGAAGAGGGAGGGTTGGCAGAGGTACATCCCTCTTTAAGACTCAGCATCAGATTTCAGAATTGACTGTGGCTGCCACTTAGCCAGGCTCTGGGTCACAGCACCAGGCTCTGTAAGTTCTTAGAGAGCCAGGCTCAGGACCCAGGGACCTGCCTGTGAAGGAGGCCTGTGGAGGCAGCATAGAAAGGGCCCAAGGCAACCTGTGGCATTTCAAGGACCCTGGACATCTGTGGGGGCAGTATCAGTATGTTAAGAGGAAGGAGAAATAAAGGAATGAGCACAATAACTAAAGCTTGCCCTACCAGGACAAAAATTACTGTTCTAAGGTCATTTGGCCTGAGCCACTATAATGGTTCCCAACTGTTTGAGAAACAGCATGGTGGAGTGAAAAAAACACCACACCAAGATCGAAAGACCTGCATTCATGCCCTCTCCAGGTCACTACTATCTGTATGTCATTTGAGGAACCCCTTTATCTTTCTGAGTCTATGTGCTGTATCAGATGGTTGTGGGAAGCATTACATAAGGCTAGAGTTGAGACTGACCAGAGAATGTGAGGAGCTAATGTCCATGTCTTGACTTTAATACACTAACTACTTTTCCAGCCTTTCTTGGGGATATGATGCCCAGCAGTGGTCTGAGGTCTTGGACATTGTGTTTGTGAATCTTCATTGTAGGATTTTCCCTGCCTGCTCTGTGGAGGTCATCACCCAAACCACAGACTCCTGGGTGAAAGAAATATTCCTCTGCTTTCAATACAGTGGGCCTAGAAGAAATGCATAATAAAACCTATAACATGGAAATAGCCATTCCTTCCCAGACTATTTCCCAAGATTGTCATGAGTATTAAAAAAATAGATATGAAAGTGCTTTGTAAACAGCAAAGCGTATACAAAGGTGACGGGTTTATTATCATTGTGCTGATGTATCTTAAAATCACCTCTCATTTCTCCCTTCTGAGTTATCAGCAAAATGGGCATCATAATACCTTTCTCAGATTGACCTTGTTAGGGTATGGGAGACGTCACATGTAGAGCACGTGTAAAGTGCATGGCCCACACATACTAGACGTATTTGTCAGCGTTCCTTAGAGGGACACAACTAATAGGAAATATATAAATATAAATATATATGTATATATTTATAAAGGGAAGTTTATTAAGTATTAACTTACACAATCACAAGGTCCCACAATAGGCTGTCTGCAAGCTTAAGGAGCAAGGAGAGCCAATCTGAGTCTCAAAACTGAAGAACTTGGAGTCCGATGTTTGAGGACAGGAAGCATGCAACATGGGAGAAAGATGTAGGCTGGGAGGCTAGGTCAGTCTGGCCTTTTCATGTTTTTCTGCCTGCTTTATAGTCGCTGGGAGCTGATTATATTGTGCCTACCAAATTAAGGGTGGGTCTGGCTCCCCCAGCCCACTGACTGGGGGAGTGTTAACCTCCTTTGGCAACACCTTCACAGACACACCTAGGATCAATACTTTGCATCCTTCAATCCAATCAAGTTAACCCTCGTTATTAACCATCACAAGTCCACCCCTTGTCAATTTGAACCCATATACATTCCCTGAGATCATACATAATCTTCAAATGTAGACAATAATAAGGTTATAATTATGCCTAACATAATACAACTATCCTTCATACAACCGGAAACACACCAATCCCCAACCCAAACACTATTACATAAAGTTAACAATACTTAAGTGCTGATATGAAGTCAATAAATCATATGTCACATGATAAAGAAGAAAGGAAATAAAATGAAGATAGTTTCTTAGCACAAGTGTATATATGCACAAACATGTTTTTAACAAAAGAAGGAGGAAATACTCATAACAATTACAATCCTCATTTCTACAGTTGGTCACGTGGTCATAGCTGGTATTGGTGACTACCTTCTTTTATTACCCATTCTGTATTCCCTTGGCTTTCAGTAAGCACCTTGGCAGGTCATGGTTTTTTTTCCTGGTAGAGTGACCCAAACCTTCATTCCGGAGGGGTCTGGGCCATTTGTAGTCCTGCCTGGATTGGGCTGTTGTAGTTTCCCATTGACCTTAATCACAGTGCATGGTAATACTAAGAGACGCCCTAATGGATCTGCTGTATTCCATTCAGAAGATCTTCCTTACATCCGTTGTGGAGTAGTAGACTGATTTCATCTTGATAGTCTGGGTGAATCACGCCAGCCAACACTGTAACTCCCTTCTTAGCCTGTTGACTTAAAGATGGGAGGAGCCCAAAGTCTTCAGGTGGCAATCTTAACTTCCAGTTTAATGGAATCGTTGTTCTGTCTCCTGGTGGCAACGTTCCTCCCTCTGGAGCTAAGACCTCCAGGCCAGCAGAACATAATGTAGCAGGAACAGGAAGCAAAAATTGTGGTAGTGGATCACTGGGGGTGATGGTGAATGGTGCCACTTCCACCCCTTTATTCCTGGACCTGTGGATCCTGGCTATGGGAGAAACAGTACCATATATTGGATGTTGATTCAGAGCATACACGGTTTTCTGGAGAACTTTGCCCCAGCCCTCCAAAGTATTGTCACCCAGTTGGCATTGTAATTGTAACTTCAAAAGGCCTTTCCACCATTCTATCAATCCAGCTGCTTCAGGATGACGGGAAACATGGTAAGACCAGTGAATTCCATGAGCATGAGCCCACTGCCACACTTCTTTAGCCATAAACTGTGAGTGCCTTGGTCAGAGGCAATGCTGTGTGGAATACTATGATGGTGGAAAAGGTATTCTGTGAGTACACAGATGGTAGTCTTGGCAGAAGCATTGCATGCAGGATAGGAAAACCCATATCTGGAGTAAGTGTCTATTCCACTGAGGATGAACCTCTGCTCTTTCCATGATGGAAGAGGTCCAATATAATTAACCTGCCACCAGGTAGCTGGCTGCTCACCCCAAGGAATGGTGCCATATCAAGGGCTCAGTGTTGGCCTCTACTGCTGTCAAATTGGGCACTCAGCAGTGGCCATAGCCAGGTCAGCCTTGGTGAGTGGAAATCCATGTTGCTGAGCCCATGCATAACCTCCATCCCCGTCACCATGGTCACTTTGTTCGTGGGCCCGTCGGGTGATGACGGGGTGGCTGGGGAAAAAGGCTGAATAATGTCCACAGAATGAGTCATCTTGTCCATTTGATTATTAAAATCTTCCTCTGCTGAGGTCACCCATTGGTGAGCACTCACATGGGATACAAATATCTTCAGTTTTTGACCACTCAGGTCCATCTACATACATTTTCCCCAAATTTCTTTGTCGCCAATTTTCCAATCATGCTTCTTCCAAGTCCCTGACCATCCAGCCAAACTATTGGCTACAGCCCGTGAATCAGTATATAATCGCACATCTGGTCATTTCTCCTTCCATGCAAAGTGCACAACCAGGTGCACTGCTTGTAGTTCTGCCCACTGGGAAGATTTTCCTTCACCACTATCCTTAAGGGATGTCCTAGAAAGGAGCTGTAGTGCTGCAGCTGTCCACTTTCTGGTGGTGCCTGCATATTGTGCAGAACCATCTGTGGACCAGGCCATAGTCTTCTCTTCCACTGTCAACTGATCATAAGGAACTCACCATGGGGCCATCGATGTAGGCCGAGGAAGACAAGGCAGGGTGGCAGGAGTGGAGACCAGGGGCATTTGAGCCACTTCCTCATGTAACTTACTTGCGCCTTCAGGACCTGCTCGAGCCTGATCACGTACATACCACTTCCATTTTGATGATTGAATGCTACTGCGCATGACCCACTTTATGGCTAGATGGGTCAGAAAGCACCCAATTCATGTTAAGCAGTTCAGGTTGCATGGTGACTTGATGACCCATAATCAAATGTTCAGTTTCCACCAAAGCCCAGTAACAGGCCAAGAGCTGTCTCTCAAAAGGAGAGTAGTCATCTGCAGAAGATGGCAGGGCCTTGCTCCAAAATCCTAGAGGCCTCCGCTGTGATTCACCTAGAGGGACATGTCAAAGGCTGCAAACAGCATCCCTATCTGCCACTGACACCTCAAGCACCATCGGATCTCCTGGGTCACATGGCCCAAGTGGCAGAGCAACTTGCACAGCAGCCTGGACCTGTTGCAGAGCCTTCTCCTGTTCTGGACCCCGCTCAAGACTGGCAGCTTTTCAAGTCACTCAATAAATGGACCAGAGTAACACACCCACTTGAGGAATATGTTGCCTCCAAAATAGGCCCACTAAGTGTTGTGCCTCTTTCTTGGTTTTAGGAGGGGCCAAATGCAGCAATTTATCCTTCACCTTAGAAGGAATATCTCCACAGGCCCCACATCACTGGATTCTTAGAAATTTTACTGAGATAGAAGGTCCCTGAATTTTAGTCAGATTTATTTCCCATCCTCTGGCACACAAATGTCTCACCAATAAGTCCAGTGTGTTTGCTATTTCTTGCTCAGTGGATCCAATCAGCATAATGTCTTCAATGTAATGAACCAGTGTGATATCTTGCAGAAGCGAAAAGTGGTCAAGGTCTCTCTGAATAAGATTATGACACACAGCTGGAGAGTTGATATACCCCTGAGGTAGGACAGTAAAGGTATATTGCTGGCCTTGCCAGCTGAAGGCAAATTGCTTCTGGTGGGCCTTATGGACAGGAATGGAGAAAAAGGCATTTGCCAAGTCAATGGTTGCATACCAGGTACCAGGAGATGTGTTAATTTGCTCAAGCAATGAAACCACATCTGGTACAGCAGCTGCAATTGGAGTCACAACTTGGTTAAGCTTACAATAATCCACTGTCATTCTCCAAGACCCATCTGTATTCTGCACAGGCCAAACGAGAGAGTTGAACAGGAACGTGGTGGGAATTACCACCTCTGCATCTTTCAAGTCCTTGATGGTGGCACTAATCTCCACAATCCCTCCAGGGATGTGATATTGTTTTTGATTTACTATTTTTCTAGGTAGAGGCAGCTCTAATGACTTCCATTTGGCCTTTCCCACCATAATAGCTCTCACCCTACCAGTCAGGGAGCTAATGTGGGGGTTCTGCCAGCTGCTAAGTATGTCTATGTCAATTATGCATTCTGGCACTGGGGAAATGACCACAGGATGCGCCCAGGGACCCACTGGACCCACTATAAGTTGGACCCGAGCTAAAGCTCCATTAATTACCTGACCCCCCAAAAGCCCCTGTTTTAACTGGAGGACCACAATGATATTTGTGTCCCCTGGAATCAACATCTGCTCAGATCATGTCCGGTAGTCCCTGAAATGTCTGATCATTTCCCTTTCCCCAATGCACAGTTAGCCTGGTAAAAGGCTAGAGGTCTCTTTGGGGAAGGATGGGAGAAAGATTCACTGCATAAATTGTCGGTAATGTAGTGGGGTCCTTCCTCAAAGAGACCCAGCCTCCCCTTCATTCAAGGGGTTTTGGGTCTGTAAACTGGCTCAAGTCTGGAAACTGATTGAGGGGGCATGATTCTATGTTTTTATAGTTCAAATTAGGCTTTTGTTCATTCGACCTAGAAGTTTTCTGTTTGTATAATTTTAGTAGGAATGCAGTAGGCTTCCTATCAATTTCACTTCTAAGAACACCATGATTAATTAGCCAATGCCACAGCTATACACAAGTCACATTATTCTAATTGTTGCTTTGCCTCTGTTGTCCATTATGGTAGCTATGCCAACCTTTCCTTTGACAGTTGAGTGCCACCACTTGGCCCCTGCCACCTCAGGAATCAATTATTTCCATTGTATTTCAATTTTGTAGTTGAGTGACTACTGTTCCCACTGTTTGATCTGACATACGGAGAAGACCAATTACAGGGCTCTTGAAAGATGCAGGTGCTGCCCTCACAAATCTATTTCTCAAGGCATTGGTCAAGGGTATATCTCATTCCTAGCTGGGATGAGTAGGTCTAAAGTGACTAATCCACTCCACAATCCCAATCTCCCTAAACTTTTGGGTCCCTTACTTTATATTAAACCAAAGGAGATCAGGCATTTCCAGCTTGCTCACAGTGGGCCATCTTTTAATCCATATTTCAGCTAACCAAGCAAATAAATGATTAGAACTTTTATGAACCCCCTGAGCTGCAACATTAAATGCAGAGTCCCTACTTAGTGGGCCCAAATCAATAAACGCAGCCTGATCCAACTCTGTGTTCCCTTGACCATTATCCCACACCCTTAATATCCATTCCCATGCCTATTCTCAGATTTCTGTTTATATAAGTTAAAGAACTCAAGCAGTTCTTTTCGAATGTGGTGCACCTCCTCATGGGTCACACACTCAACCTCACCTCTAGGGGCCCGCTGGAACTTTAGTCTAGTTATAGGTCTAAAAGCAAATAGGGGTGTTGGGGGAGGCTCATGAGGAGACTCAACATTATTTTGCCTGGCAACTGCCTCAGGAGAGGCCATCACTGTTGCCACAGGCAGCAGGGTTTATCTTCTCATACAAAAGTGGAAAGGCTGATGGCAGCATGGGTTGGGGTGCAGATGTTGCCACTACTGGGGACGGGGAAGCTGCTCCTTCTGGCAAGAAAGTTTCATCAGAGTTTACAAACTCAGTGTCCCCAGCTTCATCAGGGTCCTCCCACACATCCCCATTCCAAGTTTCAGGGTCCCATTGTTTTCCTATCAATGCCCTCACTTTAGCAATAGACACCTGGCAAGGCTGTGCAAGCACCTTTCATTGCATGTCAGCCACTCACATGATAAGAGCTTGTTTCTGTTTTTCCACAATTTTAGCTCTTTCTCTACAGGAGATAAGACTCTCACTAAGAGCAATCTTAGCAGATTGAGACTCAGTATTTGCTTCTGAAGCCAGGAGACAGAATCCCTGAGAGTTCATCATTTTCTTTCATCACTTTGTCCACTGAACTTAAGGACAACCAACCAGCTTCATTACTTTCCTCGGTTCTACACATACTGTCAAAGGTATTATGTATAGAGTCACTAAACTCCTTGCCTCTCATGAGCAGTGAATCAGGAGGGTCAAATGCATTTATTTTGCATAACTCTCTAAACAGTTTATGCCAAGGACTATCAGTGTTCTCCATACTATTAGAAGTACAGTCCTTAGCATTTTTGGGTCTAATCATATTAAGCAGCCAACTCCAGAAACCCCAAAACCAACGAAAGAACTCCATCCTTAATATCTGTTCCTCTAGAATCACTCCTGGTACCAAAATCAGTTTATGGGTCCCCTAGAGGGGCAGAAGAAACAGGACATGTGTGTGTGTGTGTATATATATATACACACACACACATATATATATATATATATATATGACAGAAGAAATAGTATATATACATATATGAAGGGGAGTTTATTAAGTATTAACTTACATGATCACAAGGTCCCACAATAGGCCATCTGCAAGCTTGATGAGCAAGGAGAGCCAGTCTGAGTCTCAAAACTGAAGAACTTGGAGTCTGATATTTGAGAGCAGGAAGCATCCAGCATGGGAAAAAGATGTAGGCTGGGAGGCTAGGTCAGTCTGGCCTTTTCATGTTTTTCTGCCTGCTTTACATTTGCTGGCAGCTGATTATATTGTGCCCCCCAAATTAAGGGTGGGTCTGCCTTTCCCAGCCCACTGACTCAAGTGTTAATCTGCTTTGGCAACACCTTCACAGACACATCCAGGATTAATACTTTGCATCCTTCAATCCAATCAAGTTGACACTCGTTATTAACCAACACACTAGGCAAGACCACAAATCAGGTTCCAGGGGCTCAGACCCCCACTACTCCCTGCCCTTCCACATTCCCTTTTAATTCGTCCAATAACCTTAAGTCATTTGCAGGATGATCAGTTCTGATCTTGGAAACTGTTTTTTTACCCTTCCACTTCCCTTCCCCCTCCTTAACATCTTTCTATCTCCACACGTGTTCCCAACTTAGGAGGTGCTACATATTTCACCTTTGGATTATGTGAAGCCTGTTCTGCTCATGGGCAGGATGAGAGGAGTCCTTAAAAAGAAATCAGGGTCAAAAACTCCCTGGGGAGTGTTTTCTCATCTCAAGCCATGACTGCACCTTCTGCCTTCTATCTTTTCCCACCCCTTACAAAATGACAATGAGTGCACTTCATACCCGCTCTGTAATCCAAAGGCTCTAGGCCCATGAGAGGCTGTCAGCCACACTTATCAGAGAAACTGATGCTGGGAAAGCAAAAAAGAGTAAATAGGAGATGAAAGGAATAATCCCAATCAAGATGGAAGATTCTTGGCCAGGCGCAGTGGCTCACGCCTGTAATCCCAGCATTTTGGGAGGCCAAGGCGGGTGGATTTCGGGGTCAGGAGATCAAGACCATCCTGGCTAACTTGGTGAAACCCTGTCTCTACTAAAAATACAATAAAATTAGCTGGGCATGGTGGTGGGCACCTGTAGTCCCAGCTACTCAGGAGGCTGAGGCAGGAGAATGGCGTGAATCCAGGAGGTGGAGCTTGCAGTGAGCCAAGATCACGACACTACACTCCAGCCTGGGTGACAGAGCTAGACTTTGTCTTAAAAAAAAAAAAGAGAGAGAGAGAGAGAGTTGTAAGATTCTTTCCTCCATTATAAAATTACACCACCTCCCGGGCCTGTGGGCCATGTCCAAAGACAGGACTTTGGAGTGGACAGCAAGGAAAATTCCAGCCCCGTGTCTTTGGTGAGCAGGCACATTGGGGTTGGAGGTGGTGTGGGGATGCTAAAGGATAGTCTAGGAGGCCCCATAGAGCAGTAATGCCAGCCCCAGAAGTGGTTGCACCTCACAGGAGACTGGCTGGGTTCAGAGCTCTCCAAGGTCCTAGCCAGGAAGTCCCAGAAATTTCCAGATTTTTAGTGGCAAAAATAAAGGCAGTCAGGAGAGGCTGAGCTGATATAGAAGGATGCACTCTGCTAGCCAGCCAGGAAGGTGGAAGCCAGGCTGAAGGCTGAAAACAAGTGTGCTCCCTCACTCCAGCTCCCTCCTCTTGTGTTACCAGCATGACTTGTAAGTCACCAGAATTGTCTCTGGCTGGGAGAAATTCTACAGATATAATGTGGAGACTAACATTTGAATTATAACATGAAGGTGACTCACCTCCTGGGAGACCAGAGAACTGGGCAGTCATTGAGGTCTGCAGGTTTGGGGTGTGGAGATGAGAGGGGAAGCTAGCCTCAAGCAATCTGTCTTCATCTTATAGCCAGTCCCCGAGGTGCCTTTGCTAGCCTGAAGGTACAGAGTAGTGTCCCATACAATTCTCTTGATTTTGAATGATCGACACAGGCTCTGTTCTGTGCTCTTTTTGCCTCATTCTCTCTGCCGACTCCATTTCTGCCAGACACCTTCCAAATAGGGCTGATCATATGAACTTTCTTGGTCTGGGGTCCCTGGGCTCCAAATTCAGTGTAGCCTCCTGATCCTTGATAGCATTGTAACTATGGGACACACAGGACTAAAACTGCTTGCAGTGACAACACTAGAAGCAGCCTTAGGCTATAATCAAACACTCCACCATGGTAAAGAACCTGAGGTCAAAGCCTGCCTTGAAGATGTTAAGAGCCACCTCATAAGCATCCTGTCTGTGTGAGAGACTTCTGGTGTTCTTGTTCCAGAGAGGGCCAGTTTATTGATGCCAGTCATCCTTCAGAGGACTGCAATGCAGCCTACATTCAACAGATGTGAGGCTCTTTGGGAGCTTGTCTTTTCCGTGAACTTGTTGGGGGATGGGTAAAACCTTTGACTTCTGCTCTCAAAGGCTATACACCAGGGTTCTCTTCTCTCCTCCCCAGTCCACCCTTCCCTTTCCCATCAGGCTCCCAATATGCTCTCTAACCTTTAAGCCTACTGTTTGGCCAGCTCCTCAGGACTACCTAAGATGGTCTCTCAAGTTGAACTGACTCTACAGGTGCTGAAGAAGCCAGTTACCTGTGCTGTGTGATTTCACATTCACCAAAAGATCTACTGCTTGGCAGCACTTCCTGTATTAGGAAGAGTACCGGCCAGAGTGTCTGAAATCTTACCAGTAAAAACAAATTCCAATGGGGTAAAGCAAAATGCCTCCAGAGTCCTCCATTAGGGTGAAAATGCCCTCACCAGAGAAAAATGCAGTGACCTGTAGCCCAGTGTAAATGCACCTCCTGTCTCCAAAATAGTGCCTGGGCATTCCCAAGTGAGCCAGGGCCATTAATACACGCAGTTCTGAATGTTAAAGGATCAGGTTGTGGATGGCAGTACTGCCTACTGATGGAAATTATGGGCTAGGAGTCAAAATTAGACTCTAAACCCAGCCAAGAGAACTTGGGCAACTCATTCAACCTCTCTACGACTCAGCTTCCACCCCAAAATTATCTTTATTCTGACTCTCAGGGAAATCATTAGAACTTAGTAGAATTGCTCTGAGAATACGCTCTCTTTCTCTCTCTCTCCCCCTCTCTCTCTCCGACAGTCATTTATTTCACAATTCTCATGTACCAGGTCTTAAGTGAGTAGGTGGAAATTCTCAGATGACTGAAACTTGGCCCTTCTGTGCAAGGTGCTTCAAATTTAGTAGGGTAGATGATTACCATCAATATACTAAGTGCAGATACTAGACTATGCACAGGAGTCTATGGAGCCCAGAGGGCCAGCTAACCCTCTGGATATGGGCAAAGCAGATGACCCCTGAATTGGAACACTAAATAGAATAAACTAGGGAAGGGGGTTGGAAGAGGGGAAAAATAGCCCATACAGAAAGAATGACTTCAGCAAAAGTATGGCAGTGGAATATTAAGATATATGGGTAAATATGACCAATTAAGAATTACTAGAGTTTAAATTATGAAAAATGGAGTGTCAGGATATAAGGCTGAGGAATATGCAGGAGCTGAACCATGGAGGACCTTTTGTATTAAATTAACGAAATTGGAGTTCATGTATCAAGCAACCCACCACAGAAGGGTTTTAAGCAGGTGAGTGACAGTCAGTTTACTTATGGATCCCTTTGGGAGCAGTGTGACAGGTGGATTATAAAAAGATAGGCTAGAAAGTGCTCCGCAAGGTAATGGCAATAGAGGCATGGCCAGTCCCTTTGACTCATTGGTTGAATAGGATGCTGATTGAGAGCTGCTGTTGCTTGGAAGTTATGGCTGCCTGGCCCCATACAAGGCTGGGCCCTAGGAAGGGACTTCTGGCAACATCTACAGGGTGTTTTTCCAGTAGCTTTTTTTTTAATGCCCTGGTATCCTAGGCTCATAGGAACATCTTAAAGGGAAGTCTTTAGTAGGATGCCACAGATCTATCTCCTGCAACATCCTGGCCAACATATCTGTCGATAATTGAATGAGACATCACCCCTTTAGGTGACACAAAGCTAAACACAATAGCTAATGTATTGTATGATAGAATGAAGACTAAAAATATTTTGATGGGCTGTAACAACAAAACCATTAGATCAACTTAACCAGATAAATGTTAAACCCTGCTTTTAGATTTCTTCAAAATCCATTGCCTAATTACAAGATTTGGGATACCTGGCTTGATGGCGAAATATTTATTCCTTCAGCAAATGCTTACTGAGAACCTACTATATGCCAATCTCACCATTCCCTGAGCTTACATCTATCACCATATACCATACATTTTATTAGAACCAGGTCTGCTTCCCTTCTTATAAGTTTTTCTAGGTGAGAAAATAAGCCTCACTTTGATATCTCAGGAGGCTAGGGTCACGTACAGGGAAAGACAAAGACTTCATGAATGCCTACAGGTGCCAATACCTTCCATCCAAAACCTATTTAATTCTTTTTTTAAATTTTACTTTAAGTTCTGGGATACATGTGCAGAAACTGCAGGTTTGTTGCCACATGTGCCATGGTGGTTTGCCGCACCTATCAGCCCATCATCTAGGTTTTAAGCCCCGCATTCATTGAGTATTTGTCCTAATGCTCTCCCTCCCCTTGCCCCCCATCCCTTGACAGGCCCCGGTGTGTGATGTTCCCTTCCCTTTGTCCATGTGTTCTCATTGTTAAACTCCCACTTATGAGTGAGAACATGCGGTGTTTGGTTTTCTGTTCCTGTGTTAGTGTGCTGACAATGATGGCTTCCAGCTTCATCCATGTCCCTGCGAAGGACAAGAACTCATTTGGTTTTATGGCTGCATAGAATTCCATGGTGTATATGTGCCAAATTTTCTTTATCCAGTCTATCATTGATGGGCATTTGGGTTTATAACAGCCCTATTATATTCGTTTTATAGTTGACAATGTTAAGTCTCAGAGGTATTAACTCAATTGCCTATAGTTTTGCTGCTAGTAGATTTCCAAGCTGACATTTGAACCCAGATCTATCTTTCCACTACAGCACACTGACTCCACATTTGCATATAATCCCAATAATGTGCATGGGTATTGAGCTGTAGCCAGGGCTGTACAAAACGGAGCCTCTCCTCAGGTTCTGGAAGTTTAGTAGGTTTATTTTACCTCAGGAAGTGAGAGGTAAGGTGGAGGAAAAGGTACCAACTCCATATGTGCCTCCAGTTAGATGTAGCTACCCAGAGGAAATGGTTGCTGAGTCTGCTCTGATAGGATTATGAAATCCAGAACAAGGACTGTGTTGGCCCAGCTGTGCTCTGTGTTGCTCAGACTATATCTGGACTTCTGGTCCAGTTCCAGCCAAGACACCTGGCAGGGAACAATTGCCAACTAGAAATTATTCAGAAGAGGATAGTCAGCATGGTAGGGGTCTAGAAAGCATGTCATATGGAGAATTATTGGGGGAAAGGTAATATTTGGCTTGAAGAAGAGAAAGCTTAATAAGACAAATGATAATTGTCCTCAAATATTTGAAGATGCAATTGCATAGGTTTTCTGTTATGTGCGTAGACAATTACTGGTGTTTATGTATTGTGATTTCTGAATGTTGAAGGGGTTGTGGAGAAGAGAACTAACATTGATTTCAAGAGACCTTCAAGGTCTTTTATAATCTAGTCCCTGTTTACAGATACTTCCTATACATCTAATCTAATTCTCATAATTGCCCTGCTGAGTCCTCTACTTTATAGATAAGGGAGACTCTAAGAAATTTGCCTAACATCACAACTTGTAAACAGCAGAGCCAAGACTTGCACTGAAGTTTGTTTGTTGTTGCTCTTATGCAGCATGCCCTTATCTTTCTATATACTTCCTTATGATTATGTTTAGCCAGAGAGGACACCTGCAATGAACGGTTATCTTAAAGAGCATTTCCCTACATGAAGAAGAGGGCTCACAAATTCAGGAAGAATTCTTCTACCCATGTGTCAACTTCCACACTCCTGCCAACCAACTAGAGCCCTCAGTCCAGAATCCAGAACTGGGTCAAAAACTCTCAGACTCTTTAGTGAAGGTGGCATAAAACTTGGGTCCAGCCCCTCATGGAGACCTTCAAGGTCCTTTATAATCTAGTCCCTGTTTATCTCTACATTCTCACCTCTCAGTGTCTCCTGCCTTCATGCCTTTCCCTCCACACTTTCCACCAGACCACTTGCTTGTTTTCCCATCCAGACTTTGTACACACTCTTCCCTCTGCCTAAAATACATTTACCACATCCCCTTCACCTGCTCTTCACCTGCTTGACACCCCTTCAGTCTTCACATTGGAATTTGAGCATCATTACCTCTGGATGACTCCCCCTACCCTTGACTGACTCCAGTGTCTTGACTGCACTGACTCTGTGTCTATCTACATCCTAGCACTTTTCTCACTGTTGAAGCTATTCTATAGCCACTTGAAGTCTGGGACAGTGTCATGCTCTTTTTATCCCACTATGTAATAGGCATAGCGCAGTATGCCTATTACACAGTGTTGTTGAATGAATGAATGAATATGGGCTTTGGAGTCAGTCAAATCTGGGTTTGAAGACAGGCTCTAGAACTCACAGATTAGGTTAAAACCTTAGGCAATGTACTCAGTTTCAGAATTTCAGTGCCTTTCTCTGTTAATTGGGAATAATAACACCTATATCATAGAAGTTATTACGAGAATTCAACATATCAGTAAAGAAACTGGCCAATATAACATACATACAGTTAAGAATGATGAGACCAATAGAGTATAATATTAGAGTCCAAACTGATTCACTCACTAAAAAGTTATCTTATTCTGGAAGGCATTTTTTCAATACCAAGGATTACAAGAATATATTAACTAAAGCATTTGATTCTGTGTCTCTGTATGGACAGAGTCCCAGTGGAGACTTCTACTTAGTGTCCTATCTATACTCTCATGTCCAGTGTGGGTTGAGGAGGTGGATGGAACGGGCCAACTGCCTTGGGATGCCACAAACCAGTCATGCAAAATTTCCCTAGGTTCCCTGAAGACCTCACTCTCACCTGGACAGCCTGCCCTTACCTTTCCAGTAGCTAACTCCCAGGAGATTAACTCAGGCATTACACCCACCCTATTCCCTAGTCCTTACAATACTCAGCAGGGGCCATGTCTGTGTTTAGGTAGCTCCCTGAGATACCTCTCTGAACACCCGTCCCACTGCCCTGCTTCTCTCTGTCACTAGGCTGTGAGCAACAGGAGTAGAGGGAATAACTGCTGCTCAGCTGTGCAGGTCCACCTCCAGTCTAGTGCCTAGTCCAAGGAGGTATCACAGACTTCAGTGGGATTGTCTGACCAGCACCCAGCAGCTCTTCTCTTGGAAGCATGACACAGTAGGTGCTCGTGCCACTGTGTTGGTCCAGAATATGGGCAACTGATCCAAGTAAGCCCATGTCCTCTTCCCGAGACTGAGAGAACTTCAGAGCCATTTTGTCCTGGTGGCTTGTATCTTAAAGATGTAAAGCCTGGAGCTCGAGACCATGTTTCTGAAGTGTGAAGAAAGCCAGTCAGGGATAGCGGAGAGTAAAGGAGGGATGAAGAGTCCTGGTAGCACACAGGGGTCATGGTTCAAAGTGCTCCTGAAACTCAACCACGGTCTTGGGCTCCTGGCAGCTTGGGCTTTAAGCATGTTAATGACCAAATGAATGAATGCCTTCAAAGAATGTCCACATTGAACTTAGATGGCACAAGAGCAGTGGGTCAATTCAGTTAACCAAAACAGTCAGAACTAACTCCTGGATGGGAGCTGGTATTAAAACAAAAAACAAAACAGTAGCTTTCTTGTCCCTCAGGCAGCTGACACTGCCTCTCATTTCACCTCATCTCTAGGGGGTCCCTATAAAGAGAGAGCTTTGGTTGCCCACAGCAGCAACCTGCCCATTAAGGCATGCTTTATGGGCTCCATCCCTTCTCTGACTTACTCCCCATTCCCTCATAGTGCTCCTGGGATCACCTCCCAATACACTCTTTACATACTCTTCCTCCCTATAAAATTCTCCAAGAGGAATACAGTAAGAAAGGATGCTGAGAAGAGGCCCCAAATAAAACACTAATCAATTTTCCCTAATCTCCTTCCCAAACCACCATAGAGACAGCCACTCATATCTGGATGTCTGGTGACTTTAAGAACCTCTAAATATGTAAATACATTGTGTTAAGTCATTAAGCTTGTAAGAAATAAGAAATTAATTAGCATTAGCATGTTGAATTGCTTAGGTGTCAGTAGCTAATATGGCTAATTGACATTTAATAAGTCTTGCCATCTAATTTACTATGAATTACATTAGATATTAACTAATTGCTTAGCTATTCTTTACACAATTATTATATGTTAATGTGAATTTAATAGCTTATTATTTGGATGATTGTCCTAATGACAAACAAGTTACCTGTTAATTCGGGTTTGAACATATTCAAAACATTTCTAAAACCAGTCTTTTAAACATAATCAATTAATAGATTAATTAATATAATTTAAAACCTTTGAAAAAATAACCATCAGTTTACTGAGCCACAATCCTCTAAATTGGCAGAGCTTTCAGGGTTTGATCTGCTATCAGCAGCCATAACACAGAATATCATTACCTATTACATTAAGCCATTTCCTGGCGCTGATAAACTAGCACACTTTATAGTCTGTTATTTTTGGCCCATGTTTAAATCTCAGAAGTTTCATTAACAGAGTAATGTGGCTGACACAAAAGCGGTTGTGATTTTGGCTGCATTAGTAGAAGCATAATATCTAAAACAAAGGAGGTGATAGTCCTGTTCTTTCCTATGCTGGTCTGACTGTATTTTGTCAATTCTGGGAATGACATACTTAAAGTGACATAAATTATGTCACATGAAGAATTCATAAAGAAATTGAAGATGTTTAGCCAGATTAAAGAGAAAATTCCTGGGAAGACAGAATCTCTGTCTTCAAATATATGATGAAGTTTGTGGAAGATAAATTAGTTGTTATCTTTTTAAACTTATTGACTCCATTGAGAATATTAGGATCATAAGTTTGAAGTTAGAGGAACAGATTTCGGGCTCAGTCAGAGCTGTCTGAGGAGGGAATGAGCTACCTCTGGAATAATGAGCTCCCTGTCACTGGAGGAGTTCAAGCGTAGTCTGCAATCACTCATGCAGAAGAGATTGGAGCTGTGGGTGGGTGGCTGGAGGTGACCTTTCCAATGCCTTTTAAGGCGGACATTCCACAATTCTCATGATAAATTATTTCCCCAATACAACTCACTGGCCTGAATACAGCCTGGAGCCCACAGAGACCACATTATGGGCTCACTTTCAACTTTAGAAAGAACCTCACAGGAATGCATAAGCACTTGGAATTCAGTTCTCATTGGTCACCTGGCAATGAACACTGTCTCTCCATCGTGGTGGAAAAGACTGACTTGGGAGGATCATCTGATGCGTTGGTTTCCTCTGGGTCTCCTGCACTGTGGCTTCCCTTCAGGTGTCCTCCAGCAGCCCACGGTTTGAGGCAAAGCTTAGAAGGGATCAGCTGAGCCACTGGAGCCATTTATCTTTGACAGGACAGCACGGGAGAAGGGGCAGGTGCCTGGCAGGCAAATAAACTTAATGAAGTTTGTAATAGACTGCGGAAATATCAGCCTCATGATCAAAGCAGGACTACAGCCACAAGAAACTATTAATTAAGACTCTCTCACTATCTCCCTCATCCTATTTCCTTCACCGTCGCGGTAACCACTGTAATTGTTCCCAGCCTTTCAAGGATTCCAGGGCGGCTTTTTCTTCCCAGGTTTCAAAGGGCTGTCAGAGGTCAAGTGTTTGGTGCAATCACTGGCAAGCCCTGAGGGTCCCTATGTTCCCAGCTTTGTCCTCTGCAAGAGGGAGAGATGTCTTGTGCCAAACTCCTGCTCCCCCATGCCCCACGCACACAATGTTCTGTCCTAGAATGTCCTTGCTGACCTTCCAAGCCTGACTTAAAATTCCTCTCTCCAGGAAGCCCTCTCTGACTCTGACCATTCGCCCTTACCTCTTACTGCATGGTCATGCTGACACTCACTGGTCGCTGCTGCTGGATCAGGGTACCAGGCTTGGGTCTGTTATTTTGACCATGAAACTATTCCTGTAGTTAGGGTGGTTGTATCTGGGCAAGGGTAACATTAAATATTCAAAATATTTAATAGCCAGTATAGTAATATAAAGCAGCACACAAGTCAATATATCAATAAAGAATTTCTAAATCTGTTCCCTTTAAATCTATTCTCTAACTTAAACTTACCTTACCTTAAGTTAAGGTAAGTTAAGGTAAGCTTAACTTAAGCTTACCAAGTGGTGCAAGCTGTACTGCAGGTCATTCATCAAACAACTCCAATAGCATCCTATTTGTTGATTTTTTTTAAAGCTGTTGTGATCTTTTGTTTGATGCCGTTGTCACTAGCTAAATGATGGCCCTCTCTGTCTATGACTGGACATAGAGAACTGCATCAGCTCTTCCAATAACCTTCCTATTCACTTGCTAGTCCGGAGGTCCCCAGGGTCAGATCTTCGTGCAGAAGTCACACCATGGTTGGATGTGCACCTGATGCCAACGCTTACCACATGACCTAAATCTGAGGACCTGTCTTAGGTCCCCCAACAATGCCACCACCAACCCTGCCTACCCTATGCCCTCTTCCATGTCTCATCAACAATGGGCTACGTTGGAGAAGGGGGCGAAGGCTGTGTACACCCCCATGATTGATCTCAGTAAGCTCAGCAGTGGCCCAAGGTCCCCAGATCTGCTCCCCGCTGTTCCCAGACCTCATTATCCACCACTGTGGCCACCTCTGGGCAGCATCAAATGGCGGCTCAACATCAAATGGTGGCTCAATAACTTATACGATTTACCAACTAGCATGGAAGTGGCTTAATATTTCAACAACTGGTTTGCTGCATTCACATATCCTGCCTTCCCACGTACCCTGTCACCCCACTAAGAGCAGGTGTTCTAGAAAGCATCTGCCCCTTTCAAAAGAGAAAGCAAGTCTGCAAAGAGTCCCAAGATAGCAAAAAATGACAATGCTGTTTTGCCAGCCCATCAGGTCTCAAAAATGATCCCCACATTCTCTGTCCCCCAACACATCTTTGGACAAGTGGGGAATCCAGTCTCCATTCTCTGCTCCCCCAGTATACATCTCCCTATGAAGCACCAACCTATTAATAGATTCTGATTTAGGAATATATTATAATATAATATAGTATAATAATCCCATGGTTCTCTTCCTGGAAGTGTCAGAGGTAATCAGAGGGGCCAACAGACAGGGGCAGCCTCAGTTCCTATATAAATTTCTACCTGCTCAGGAGATTTATAGAGATGGATGGCTGCATGGGGGTGGGAGGGGTGAGAGCCAGTAGCAGAAGGGATGACTTACGATTGCTGTCGACACAGGCAGGCCCTTGTTGCTGGAAATGGCTTTCTTGTTGCCTCTGTTGGTTGAAGCCTCAACAAATGTAGAAAGATGAACTGAGGGTCTCATCAGGGGCTGAGGTTTTCTAAGGCGGAGATCATTAGCAAGAATAATTCTTCCCCATGCATAGCATTTATCATCCCTGCCCTTGGCAGGGGCTGGTGGATCTAGTAGTTCCAGAAAAGAACGGTGGCAGAGGTCGGTCAGGATGTGAATGACAATTGCCAAATCCAAAGTTATTATTACCTGCTCCCCTGCCATCACCGCCTTCCTGAGAAAAGTTGGCCTGTTCAATTAGCTTAATGACATGGTGGGAGATGGTATTTTCAAACAGTGAAAACAGCTGGGCTGCGATCGCTGTGGTTTCTGGCATGAAGCACGTCTGGCAGCCTTGACTGTGGCACAGGGACCTTATCAGCATGACACACATTTTGGGAAATGTTGTAATTCAGCATTGACACCTCGATCAATAGTGTCATTTTGGAGCTGTCTTCCCAGGGAAACAGACAAGGTATTAGCCTCAAACGGTTCAGCAGTCTCTGCAGTGGCAGTAGGTACTTGTCCCTATCCCCCATTCTGGTTCTGCTGGTTCCTATGTGTGGCCATGCCATCTGCTGCACACACTGTCTGAGTGCGAGCTCTGAAGTCAGGCATGGGCTCAAGTCCTGCTCTACCACTCAATCCCAGTGTAATCCTGGGCAAGATACTTAATTACTCACCTTCCCCCCCTTAAGAAATGATACTGACAATCAAGTGTTATGGGCGTAAAACCATAAAGAGAATGTATATAACGAGATCTGGTCCCCGCCTGGCACACTGGAAGTTTCCCCTAAGCATTAACTGTTGGGGCTGTCCTCTCTTCTCTCTCCTTTTCTTTTATTCTGCTCTCTTTTGGTCTGTGCCTCTGTCTCTGTGTACCCATCACTAAACCTTTCTTAGTATCTCTCTCTGCTTTGGTCTTTGTCAGTTTGTCTCTGTTTTTAGTTCCTCTCTCTCTCCTCTGTGCTCTCTGGGTCTCTTTGTCTCAGCCTTCATTTCTTCCTCTATCTCTCTCCTTGGCTATTTAATATTTCCTGGAAGCTTAGACTTGGGGCATTATGGTGTCAGAGGGTTTTCAAATCTTGTGCAGGGAAAATGAACTCTCCTGAATGGTGATCCCCATAGGCTCAGTGAAGCTCGAACTGTGAAATCTAGAGTTTACTACTTAATTATCTTGCCTGAAGCTGTGCCAACTTGGCTGGACTAGCAAAGAAACATGCCAGTCAGGAGCCATTCTCCACCTTCCCATTGAACATGGAGATGCAGCTGGGTGCTAAAAATAGGCATCAGGAGGCTGGGGCAGCTCAGAGCAGGAGGCAAGCTAAAAATACACTTCTGACAATGCAGCCTTCCTGTGCCCCACAGACTGCAGGCTGGCAGGGGCAGGGGCTTCAGGAACCCTGGGGTCTGAAGCTGTGTGGCCCCAGCTGGGCAGGGGGAGGATGGGGCAGAAGGAACACAGGCAGACGCTCAAGGCTGGCAGGTCCATCAGTAACTTGGGAGGCACACAGCAGGCTACAGAGTCACAGAAATTGTGAGGCTGCAGAGCACACTTAGGCAGTGAGATGGTTTATGGCTGCCACCCCCAGAGCCAGTGAGAAGGGAGGTCAGCAGTGGGCACCTGGGTACATCCGAGGTTCCTTTGGCTTTGCCTCTTCACTCTGGCCTCCGTGATTCCCCCCAAAGACTACAACTGCATTCACTTTTTGCTTATGAACTCTTCTATGCCACCCACAGATGCCTCCTAGTCCCCAGAAGGGAGAGGTTTCCTGCCCTTCAACCTAACCCCCAATCATGCAGTCATCCAGAGCTGCCATCCTCTCCAACAGAGAAGACAGACATTTATCTTTGCTGATCACTGACTGGAAATCCCAGCAATCCTGTAAGTTGGTATTATTATTTTCTTCAAATTACAGATGAGGAAACTGAGGCTTAGGGAGGTGCAGTAAATTGCCTGAAGTTTTGCAGCGAGTCAGTGAGAGACCAGATTTGAATCTCTTTTTGTCTGACTGTAACTTCTCTGCTCTCTCCTCTACATCAGTGGCTCTCAACTGAGGGTGGTTTTGCCCCACAAGGGACCCTTGACAATGTCTGGAAATAGTTTTGGCTATTATAACTATGGGAGGGATTGCTATACTGGCTTCTAGTGGATAGGAGCCAGAAACACTGCTAAACATTCTACATTAACAGCCCCCCAACCCCCGCCACAAGAAAAGTTGCTAGCCCCAAATGTCGAGAGTGCTGAGATTGGGAAGTCTCTGGTCTTCATCATGCTGCATCAGTGCTTTCAACAAAGTGGTTGTCAAACTTGGATCGCATCAGAATTACCTAGGGAGCTTGTTAAATCAGAGACTTGTACCCCACTCCCAGACACTCACATTCACTGAGTCTGTGGAAGCCCTGCTCCACCCTCCACCCTCATTCCAGGAAGTGCACACTTAGATATTCCATGTTTCCACTGAGAAACACTTTCCAAGAAAAGGGTGCAAAGGGGCAGATGCCAGGTCCCTGTCAGCTGTGAATAGACCCCTGACACAAGGTGAGCACTTGGAAAACATTCCCTTAGAGGGACCAAGGAACCAGGTAGCCTCAAAAGGTAAAACTCCTGTGGGCCCAGAGCACCAATTTTGTGGCCTCCCTTACCAGCATATCAAATGCCTGACAAATTGCTTACCTTGGCCCATGGTCAATGGAAGTGTGAATCAGTATGTCCTGCTCCCAACTCTTCTTCTGATATAAGCAAGGTGATACAGAGCACAGATGGGACTGTTTGGATTAGCAGCTAAAATAAGAATGAGTGAAACCACAGGTGCATTGTCAAGATTAATATGCAGGCAGCTTCAGAATTGGAATGGTACCAGGTAACATCATGCCTCAATAGGAAGAGTAATATGAATTGACTTGAGACAAAGGGAAGGCAAATGGAAAGTGACAAGCACAAAGGGGAGCAGCAAGAACCAAGGGGCTGTGTAACTAAGAATTCCATGTGGCCCATCACACAGCCTGCCCCCCTTGGCTATTTCTTCCCCATCATCCAGGAAAATTGCCCAGGACTAGGCTTCTAAGCATCTGGATACACAAAGCACCCTGCCCCATGTCAATAACACCTCCCCTATTGTTGTCAATTTGGTTCAACAGATGTTTACCTCAGACAGGGAAGATAAATGAGACACTATTGTAGGAAAGAAAAGCCAGGTGCTCTGAGCATCTTCACTTCATAGGAATCACAATTAGGAGTGTGAGCAGAGGTCTGAGCCAGGAATAAAGAAGGCTTCCTTCTTTCCCTCCTTCCTTCCTTCCTTCCCTCCCACCCTCCTTTCTTCCTTCTTTCCCTCCTTCCTTCCCTCCTTCCCTCCTTTCTTCCTTCTTTCCCCCTTCCTTCCTTCCCTCACTCCCTCCCTCCCTCCTTCCTTCCCTCCTTCCTTCTTTCCTTCTTTCCCTCCCTCCTTTCCTCCCTCCTTCCTTCCTTCTTTCCTTCCTTCCTTCCCTCCTTCCTTCCTTCCTTCCTTCTCACTCCCTCCCTCCCTCCCTCTCTTTCTCCTTCCTTCCCTGCCTGCCTTCTGAGAACATGCAAGTGTAGGGGCCCTGGTGGAAAGCACCCTCCATCCAGACTGCTAGAGCATCCCTAAGCAAGGCTTATGGGGGATGGGTTTTTAGTTTGTGATTTGGGTTAGTGGCAGCTTTGCTTTTGTCTCTACTGCTCAGATGGCAGGAACTTAGAGGTCCAGCAGGGCTCTATTAATTGGAGATTGTTACTGGATAAAGATAGGTGATCCTCAGAATCAAGAAGAAAATGAGTTTATACCCACAGGAAGAAGAATATTTTTAACTGTCAGGCTGACAAATTGGGAAATCTTGAGAGACCCAGAATTGGTGTGGAAGCAGGATTATACCAAATAGCTCTGATGTAGATCCTGCTTGCCGTAGATTTCTACTATCTGCCAGGCTAGAGTAGGTGTTCAATAAATATCTGTTGAATGAGTAACTAAGCCCTCATTATACCAATGGAGATAAAGAATGGTGAGCCCTTTTCTTATAGCACACTTTCCATTGTGTTCTTTTTATTCTCATATTGACTGTTTTATACATCACTGAAATCTAGAGAGATACCCAGACTTTTACAAATGTGAGACTCCTAACATGCATGGTGTCCAATTTATACAGTAGCTTCCCAGTCTTGTATCTGTTGCTCATGGTAGATGTGTAGATTTGGTCTCAGGTTCCAATCCCTGTGGCTTCAGGTGATGGGGCTAGGCATGGATCCAACTCAAGCTGGGCCATTAATGCATGTAACAGATTTTTATTGAACTCCTAGGAATGCAAGCCCTAGTGCCAGACAGGGAAAATAAAAAAATGAACAAAAAGAGTATCCATTTTTGTCTAAACCACATCCTACATTCGGAGAATGGTATCAATCAAATGATAATAAAACTATAAAATTTAGCTGTGATTGAGTATCCTAGATGACAGTTACAGGACAGGATGTGATTGCTTGATAAAGTTGACCTAATGTAAGTTGAGGCAGCAAGAAAGTTTTCCCTTGAAGAAGTGACGTTTTAGCTCAGAGCAGATGGATAATAGGATTTAAAGATGGTGGAGTGAGTGGGTGCAGTTTTCTGGGGAGAGGCCTAAAATGGTTCATCTCTGTGTCCCCGCTCAAATCTCATCTTGAATTGTAATCCCCATGTTACAGGGGAGGGACCTGGTGGGCGGTGATTGAATCATGGTGGTGCTTTCCTCCAAGCTGTTCTTGTGATAGTGAGCAACTTCTCACGAGATCTGATGGTTTAAAAGTGTGTGGCAGTTCCCCCTTCAAGCTCTCTCTCTCTTCTCCTGCCACCATGTAAGATGTTCCTTGCCTCCTCTTCCCCTTCCACCATGATTGTAAGTTTCCTGAGGCCTCCTCAGCAATATGGAACTGTGAGTCAATTAAACCTCTTTACTTTATAAATTACCCAGTCTCAGGTAGTTCTTTATAGCAGTGTGAAAATGGACTAATACAGAAAATTGATGCTAGAAGAGTAGGGTACTGCTATAAAGATACCTGAAAATGTGGAAGCAACTCTGGAACTGAGTAACAGGCAGAGGTTGGAACAGTATGGAGGGCTTGGGAGAAAACAGGAAGATGTGGGAAAGTTTTGAAATTCCTACTGACTGTTGAATGGTTTTGACCACAATTCTGATAGTGATATGGACAATGAACTCAGGCTGAGGTGGTATCAGAAGGAGATTAGGAACTTATTGGGAGCTGGAATAAAGGTCAGTCTTGCTATGCTTTAGCAAAGAGATTGGCAGCATTTTCCCCTGCCCTAGAGATATGTGGAACTTGGAACTTGAGAGAGATAATTTAGGGTATCTGGAGGAAGAAATAACTAAGCAGCAAAGCATTCAAGATGTTACCTGGCTGTTTCTAACAGCATATACTCATATGCATTCACAAAGAGATGATCTGAAATTGAAACTTATGTTCAAAAGGGAAGCAGAACATAAAAATTTGGAAAATTTGCAGCCTGACCATGCTGTAGAAAAGAAAAACCAATTTTCTGGGGGAAAAATTCAAGCTGGCTGAAGAAATTTGCATAAGCAACAAGGCACCAAATGTTAATAGCCAAGATAATGGGGAAAATGTCTCCAGGGCATTTCAGAGATCTTCACAGCAGCCTTTCCCATCACAGGCCCAGAAAGCTAGGAGGGAAAAATGGTTTCATGGGCTGGGCCCAGGACCCCACTACTCTGTGTAGCCTCAGAACATGGCACCCTGTGTTCCAGCCACTCCAGCTCCAGCCATGGCTAAAAGAGGCCAAGGTACAGCTTGGGTCATTGCTTCGGAGGGTGCAAGTCCCAAACATTGATAGCTTCCATATGTGTTGGGCCTGTGAGCACACAGAAGACAAGAGTGGAGGTTTGGGAACCTCCATCTAGATTTCAGATGATGTGTGGAAACACCTGGATATCCAGGCAGAAGTCTGCTGCAGGGGTGAAGCCCTCACAGAGGACCTCTACTAGGTCAAGCAGAGGGGAAATGTGGGGTTGGAGCCCCCACACAGAGTCCCCACTAGGGAACTGCCTAGTGGAGCTGTAAGAAGAGGGCCACCATCCTCCAGACCCCAGAATGGTAGATCTACCAACACTTGCACCATGCACCTGGAAAAGCCATGGGCACTCAATGCCAGCTGTGAAAGCAGCCATGGGGGCTGCACCCTGCAGAGCCAAGGGGCAGAGCTTCCCAAGGTCTTGGGAGCCCACCCCTTGCCTCAGCATGCCCTTGACATGAGACATGGAGTCAAAGGTGATTATTTCAGAGCTTTAAGATTTAATAGTTGCCCTCTGGATTTTAGACTTGCATTGGGTCTGTAGCCCCTTGGTTTTGGCCAACTTCTCCCTTTTTGAATGGGAACATTTACCCAATGCCTGTACTCCCATTGTATCTTAGAAGTAACTAACTTGTTTTTGGTTTTACAGGCTCATAGGCAGAAGGGACTTGTCTCAGGTGAGACTTTGGACTTGGACATTTGAGTTAATGCTGGAATAAGCTAGCACTTTCAGAGACTGTTGGGAAGGCATGATTGGTGTTAAAATGTGAGAAGAACATGAGATTTGGGAGACTGCAGGGTCAGAATGATATGGTTTGGTTCTGTGTCCCTGCCCAAATCTCATCTCAAATTGCAATCCCCTCATGTCAGGGGAGGGACCTGGTGGGAGGTGATTGGGTCATGGGGGTGGTTTTCTCCATGTTGTTCTCGTGATAGTGAGTGACTTCTCATAAGATTTGGTGGTTTAAAAGTGTGTGGCAATTCCCCCTTCATGCACTCTCTCTCTTTCTCCTGTTGCAATGTAAGATGTGCCTTGCTTCCCCTTCCCCTTCCACCATGATTGTAAGTTTCCTGAGGCCTCCCCAGCCATGTGGAACTGTGAGTCAATTAAGCCTCTTTTCTTTACAAATTACCCAATCTCAAGTAGTTTTTTATAGCAGTGTGAAAAAGGACTAACACAAGGCCCAATATTGGAGGGAGCTTTCTAATTTTAAAGAATTGAAAATGAAGGCCAGCAAGAGATGAGGAGAGAGAGAGAAAGCCAGTATGAGTTACCAGCACAGGTGATTTAACAGTACACCTTCATGAGTGGTTGCCCAGAAACGTTTTTCCACTGAGTTTGTCCTCAGTAGCCTTGACTAAGCAAAAGCCAGTGTGGCAGAAATGGGAGAAGAAAGAGTGCACCAAAATATGAGATTGGAGAGACAGGTGGGCCAGAAAACGTAGGATGTCAAGGATTTAGGATTTTATTCTAATCCCAGGAGGAATCTTAAATCGGAATCTTAAGTCTATTTTCATTTACACAATGAAGTGCTTTGATTAGGTTTGTATTTTAAAAAAAATTCTTCTGGCCCAATATAGAGAATGGTCAGCATATTAGAGAGAGTGTAAAAATGGTGTGGAGATACTCATTAAGAGGCTATCATATTAATCTAGGCAGTCTAATAGCTTGAACTAAGGAAATGTCAAGGAAGATAGAGAGAAAAGATATTTAGGAAATAAAATATATAAATTTGATGATGGACTAGGTGTAAGGAATAAAGAAAGGGAAAATGTCAAGGACAATGACAATAAGGATATCCACCCATGGAAAGGAAAATGTCAAGGACAATGACAAAGAGCTCACTCTTGAATGGATAAGAATGTGTGAACACTAGAAAACTACCTAACTGGGTGGGGTGGGAGTGGGGAGGAAGGTGGGTGGAGAGAGTGTGAGCTTTGTTTTGCATATATAAAATTAGAATTGTCTTTGAAATTTTTTAAAAAATGGAGCAATCAAGTAGGCCAGTGGATGTATGGGTCTTGAGTTCAGAAGGAATGTCTAGGATGGTTTATACATTTGGGAATCATCAGTGTAGTCACTGAAGCCATGGGAATGGATGAGGTCACCAAGAGAGCTAGCATAGAACAAGAACAAAAGAGGCAAAGGTGGATACATCTGCAAAGGACTGAAGAGGTGCCAAGATAGGGGGAAAACCAGGCATGCAGTACCAATTGAATTCTCTCCCTGACAGGTGTGAGTTAGGACCCAGAGATTAAGGTTAATTGGTTTTGAGCACCAGCACTAAAGGAGCATGGGTAGTAGGGCAGGGAGGGGGCATTTCTGCCACATGCACACAGTGCCTAGAATGCCGGTCTGCAGGGAGTAATGAGGGGCAGAGCAGAAGCAGAGAGAAGAGGCCACACACCACACAGCCCAGACAGATGGGGTCTGGGCCTCCAGCTCCCCACCTTCCTTAAGTTCCATGGCCAAGGAGATACCTATGTGTGCTTCCTGTGAGCCCACTTTTCACCGTGAGCTGGTTTGAGTGTTGTTTTTCTTGCTGGTGAAGCATGAAGCCAGGAGAGAGCAAGCCTGTGTTGGAGGTAGGAAGCTGATGGTCCTGAGCAGAGCAGGCACAGGTAGACAGAGCCCAGAGAGTGAGAGAAAGCCAGATCTATGGGGCACCACGAGCTTGGCACTTGCACACAGTCTCAACTGAACTTCGTTGCAACCCTAAAAGATAAGAATTCTTGGCGCCTGTAGTCCCAGCTACTTGGGAGGCTGAGGCAGGAGAATGGCGTGAACCCGGGAGGCGGAGCTTGCAGTGAGCCGAGATCCCGCCACTGCACTCCAGCCTGGGCGACAGAGCGAGACTCCGTCTCAAAAAAAAAAAAAAAAGAATTCTTACCCTTCAATTTAGGTGAGAACACAGAGGCTTAGGGACTTTCTCAGGGTCACGACACTAGTGCTCAAAAGATGAGACTAATAACTAATCCTTCCGACGTCTGGTGCAAAACAGTAGTTATATAGGGGAGAGAAAAGAGTGACTGTTTTGTAAGGGTCTGTAAGGAGAAATAATTAGGAACCAGTATAGGTATATTAGTTAGTGATTAATGGAATAAAAATGGCACCTGGGAAGGATGACTTGAATTGCTATGATAAGGATAGATTAAAGAGGAAAGCTGGAAAAGGGGAAGTTTATTCCAATATCTAGTCCTAGTAGGAAGTGGCAGCATCTCCTGACCCTACCACAGTGGGCAGGGGTGGAGAAAGCAGAAAAGGATCAAGCCCCTTCATAGGCTCAGAGTGAAATAAAGCTTTCAAAGACAAGTAAAGAACCTCTACAAGTAATGGATGAGCTGATTTGCTTGGACCTGTTTTAGGTCTCAGTGACCTTATAGCTCCTCACACCCTAGGTGTGTTGCTCTTTGGTTCCCACTCACCTGTGGATGGAGGATGATGAGAAAAGGAAGAGGCTGGTTTGGGAGAGGGAGACTAAGGTGATCAGGAAAGCTACCAACGTCCCCACAAACCAGGGGTGGGCTCCAGATACAGAGGGGACAGGGAGAGTGATCTGGGACAACTATGCTAATGCTCCTTGAATTGGGTACTAGATTCTGAGAATGAGGGGCTGCCCTGAAAATGGGAGTCTGAGTTAAGAGTGGGAGAAATGAGCTTGGAATACGGGATGATCTGGAAAGGCAGGGTGATGCAAGGAAGGGGTCACTGTTGATTCTGGAGTGTTCTCGAATAGGGGGACTTGCTCGGAAGGGGAGAATAAGATCCGGGCATGTAGAGCTGCTCTAGGAAGGTGGAGACTATGGGAAATAGGAACCAGAAAGAGATGTTCTGGGAACAGGGCCGTACTGGAATGGAGCTTAGTGCAAGGAGTTGGAAAGCTAGTGAATGTAGGAGGCCTCAAGCCTATCCATGACACAAATTGCTTTCCTGAACTGATTTGGCAGGGATATCCCTTTTCAGAAAAGAGTGTCTCCGTGGCAAGTGTGAGGAAGGGACTTGCAGAGGGGGTCTGCACCCGCCTCAGTGGTGATGAATGGGCTGCAATCAGGCCAAGGGCTTGAAAATATTTTCCGTCAGATAGAAAAACCCTGTCATCTCTTTCCCCATTTTATTTCATTCTGTTTCACCTCATATTTCACTTAATGGGAGCTGCCAAGGAGACTCTGATTTTTTTTCCCCTCCTTCTCCAGCAGCTTATGCAGTCTGTCAGCCTGAGACATGGGTCTTTGGAAGACTCACAGTGAAATAAATTATAAAAGCCTCTAGTTTTAGGGTGTGTGTCCATGTGCATTTCTGTGTGTGCAGGCTTGCCTGTGCTCACCTGTGCACCTGAGCATGCATGCGTGTGTCAGCATAGGTGTGAGTGACAAAACTCAATCCATGTGGAACAAGGAGATGAATGTATGGGTTTGAGTTCTGCCTCTGATATTTAGCATCCCTGTGCACCCTGAGCCTCAATGGCCTCACTTGTAAAATGAATATAATAATACAGTCCCTTCATACTTCAGAAGCTTGTGTCACAGGGACATAAATACAGTCTGTGATCAATACATGCTACTGATAAGTACAACCACTATCTGTGTCCTTGAGTGGTTCCTCCTGATCCAGCCTGAGTTCATTGTGGTCTGGTTTGATGCTGCCTCCTCTGACATGCTGGACCCCCAATGCCTTGATCCTCTCAGAGCCATCACGCCAGTCCCTGATCTTAGCCCTGCTCCATTGACTGCCTCCTCCATGACTGCCCACAGGCCAGAGAAAGTCAGCAAACACATTTTAATGGAGAACCCCTAGACTTATTCACCTATTTGCTTAACAAATACCTATTGAGCATTTATTATTGAAGAGATTCTTTCCTGAGTCTGGGCAAACAGTGTTGGATAAAACAAAGGCCCTATGCACAAGGACCTTTCAAACAAGTTCAATACTTAGAGTTTAAGATAAGGAGTATTATGGTAGATCCAAGCCAGTGGATGATAGCAGTGCAGAGGAGGGCCCCTGGCCTCAAACTGACCCCTGAAGGAGGGGAGGGAGTTGGCCATGTGAAGGGAACATGTGCGAGGACCCTCAGGCTTTCCACTGCTCAGCAAATCTTTAAGCCCTCTTTTGAGATCCCCCAAGTCTGTCCGCTAATTTCTCTTCCACATTTTTTTTTGTTGAGGTATCCATCACCTCAAGCATTTATTCTTTCTTTGTGTTACAAACAATCCAATCATACTTTTTTAGTTATTTTTAAATGTACAATAAATTGTTGTTGACTGAAGTCACCTATTGTGTTATCAAGTACTAGATCTTATTCATTCTAAATACACTTTTTTTTATATACTTTAAGTTTTAGGGTACATGTGCACATTGTGCAGGTTAGTTACATATGTATACATGTGCCATGCTGGTGCGCTGCACCCACTAACTCGTCATCTAGCATTAGGTATATCTCCCAGTGCTATCCCTCCCCCCTCCCCCCACCCCACCACAGTCCCCAGAGTGTGATATTCCCCTTCCTGTGTCCATGTGATCTCATTGTTCAATTGCCACCTATGAGTGAGAATATGCGGTGTTTGGTTTTTTTGTTCTTGCGATAGTTTACTGAGAATGATGACTTCCAATTTCATCCATGTCCCTACAAAGGACATGAACTCATCATTTTTTATGGCTGCATAGTATTCCATGGTGTATATGTGCCACATTTTCTTAATCCAGTCTATCATTGTTGGACATTTGGGTTGGTTCCAAGTCTTTGCTATTGTGAATAATGCCGCAATAAACATACGTGTGCATGTGTCTTTCTAGCAGCATGATTTATAGTCCTTTGGGTATATACCCAGTAATGGGATGGCTGGGTCAAGTGGTATTTCTAGTTCTAGATCCCTGAGGAATCGCCACACTGACTTCCACAATGGTTGAACTAGTTTACAGTCCCACCAACAGTGTAAAAGTGTTCCTATTTCTCCACATCCTCTCCAGCACCTGTTGTTTCCTGACTTTTTAATGATTGCCATTCTAACTGGTGTGAGATGGTATCTCATTGTGGTTTTGATTTGCATTTCTCTGATGGCCAGTGATGGTGAGCATTTTTTCATGTGTTTTTTGGCTGCATAAATGTCTTCTTTTGAGAAGTGTCTGTTCATGTCCTTCGCCCACTTTTTGATGGGGTTGTTTTTTTTTTTCTTGTAAATTTGTTTGAGTTCATTGTAGATTCTGGATATTAGCCCTTTGTCAGATGAGTAGGTTGTGAAAATTTTCTCCAATTTTGTAGGTTGCCTGTTCACTCTGATGGTAGTTTCTTTTGCTGTGCAGAAGCTCTTTAGTTTAATTAGATCCCATTTGTCAATTTTGGCTTTTGTTGCCATTGCTTCTGGTGTTTTAGACATGAAGTCCTTGCCCATGCCTATGTCCTGAATGGTATTGCCTAGGTTTTCTTCTGGGGTTTTTATGGTTTTAGGTCTAACGTTTAAGTCTTTAATCCATCTTGAATTGATTTTTGTATAAGATGTAAGGAAGAGATCCAGTTTCAGCTTTCTACATATGGCTAGCCTGTTTTCCCAGCACCATTTGTTAAATAGAGAATCCTTTCCCCATTGCTTGTTTTTCTCAGGTTTGTCAAAGATCAGATAGTTGTAGATATGTGGCATTATTTCTGAGGGCTCTGTTCTATTCCATTGATCTATATTTCTGTTTTGGTACCAGTGCCATGCTGTTTTGGTTACTGTAGCCTTGTAGTATAGTTTGAAGTCAGGTAGTGTGATGCCTCCAGCTTTGTTCTTTTGACTTAGGTTTGACTTGGCGATGCGGGCTCTTTTTTGGTTCCATATGAACTTTAAAGTAGTTTTTTCCAATTCTGTGAAGAAAGGCATTGGTAGCTTTATGGGGATGGCATTGAATCTATAAATTACCTTGGGCAGTATGGCCATTTTCACGATATTGATTCTTCCTACCCATGAGCATGGAATGTTCTTCCATTTGTTTGTATCCTCTTTTATTTCATTGAGCAGTGGTTTGTAGTTCTTCTTGAAGAGGTCCTTCACTTCCCTTGTAAGTTGGATTCCTAGGTATTTTATTCTCTTTGAAGCAATTGTGAATGGGATTTCACTCATGATTTGGCTCTCTGTTTGTCTGTTGTTGGTGTATAAGAATGCTTGTGATTTTTGCACATTGATTTTGTATCCTGAGACTTTGCTGAAGTTGCTTATCAGCTTAAGGAGATTTTGGGCTGAGACAATGGGGTTTTCTAGATATACAATCATGTCGTCTGCAAACAGGGACAATTTGACTTCCTCTTTTCCTAATTGAATACCCTTTATTTCCTTCTCCTGCATAATTGCCCTGGCCAGAACTTCCAACACTATGTTGACTAGGAGTGGTGAGAGAGGGCATCCCTGTCTTGTGCCAGTTTTCAAAGGGAATGCTTCCAGCTTTTGCCTATTCAGTATGATATTGGCTGTGGGTTTGTCATAGATAGCTCTTATTATTTTGAAATATGTCCCATCAATACCTAATTTATTGAGAGTTTTTAGCATGAAGAGTTGTTGAATTTTGTCAAAGGCTTTTTCTGCATCTATTGAGATTATCATGTGGTTTTTGTCTTTGGCTCTGTTTATATGCTGGATTACATTTATTGATTTGCGTATATTGAACCAGCCTTGCATCCCAGGGATGAAGCCCACTTGATCATGGTGGATAAGCTTTTTGATGTGCTGCTGGATTCGGTTTGCCAGTATTTTATTGAGGACTTTTGCATCAATGTTCATCAGGGATATTGGTCTAAAATTCTCTTTTTTGGTTGTGTCTCTGCCCGGCTTTGGTATCAGAAAGATGCTGGCCTCATAAAATGAGTTAGGGATGATTCCCTCTTTTTCTATTGATTAGAATAGTTTCAGAAGGAATGGTACCAGCTCCTCCTTGTACCTCTGGTAGAATTCGGCTGTGAATCCATCTGGTCCTGGACTCTTTTTGGTTGGTAAGCTATTGATTATTGCCACAATTTCAGATCCTGTTATTGGTCTATTCAGAAATTCAACTTCTTCCTGGTTTAGTCTTGGGAGAGTGTATGTGTCGAGGAATTTATCCATTTCTTCTAGATTTTCTAGTTTATTTGTGTAGAGGTGTTTGTAGTATTCTCTGATGGTAGTTTGTATTTCTGTGGGATCGGTGGTGATATCCCCTTTATCATTTTTTATTGTGTCTATTTGATTCTTCTCTCTTTTTTTCTTTATTAGTCTTGCTAGCAGCCTATCAATTTTGTTGATCCTTTCAAAAAACCAGCTCCTGGATTCATTAATTTTCTGAAGGGTTCTTTGTGTCTCTATTTCCTTCAGTTCTGCTCTGATTTTAGTTATTTCTTGCCTTCTGCTAGCTTTTGAATGTGTTTGCTCTTGCTTTTCTAGTTCTTTTAATTGTGATGTTAGGGTGTCAATTTTGGATCTTTCCTGCTTTCTCTTGTGGGCATTTAGTGCTATAAATTTCCCTCTACACACTACTTTGAATGCATCCCAGAGATTCTGGTATGTTGTGTCTTTGTTCTCATTGGTTTCAAAGAACATCTTTATTTCTGCCTTCATTTTGTTATGTACTCAGTAGTCATTCAGGAGCAGGTTGTTCAGTTTCCATGTAGTTGAGTGGTTTTGAGTGAGATCCTTAATCCTGAGTTCTAGTTTGATTGCATTGTGGTCTGAGAGATAGTTTGTTATAATCTCTGTTCTTTTACATTTGCTGAGGAGAGCTTTACTTCCAAGTATGTGGTCAATTATGGAATAGGTGTGGTGTGGTGCTGAAAAACATGTATATTCTGTTGATTTGGGGTGGAGAGTTCTGCAGATGTCTATTAGGTCTGCTTGGTGCAGAGCTGAGTTCAATTCCTGGGTATCCTTGTTGACTTTCTGTCTCATTGATCTGTCTAATGTTGACAGTGGGGTGTTAAAGTCTCCCATTATTAATGTGTGGGAGTCTAAGTCTCTTTGTAGGTCACTCAGGACTTGCTTTATGAATCTGGGTGCTCCTGTATTGGGTGCATATATATTTAGGATAATTAGCTCTTCTTGTTGAATTGATCCCTTTACCATTATGTAATGGCCTTCTTTGTCTCTTTTGATCTTTGTTGGTTTAAAGTCTGTTTTATCAGAGACTAGGATTGCAACCCCTGCCTTTTTTTGTTTTCCATTGGCTTGGTAGATCTTCCTCCATCCTTTTATTTTGAGCCTATGTGTGTCTCTGCACGTGAGATGGGTTTCCTGAATACAGCACACTGATGGGTCTTGACTCTTAATCCAATTTGCCAGTCTGTGTCTTTTAATTGGAGAATTTAGTCCATTTACATTTAAAGTTAATATTGTTATGTGTCAATTCGATCCTGTCATTATGATGTTCGCTGGTTATTTTGCTTGTTAGTTGATGCAGTTTCTTCCTAGTCTCAATGGTCTTTTACATTTTGGCATGATTTTGCAGCAGCTTGTACTGGTTGTTCCTTTCCATGTTTAGCGCTTCCTTCAGGAGCTCTTTTAGGGCAGGTCTGGTGGTGACAAAATCTCTCAGCATTTGCTTGTCTGTAAAGGATTTTATTTCTCCTTCGCTTATGAAGCTTAGTTTGGCTGGATATGAAATTCTGGGTTGAAAATTCTTTTCTTTAAGAATGTTGAATATTGGCCCCCACTCTCTTCTGGCTTGTAGAGTTTCTGCCGAGAGATCTGCTGTTAGTCTGATGGGCTTCCCTTTGAGGGTAACCCGACCTTTCTCTCTGGCTGCCCTTAACATTTTTTCCTTCATTTCAACTTTGGTGAATCTGACAATTATGTGTCTTGGAGTTGCTCTTCTCGAGGAGTATCTTTGTGGCATTCTCTGTATTTCCTGAATCTGAACGTTGGCCTGCCTTGCTAGATTGGGGAAGTTCTCCTGGATAATATCCTGCAGAGTGTTTTCCAACTTGGTTCCATTCTCCCCATCACTTTCAGGTACACCAATCAGACGTAGATTTGGTCTTTTCACATAGTCCCATATTTCTTGGAGGCTTTGCTCATTTCTTTTTATTCTTTTTTCTCTAAACTTCCCTTCTCGCTTCATTTCATTCATTTCATCTTCCATTGCTGATACCCTTTCTTCCAGTTGATCTCATCAGCTCCTGAGGCTTCTGCATTCTTCACGTAGTTCTTGAGCCTTGGTTTTCAGCTCCATCAGCTCCTTTAAGCACTTCTCTGTATTGGTTATTCTAGTTATACATTCGTCTAAATTTTTTTCAAAGTTTTCAACTTCTTTGCCTTTGGTTTGAATGTCCTCCCGTAGCTCAGAGTAATTTGATCGTCTGAAGCCTTCTTCTCTCAGCTCATCAAAGTCATTCTCCATCCAGCTTTGTTCCGTTGCTGGTGAGGAACTGCGTTCATTTGGAGGAGTAGGGGCACTCTGCTTTTTAGAGTTTCCAGTTTTTCTGTTCTGTTTTTTCCCCATCTTTGTGGTTTTATCTACTTTTGGTCTTTGATGATGGTGATGTACAGATGGGTTTTTGGTGTGGATGTTCTTTCTGTTTGTTAGTTTTCCTTCTAACAGACAGGACCCTCAGCTGCAGGTCTGTTGGAATAGCCTGCCGTGTGAAGTGTCAGTGTGCCCCTGCTGGGGGGTGCCTCCCAGTTAGGCTGCTTGGGGGTCAGGGGTCAGGGACCCACTTGAGGAGGCAGTCTGCCCGTTCTCAGATCTCCAGCTGCGTGCTGGGAGAACCACTGCTCTCTTCAAAGCTGTCAGACAGGGACATTTAAGTCTGCAGAAGTTACTTCTGTCTTTTTGTTTGTCTGTGCCCTGCCCCTAGAGGTGGAGCCTACAGAGGCAGGCAGGCCTGCTTGAGCTGTGGTGGGCTCCACCCAGTTGGAGCTTCCTGGCCGCTTTGTTTACCTAAGCAAGCCTGGGCAATGGTGGGCGCCCCTCCCCCAGCCTCGCTGCCGCCTTGCAGTTTGATCTCAGACTGCTGTGCTAGCAATCAGCCAGACTCCGTTGGCGTAGGACCCTCCGAGCCAGGTGCGGGATATAATCCCGTGGTGCGCCGTTTTTTAAGCCTGTCGGAAAAGTGCAGTATTCGGGTGGGAGTGACCCGATTTTCCATGTGGGTCTGTCACCCCTTTCTTTGACTCAGAAAGGGAACTCCCTGACCCCTTGCGCTTCCCAAGTGAGGCAATGCCTCACCCTGCTTCGGCTCGCGCATGGTGGGTGCCCACTGTCTAGCGCTCCCTAGTGAGATGAACCCGGTACCTCAGATGGAAATGCAGAAATCACCCGTCTTCTGCATTGCTCACGCTGGGAGCTGTAGAACAGAGCTGTTCCTATTCGGCCATCTTGGTTCCTCCTCTCTTCCACATTTTTATCAATTACTCAAGTTGTTTTCACAGCCTCCAGATCTTCCTCCTCCATCAGCCCAATCCGTGACCACTGGGTTAATCCTCCCAAAGTATTGATACAATTAGGTCACTCACTGCTCAAACATTCCCATTTTATACAAAATGAAGTTCCAACCCCTTAACCTGGCTTCAAGACCTTCCACAAACAATGTTTCCAACTTCCTATCCCACAGTACCCAAATATTGGGTCAATGATAGCTCATTTCCAGTCTTTGCAAATACTGTGTTCTTTCCCCTTCTCTATCATTTCTCCCTGCTCTTCCATATGCTGGGAAAGTCCTACCTGCCTCCACATCCTGTTTTCCCCTTTGGGGATCACAGGCACACTTTGAGTCCTTGCCAAGATTCCACTGTCTCAGGATGCCTTCTAGAATCCCCTACCCCACATGCGAAGGAGATTTTCCCTTATCTATTGGATCAGGTGACCAAGAAAGCTCAATGTTGGACCCCTCCACACACAGACAAAAGGGATTCTTTTCATACCAGGGACAAGAGGAAACAATCATGGAACTTTGGGTATCAAGATCAATGGCAGGGTGGGCATAGGAGACTGAGGTGCTCATAAACATCATTTCACCTAGGTTGCTGTGAACATTGACTCATGACAGAATAAATGCACATGGTTATATCTATTTCTTCTCAAAATGTCAAATTTCTAAAATGACTACAAATTATTTTTAAAATATAAATTCACAAAGACAAAGATCATGGAAGTAGAGACTATAGTAAATGAGAAATATCACATAATCTTTGAACCTGGAAAGCAGATGGGAAACAACTGATTTCCCAGGACAGTGAAATTTAAGTTCCATGGTGAAGAAACAATGAGAGGCATCCCACCTGCATCAAATGCCTCCTACGCATCACTTCACAACCTCCTGGTCTTGCCTTTTGCCAATTACTCCTCACCATGTATTATGCCATAGCCAGCTGTTCATAGGATCTAAACAGATTCATGCAGGCACCAGCCACCAGTGCCTCACCTCATGTTTGCGCTGCCCTGCAGCTTTCCTGTTGACACTATGGGACTTGCTCAGTGCCCATCCTGCACAACCCAGAACTGCAGAGAAGTTAACTCCCTTTAGGTGAACTTTTGACCGGTGTGATCAAGAGATTAGTAAGTAAATTCATCCCTCTTCCTTCCCTCACATAGATTATACCAAGGTGCAGTCATATTTAAAAGCCATCGACTCCACTGCAGGAGTCAGTGGCTCTTGAACCATGTTAGATTTTCTGTTTCCTGGACTTGATATATTTTTCTTTTTTGATTTATTTGTGGCTTTTGATTTATTTGATGGCCAGCACAGGAACACATTTTGTGTTTGCTCTCCTTTACCCCTGCCTCACTCCCATTTTCCCTTACTCCTTTGTTCCTGGGATTGAGCTGCCTACTATAACACAGTACATAAAGGCTATGTTTTCTTAATCATGCTGAGATACCACCAGAAAGCCAGAAAAATAATCAAGGACAGATAGCCCCCAGAGATCTTTGAAGGCAAGTGTGAGGGATGGGGCTAAAAACAGGAGGGTCTTTTAAAATCTATATAAGAAGTTTATGCTCTCAGATCCCCTTCCAGTCCCAGATGCCAGGCAACTGCACCTCTACCACCCTGCATAAGTCTTGAGTAAAGTTTATGCATTGGAGAAGCTTATTTATCTATTTTCTTTTTGAGAGACAGGGCCTCACTCTGTCGCCCAGGCCGGAGTGCAGTGGCATGATCATAGCTCACTGTAACCTCAAACTTCTGGGCACAAACAATCCTCCTGCCTCAGCCTCCCAAGTAGCTAGGACTACACGTGCGTACCATGACACCCAGCTAATTTTTAAATTTTTTTGTAGAGATAGGGTCTTGCAATGTTGTCCAAGCTGGTCTCAAACTCCTGGTTTCAAGCGATAATCCCACCTCAGCCTCCCAAGTTGGTATCCTCAAGTTCAAACTCTTATTGAAACTCCTGGCCTGGAAAAGTTTCAATAAGACTTTGAACTTGAGGATACCAGACACCACTGAGGGCAGGGCTGAGTAATCTTACTGAAAACGTGGAGATTGAGCATCTAAATATTAGAAAACAAAGTCCAAAGAAACAAATAAAGACAATAAACTTGAAGGGAACAGAGACAATGTATACAACAGAAAAGAACCATTTTAAAACAATTTCCCAAAAAAATAAGATATTGCATCCATGAAACAAGAGCAGAGTACTATAAAAAATTGAAAGCACAGAAGAACTTTTGGAAATTAAAAATATAATAGCATAAATAAAAGTTTTAATAGATTGGGGGGGAAGTGAGGAATTGTTTTGATACTGAAACAAGAAGACAAACAGATGGAAAGCTATCTTTTTTTAAAGCGGGGAATCAATCTAGAGGTCCAATATCCAGCTAATAGAACTTCCAGAGAAAGAATAAGAGGATACCGAATGTGCCTAATATAATAAGTTTTAAAAGAACCACACAAGACACATGCTCATGAAATTTTAGAACAAGGATAAAGAGAAAAACTTCAGAGGGAAAAATACATTTAAAAAATCAGATAACAAAATGGCATTTGATACATCTACAAAAATATTAGAAGCTAGGAGATAACAAACCAATATCTTTAACATTCCAAGAGAAAAAATAAATTTTATCTAACCTGGAATTCAATAGCCAGCCAAACTTTCTCTTACTCTGTCTTACATGTTCAGCAAGGTCTAAAAAAAGACTGATCTACCATAAATCTTTCTCAGGAACCTCCATCAAAGTGAAAAAAAGGCAGGGTATGGTGGCTCATACCTGTAATCCCAGCACTTTGGGAGGCTGAGGTGGGTGGATCACTTGAGGTCAGGAGTTCAAGACCAGCCTGGGCAACATGGTGAAACCCTGTCTCTACTAAAATACAAAAAAATTAGCTGGGTGTGGTGGCACATGCCTGTAATCCCAGCTACTCGGGAGGCTGAGGTGGAAGAATCACTTGAACATGGGAGACAGAGGTTGCAGTGAGCTGAGATCATGCCATTGCACTCCAGCCTGGGAGACAGAGTGAGACTCTGTCTCTCAAAAAAAAAAAAAAGCCACAAATAAATCAAAAAAGAAGAAGAAGATATCAAGTCCAGGAAACAGAAAGTCTAACATGGTTCAAAGGCATGATTTCTTGGGATTAGAGTGAAGGGAAATCCCAAGGTCATGGCAGTGTAGTGAACCTTGGAGAGTGAGCAGCCCAGGGACAAGGCTGGTTGAAGCCTCCTGGCGGGTATTCATCCTAGGAAGAACTCATTAGGACACACAGACTACCTCATGTGTTCAACTTTACTGAGGGGAGTTTGATAATTTTGTTAAGGAGTCTGAAGATGAATTATGTATTTATTACATATTAAACAAACAACCAAAATGAGCAAAGATTGATCCCAGGGAAAACAAAAAGTTATTCAAGAACAGAAATGTAATCATTACAGCTTGACTGTTAACATTTGCATGGCAACAATAACAGATACACTATCTAATCAAAAGTATTAAATAACTATATTAGATTGGGGGAAGGAAATATTTATGGTACGGTGGGTGGAGGGAGAGAGGGTGGTGAAAGATCCAATTCTCCCCTTCTGTGTTGGGAAAGCAATAAATAATAAGTACAAATTTTTAAATCCAGAAGTGGTTATACATTTACATTATTTAGAAATAAAAATGTAATTATCAAGAGAAATAGAAAAAGTCGGATGTTTGCCTTTGAGAAATGGGACACAGCATTAAGATGAATAGGAGAGGCAACTGCTTTCTTCTGTTATTAATCTTGTGAATTCCATTTGACTTTTAAAACTATGTACATTGTCACTCTGATTAGAAGTGGGGGTGGGCAGGCTGGTTGTGAGAACTATAACAGTATGTTACATGAAATTTTTTTTTATTGTCTTGGAATTTGGGCTGAGGCTCCAAAACTGAGAAAAATGATGGTGAAATGCCCACACATTCTGAGAGAGTGCTTAGACACATCTCATCTTCAGGGTTTGCACAGGAAAATTCCATCTGTGACCCTCACCCCATCACCTGCTTCAGTCCCATAAATAAAAGCAGGTAAATCAAGGATGGTTCAGAGAGCGGATTTCCTGGGACTTGTTACCTTACTTAGTAAGGAGTCCTGTCCTCTCACCTCAGTCTTGCAGAGAAACACATTTAGAAAGCATAGGCCATCTGCAATGAGCAGAAGGAAACCTTCACTCCATAAGGCTGAAGCAAAGCAGGGAAAGAGCTTCTGGAGGACCTAAACTACATCTGGGGAGTTTGAGGGGCACAGAGACTAGGGACTGGCACCTGATCCTCACCTGGCAGCAGAAGGTTGGGGCCGGCTGGAGCTGCCTGTCAGAGCTACCTGGGAGCCCCGAGTCTAGTGGGGCTTTCCCTGGGATAAGCCGATGTCACAATAAGAGCCAGATTAGAGTTATCTTAAGAGGAACCTGCCCTAAAGGACTGCTTGCTGGGATAAAGTGACCCCAGCAGAGAAGCTGGGTAGGGGGCATGATCCTGGAGAAGGAGCTTAGGAGAAGTCATTGGAGGTCATCCAGAAGTCCTCATGTTAGAGAACACTGAGGGAAACATTTAAAGGACCCACGAAAGCACCCCATGAGGGAAAGAGCCAGCATCTGGACATCCAAAGAGCTCGCACAGGTCCCTGCTACCAAACTGCAGCAGCACCAATCTAGTTAGATGTGTCCTTCTCTCTGCTTTCCCCTCCCACCTGGCCCTGCAAGAGCCCCAGGCAGTGGCCAGTAGGGGGGATGGGATGGAACAGGGAGCTTAAGAAATAAACAGCCACCTTCCACCCCACCTCAGGCGGCTAAGCATGAGTAGGGCCTGAGTTGGGAGGAAAGAGAAAAGCTTAAATTGGATGTGAAATGAAAGTATTGATTTAGATCCACCTGGCCTTTTTAATACCTGTAAATAAAACTTCTAATATCTGAAAGTGACTGGAAAAGCTATAGAATCTGTCCAGGGGCAGAGAAGGGTTATCCAACAGGGCAGGTTTGAAGGACAAGTTGTTATTTGCTGGTTCATTTTTTGAAAGTTACCCTATTTTTTTTTTAAAGGAACCAACATGGGTTGACACCTACTATGTGACAGGCATATACACAGATTATCTCATTTAATCCTCACAACAATCTTTCATGGTAGTGGCTATTATCCCTGTTTTGCAAGTCAGGGAATTGAAGTTCAGAGAGGATGAAGTTCTCAAGATTACATAGCTAGAAAGTAAGGGGCCAGGCTGGGCAGTGGCTCACACCTGTAATGCTAGCACTTTGGGAGGCCGAGGCAGGCGGATCACAAGGTCAGGTGTTTGAGACCAGCCTGGCCAGCATGGCGAAACCCCATCTCTACTAAAAATACAAAAATTTGCCAGTATGGTGGCACACACCTGTAGTCCCAGCTACTTGGGAGGCTGAGGCAGGTGAATCGCTCAAACCCAGGAGGCAGAGGTTGCAGTGAGCCAAGATCAGCCACTGTACTCCAGCCTGGGTGACAGAGCAAGACTCCGTCTCAAAAAACAAAAAATTAAGGGGCCAGGAATCAGATGTAGGACATGCCCCAGAGTCCATGCACATCCCAGACAGAGTGATTCAACACCCAGCGATTGATGTCAAACAGGACTTTAAACTCCTACGAGGCCAGTAACTGACACCATCTCTCCAGGGACAAGTTATTTCCTCTTCCTCAGCCTCACTTTCCTCATCTCTAATGTAGGAAAATAATGCTACCTATTTCACAGGCTTGTTATGGGGATTAAGGGAGATCATTCACACTGAGTTCAGCCTATTGCCTGGCACATAGCAAGACTTGATGAACAGTATCTACTGTTACTAAACTATACTGCACCCTGAATAAAAGATGATGAAAGGAAGCAATAATTCAGGAGTGCCTGGAATACCACAAATACTCAATAATTGGTTGAATGAAAACTGAGTTTCTTCTCTCCTGTAAAGATACATATTCTTGTATGGAATGGATTGCATTCTGCATTGTATTGTAGATATTTCATAAAAACAGAATCATAAAATCGGGAGGCATCTGGAACTCATTGAATTAGATATTTTTTTCCCTGATAGACTGTGAACTACTTAGAGGTAGAGGCCATATCTTGTACTTTATTCATTAACTTATTTATTTACGCATTCAAGAAATATATATGTGAGATCTGTGGGTAAAGTATTGCATAAGGTATTTAGAGAAAGAGAGAGATTGTTAGAACTTAGATCCTGCCCTCGGGAGCGTAAAACCTAAGCAAAGATGAGAATAGTGGCAGGAACAGAGGTGCAGATGGTGTCCTGGGACAGCGCAGCACATTTCACCCTGTGCAGCACTCCTCACAGTGCCCGACACAGAGAGAGCATGCACCAAATGGTGTGAACCAATAGTGAACAAACGTGCCTGTGACCAGGAGAGTATGCATGCCTAGGACAGGAAAATGAGTGACCTGAGCAGACATTGTGGGCATTCAAATTTGATGGTGCCATGGGAAGTGAATGAATGGTGTGCCAAGCTCTCTGTCCCAGGTTATCTATTCAGTCCTTTCTTCCAGCCTGCTCTGTGCCCATGTTGCCCTCTGCACTATAGAAGTTTATTGGACTCATTTGGGAGCTCAGTGTTGATCTGATTAGATCATTTCCCAAATTCAAGACAGATACAATATCTGGCCAGGGCCTTCATTATGTCAGAAGGAAGAGAGGACTGAGGAGAGGGAGGCACGAGGAAGGTGACTGGCTCCAACTGCATCAGGTGTCTTCCCTCTGGGGCCCTTCCTTTAATGGTGTTGCTTCTGGAGGAGAAGTAGACCATGTGCGGTTCATCTTCACACTTTTTTTCTCTCGCTCTAGGAGCTCAAGTATTCACGAGAGCATCCACAGTTACATGTGCATTCACAGCATGCTCCAACAGATGCACCCCCAAGCTCTCACAAGTAAGAGATGCCACTCTTCACCCAGACACTTTGCATTGCAATGGTACATCAGGGAATCATCAGCCTTCCTTCTCCAACGCCCCCTACAACCACCACCACCAAAAACTGGGGCTTCCAATGCTGGAAATTCTACATTGGCAAACACCCCAAGAAGGGACCCAGCATTCAACCTTCTCAGTCACTCATGCCTCAGGACAAGTGGGAGCAATGGATCCTTTCTGAGTGGGCAGTAGGAGACATGAAAATTGAGCAGACAGAGAGGGTCTAACTCCGTGCAGTAACAAAGAATTTGGACAAGGGCAGTTGGAGTTACCTTCTACTGTTTAGCTTAATTTCATCCAATTTCCATTGTACTGTCCACCAACCACATCCTAGGCATTGTTCTGAGCACCAGGGAGAAACAGGGAATATGACCCAGATCCAGAGCAACTCACAGCTTAGCTGCTATCAAGTAAATAAACAAGTGGTACGTAAACAAAAGCAATAAGTTCTACAATTGAGGTAAAGATTAGGGTGATAGCACAGTGGAGGGACAACTAAACCCAGGCCAAGAGGCAAGGGTTAGGAAGGAGAACTTCTTAGAGATGGTACACACAAGAGCTGAACCTTTAAGCTTAGAATTAAGGGTGCACCCTGCCAATATTTTAAAATGAAATCACCATAGGCCATTGAAATTGGACAGGAATGCTCCCTAAGTCTGGACAATTTCCACTCTCTAGAGATGTAGGGTGATATAGCAGAAAGCACAGAGATCCAGGCTGGGGTGCTCTGAGTTCATATGCCAGCCTCAACGTCCTCCAGCCAAATGGTTTGGGAAAGGCACTTAGCCTCTCTGAGCCTCATTTTCCTCAAGGTTCTATCCACCCTGTCTGCCTCCTCTGGTTGTTGTGAAGACCCGATGAGATAACCTGGGTGTAAACACTCTATCAACTATTACTGTATGAGTCATTGCCTTTCTCTGTTTTGGCAAATCCCTCCTCCCTGCCTCCCTGAGTGCCAGGGTGTGCTTAACAAAGGGCTTTCTTTCTTGACACACCAACTCCAAGCTTTCTGAAATATCCCTTGGGGCTGTCATGAGGGCCCCAAGCATCTGTTCCCGGCTCCAGGCTTCAGTCTCAGGAAGCAAAATCTCCATGGGGAGAAGCGTAAAGTGGAGACCCAACAGGAAATGAGTTGCTTGGGGTTTGGGAGTAATGAGCATATGAGCCAGCCATATTAATAACTGCACAATAAGGACTCTAGCAATGGTTTGGATCAGAGTCCTCTCCCTACAAGTGCCAGTGACCTGTCTAAGCAATAATTGTAATATTAAATATTCAGTGTTTTTATTAAATTAATAATACCTTTTTTGCTCTCTGTAATCACTCATATCCTTTCTTTGTACTCCGTTTATTCTGAAAATCCACCGACAAGTAGAAAATAAATAGAAGTTCAAAGATGGAAGGAAGGCCAAGAGCTAGGGCTGTCTGAGCCTCCTTGATTTTGCCTCTCAGAGATGTATCAATGTCCATGGCTTTGAGGGTTACAGTCTCAGTTACATGATAGCATTTAATGGAAGAACCAAAGGTTTAACTCCTGGACGGGCTGACCTTTGGCAAGAGTATGAAATATGTGAGCATGGCAAAATGGTGAAAAGTGCAATTACATTCCAGAGACTTGGGCTCAAATCCAAATACTGTCAGCTCACCTTTAGATAGGAAAGCTGACCTCTGTGATATTCAGTGTCTTATTCGTAAAATAATCACTGTCTCATCTCCCTCCTAAAGCTCTTGTGAGAACAAAATGAAATATTGGAGGTAAAACTGATCTGTTGATTGTAAATTAGTTAACAACATAGGTAAATATTATCCCACAGCTACCTCCTGTGTTGCAGGCATTTTCTTGTTCCTAGTCTGTTGCCCCAAGTACCATACTAGAGAGCCCTGTTAAAGCCTGCCCTCTGTGGACAGTTCCTCTTTTTATAAATGTAGCCCAGTTGCCTAATTTTCATGAGTTATTAGAAAACAAAGTGGCCATTTTACTAGTTTAAGTTAATGTGTGAATAAAGATTTATATTCAGGAGCTGTCAACCCTACAGGACCTGTTACTCCCAATGCACTAATCTCTAATGGAAACTCAAATTAAACTCTAATGAGCTCAAGGAAGACATGTTACAGGTGAATGGGACCTTTCCCATGTTCTTCAAATTGAATATACTCAACCTGGTCATATCACTGTCTATCTGTAAAGTCCATAGATCTCAGGATGATATTCAGGGTCCTTCATAATTTGGCTCTAACATTTCTTTCCAACTTTATTTTCCATTACCTCCATGAATTCTTCCCTTTGGTCACATGGAACCTCTGGTTATTCCACATTATATACCTCATGCTTTCTGGTCTCCATGCCTCTATTTATGCTATTGCACTTGCCTGGAATGTCCATGCCCTCACCTCTGCAGGTCCACATTCTACTAATTTTGTAAGACTGAGCTCAAAGTCCCATTTCAAGCACAAAATATTCCCTGATTCCTCACTACAGGGATGATCTCCTCTTCCTACATCAGGAAGGATGCCTCTCCTATAGCTTCCATTTTCTATCCTGTGTGATGGTTATTTGTACACACACTTTAGCTCAAGAAGGACCCCATTCCCAAAATATACACCTCATTGATATCTGAACTTTTGTCTGTAGACTCTCAGTTAATCAGCATATTAATTTGCTTCTATTTGATTCAAAACAAAGTAGGAACCACGGGGAATATTCAGAAGTTTCTCTGAGGGAACCTGTGATTTCACTGAGGTGACTAGTAGTTGATACAAACAAGAAATGCTTTAGTAAAGACCAAGAAGAGCTCACCAACATTGAAATAGACCTTTCTTTGGGTTAAATATTGCCTTTCCAGAAATCCTCTTTTAATGCACATGTATTCCTGATAGCGAGTATCTCAACATGCTTCCAACATGATGGCATGATGGGTGACAGAGCGAGACTATGTCTGAAAGAAGGAAAGAGAGAAGGAAAGCAAGAAAGCAAGAAAGCAAGCAAGCAAGCAAGAAAGAAAGAAAGAAAGAAAGAAAGAAAGAAAGAAAGAAAGAAAGAAAAGAAACACAGAGAGAGAGGGAGGGAGGGAGGAAGGAAGGAAGGAAGGAAGGAAGGAAGGAAGGAAGGAAGGAAGGAAGGAAGGAAAGAAAACCCAGAGAAGCGACTGGGAGATGAAACTGTGGCTGGTCTTAAATATTCAACTTTCAACAGAGTCCACAGCTCCTAAGAACTCTAATATATTAGAAATGCTGCTAAGACCCTTCATTCGATGTGCATCTTTCAGATTATTCTAGAATCAGATCAGGCTTCTAACTACATCATAACTAGTATAAAAAGAAAAAAGTTATAATAGCGCTTTACATTTATATAATTCTGTATAGTTTACAAACCAGTTACACATATCTTTTTTCTCTTTAGCCTGTCATACTGGAGATCCAACCACATGCTGCAAGAAGTGTAGTTCACATTTCTTGAATAACAAAAACCAGAGGTGATATGTTGAGAGCTCCCCATCCTCATTCCACAAGATGTCTTAGAAAAGTTTCTGCGTTCTTTTGGTTTCATGACTTCTGCTCCACATGGCTGTGTCTTTCATTCCATTTAGAATCAGGGAATCCAGGGGGATAGAAGGGGAAAATCAAAGATGAATCAAAATCTGGTGACCTCATCAGAGAGCTGTAATATGATGATGTCAATCCAAACGATGCAGCGAATTAGTGTTTATAATCTCTGATGGCAAAACCCCACTTATTTATGTCAATTCTACACAAATATCCTCAGTACACTCCTACTTCATATCAGTGTGATGTCCTTGTGCAGCTATGATGGGTCTAGTCAGTCTCCAAGAAACCCCAGAAAGCCTTCAGGGCCCAGAGGGCCAAGGCTGGCCACCAGAAGTCACAGCGGTGGGAGTTGTGACCCCTTGTTGATTCAGTAGATGCTTCTATGTGTTTTCAATAAAAATTTAAGGCAGTGATTCAACCTAGCTGCACACTAGAATCACTTACGAAACTTTTAAAACACACCAAAGCCTGAACAATATTCTTACATATTCAGATTCTATTTTTGAGGCAAGCTGCTGGTACCTGGCCTCAATATTTTTACAAGGCTCTAGGTGATTCTAAAGTGCAGCCAGTGTTGAGAACCATCACTCTAGATGCAGAGGTTCTCATATTTTAGTAAGCACCAAAATTACCTTGAGAGTTTGTGAAAACACAGATTTTAGGGCCTGCTTCCAGAGTTTCTGATTCAGCTGAGCTGCAGTGGGAGCTGAGAATTTGCACTCACGACTGATTCCCAGGTGATGCTTATGATGCTAACCCAGGGACTATACTTTAAAAATCACAGCTCTAAAGTGTCACAAAGGCTTTTACTTACATATCAAAACCAATTCACCTAAACCTTTCTACTTATGAGAAACATCCCTCACTGGCTACCAGACAGTTCTACTTATTTAGGCTTAATTATTTGCCTGACTCAGTGTGAAACAATGAAGTACAGTGAAACTCTCAGTTTCAAGCCCTCACTCTCCCATTCCCTCTCTCTTTCCCTCCCCTCTATGCTTTGATGGAACCTGGAGAGCAGTTTGTTTTTTGAAAATCCCAAGAAGGTCATTTCTGAAAATTTGCCTGGGAGCCCTAAATGTCTACTCAATAGTTAGGGTTGCGTCATGCTGGGTCAGTTCTTGGCAGAGACTGATGGGCTCTAACTTCAGCACCTTGGAGAGTGGCCTCTGTGCTACACTCAGAGATGGAACAAGGACAATGGAACTGTGGTAATCATTCCCAGTGAAAAGGAGGAAGAATAAATGGCACACAGAATTCCCTGATCTGTGACAAATTTATAAATCCCATTAGGCAAGCATTGTAAAGTTCCTTGATATTACAAGTCCCTTAAAATTTAATGGGCTTCTGATCTATTTACTTCTAGTTACTTGCATGTGCCAATAACCATATAAAATTTTTCAGCTTTGCTTTACTTGCTTACTTTCCTGCCCATATGCCTTTTTCCTTCTATTTCCCCTTCCCTCCCCACCTGCTCTCTCTTCTCTATTAACGACAGCTATTTTAAGTCTATCAGGCTGTGAAAGGCTGTCTCTATCATTAAGAATAGTGCCTTGCACCTGGTAAGTGATCAATAAATAAATAATCATTGAATAAAGTATTTAGGAGGAAGTATACCAATATCTTCAATTTATCTTGAAATGCACCAAGATATTTAAGTGTGTCTGTAGTTTGAACACTCACCTGGAAGACTCACCTGGAGGGTTTGTTAAACCACAGATCATTGTCCCACTGTAGAGCTTCTGATTCAGTTGTTCTGTGGTCTGGAGTGGGACTGAGGTGGTTTGATAGATGGTTAGAAGGAGTTCGAGACCAGCCAGGCCAACATGGTGAAACTCTGTCTCTACTTAAAAAAAATGCAAAAAATTAGCCAGGTGTGGTGGTGGGCATCTGTAATCCCAGCTACTCAGGAGGCTGAGGCAGGAGAATCACTTGAACCTGGGAGGTGGAGGTTGAAGTAAGCCAAGATTGAGACGTTGCACTCCAGCCTGGGTGACAAGAGCAAAACTGTCAATAAAAAAAAAAAAGAAGGATGAAGAGATTATTATGTAATAATATAAATATACTAAATTGCTAATGGCAGAAGCTGGGTAGTGGGTATATAGATCTTCATTGTAAAATTCTTCATTGTGAAATTCTTTCAACGTTATGTATGCTTTTAAATTTCTATAATAAAATGTTGAAAAATGACAATGTAGTGCCTAGTGTTTGTGTACCTGGCTTTAAAGAGCACAGAAATTTACAGTTCAGATCTGTGCGTTCTCTCTCTCTCTCTCTCTCTCTCTCTTTCTTTCTCTCTCTCTTCCCTCACCCCCTTTCCCACTCTGCTTCAGCAGCTTGGCTAGCAGAATCCTGGAGTGGGTGTGTGGCTCATTCAGGGGTGGAGGGGCACTCCAATAACTGCCTTCTCTCAGGGACCAAAAGCTACATAGGAAGTGCTCTAAGGGCAGGCGGTTGGGAAAGATTGGAAGCCAGTGAGCAGTTGGAGGAGCCCCAGGATGGAGAGAAAGTAAACACGGCTGTCCTCAGCCACCAAGAGGCAACCTTAAGCCTACCACCTCCCTCCCTCCAGCTGTGCCACAGCAGGGGTTGCACCTCTTTCCACTGTCCACCCTGCAGGTCCAGGAAAGGAGTCTCCATTTGGATGAGGTTGCATTATAAACTGTGAACCACTGCAGGACAAAGCCTATGCCACATCCAGAATGGAGCAAATCGTCAGGCTGGAAAAGCCCTCCTGAGCTGTTTCCAAGCAAGAACAATGATCACGATGCCAAATCTGTTCCATTCTTTCCCTCCAAGAAACATGTGATTTTGGGCAACAACAAAAAGATTTGGATTAAATATAAGAAAGGCCTGTCCCAACATGTGGGTGCTCCACATATTGGCTGAGGAATCTGTGACATCTTATTTTATAAAGGTTCTCAAGCAACAGCTCTACATGGGCATGCTCCTTCCAAAGCCCATCAGCAATTTTCAGACTGTACTTCTTGCAGTGTGTTAGAAAATTGTACAAGTGGGAGAAGAAGGGGTATGGAGACTTCCTTGGGGCCTGGAAGCCTGGGCTTTGGCTCAGCTGCTTGAGAAATGTCTCTGTCTTCTCTCACTTCATCCTTTTGCTGCTGCTTCTGTCTTTACCCCCACCCCACAGCCACAGGACCAGAAGAAGCCCAAACTGGAGAAAAGGAAAGCAGAGCCAATGCTCCCACCTATGCCACACAAGAAAGCCCAAGTGGTTTTCTGTCATGCTTTCTCCCTGGTGCCTTTTTAATTAGCTTAATGAAGCTCTCCCACTTGTGGGTGCAGAAAAAAAAAGGAGATGGGAAAAAATGTGAGACTAAACAGCCCTGTTGACTCAGTGCTGGAGGTTGTGTTGTACCCTGGAAATGGAGGAGGCTGGCTTTGAAGAAACAAACTATCCCTTTTGCCATCCCATAAAGCATCGCTGCAGCAGCTGGTGAAGGAGACAGCTCCACATCCCTGCCCTACTGGGGCCCCTGACATCTTGATCTCCCTAGGAGCCTGTCCCGGGGCAAAACAAACCAGAGTTTGTCCCATATGAGCAGTCATGGTGCCTCATTAGTCCTGTGATTCCAGTGTCCATCATGCAGCTTGGCATACCACAGGAGCTCAGTTGATGCTGGATCCTTTTGTGTGTAAATGTATGACAGCTTCCCACGCATTCACTCCCCTTCTCATTGCTCATTCCATCTGGATGGTAAGGTAGAGCTCCAGCCAGGGAGATGGCGGGGTCCTCAGTGCGTGAGTGCTTAACACTCTCCTCACAGAGCTGTCACTCTGGCACGAACGTGCTCTCCCTACAGAGTAGGTCCCACATAGATTTTTCTTCTCTGACTTATCCAGGAAGATATATTGATCCAGTCCAAGTGACATCAATAGACCCAGGTAACTGAATAAAACTTCCAGAGTTTGCCTTTAAATATGCATGATATAGCCTCAAGACAGCACCCGGTAGCTTTGCTGCCCTCCCTTCCCCTGTTCTTAATCTACTGTGACTATTAAACATCATCCTCATCTCAGCTCTAGCCTCCCCTTCCCAACCCAGGTACTTCTGGTCCAGTCCCAGGATAACGTGAGGAGGCCATGGGTAAAAATTAAAGGTGATAGTGACAGAAAATGGAGGAAACCATACAATTCCATCCCATGTTCCAAAGCAGACCTCATCAACTACCTGATTCAAGGATTCTCAGGGCTCTGGCCACTTCTGCTCCATCTCTCACAATAAAATTACTTGAGGCCTATTTCCTCCTTAGGCTGGAGAGTGAACTCTGCCCTTCACCCTTCAAGAAGTCCCATGCCTCTGTGCCTAGTCAGTTTCCTCCTGGAGCTGGGACTGGCACTGACATGAGCTCGAAAGGAGGTGGTTTGATTCTCCTTGGACCCTACCCAGCCCCTACTGTGACTCCTTGGGACTGCTATATCATTTTCTCTCCTTAGGGATCCACAGGATATATGTTCACATAGACCACTTTGCCACCTACAAGTCCTGTGACCTAAAGCAATGTTCTATGCCACAAATCCCTTCTGTAACATGGAAATAATAATACCTACCTCATAGGGATTAACTGACATTAAATACATGAGGTGTTTAACCTACTGCCTGGTATACAGCATTAGTGGTAAAAACAACAGCTTCCCCCTCCTGAGTACTTATTGTACATTAGGCAGTGCTTACATTAATCACTCCAATCCTCATGACAACCCTGTGAGATAATTGTCTGAGCCATTTCACAGATGTGGAAACTAAGATATAGAGAGCAAAGTAACTTTCCCCAAACCCACAACTAGTAAGTGAGAGAGCTGGGATTTGAACCCAGTTCTTTTTTATTCCAGGGCTTGTGTTCCTAACTACTGGACCTATTCAAAACACATAAATAAATGTTACTTCCCTTCTCCCTTTCTACTCATCTCTCCTCACAACTACCACCTGACTGTGGAATTTTTTGTCAAGATGCAAGGTTTGATAGTAAGGGTCAACAAATTTTCTATAAAAGGCAAAATAGTAAGTATTTTTAGCTGTGTGGGCCATATAGTCTCTGTTACAATTACAGTCGTGTGCTAATGACACACTTCAGCCAACATCAGGCCATGTATATGATGGTGGTCCTATAAGATTATAATACTTTCTTATGTCTTATATTTATATTATATACTTTTTATGTGCCTTTTCTATGTTTAGATACACAAATACTTACCTTTGTGTTATGATTGCCTAGAGTATTCAGTACAGTAACATGCTGTATAGGAGCAATAGGCTATACCATATAGCCTAGGTGTGCAGTAGGCTATATATCTAGGTTTGTGTAAGTACACTCTGTGATGTTCACACAATTAGGAAATTGCCCAACATTTCTCAAACTTTATCCCATTGTGATTCATGACTCTACTTACCTCTGCCAGTGTAGTATGAAGGCAGGCACAGACAATAGGTAAATGAATGGGCATGGCTACATTCTAATAAAACTTTATTGACTGAAGCAGGTGGCTAGATTTGGCCCAAGAGCCATAGTTTGCTGGTCCCTGCTCTAGAGTAACAGCACAGCTCTAGAGGAAACAGACTTAGGATAGAGAGTACCTGACAAACTGTGGGTGGTCAGTAAGTACTTGTGGGTTGATTCTGAGGTCACTTTGTCCATCTTCTTGAATCCAGGTGGTAGCACCAATAGCCAGTTCTTCTTTGATTACAGTTTCACAATAAAGCTGATTTCACTTTTACCCACATTGTCTTTGTGTCTCATTTATGTTGGGAAGATGCCCTTCTATCTTGGCTCATCTGTGAATTAAGATTTTCACTATTGAGAACTAATAGTGAAAATATATGCATCAAAACTAAACCTGCCTCCTCCCCATGACTTGAACAACTACATTCACCAAGAGACAATGCCACTCTCCTTGCAAAGCCACTGCATCCACAACAGAGGTTCTGTTTTACTGAAGATGGAAAAAGTCAGAAACTTCCTCCCTGGTATTTAGGCCATGTACTGTTGGAAGGGAAGCTCTTCACAACACCTCTGAGAGGAACTCGAGTTCCTGATACCACAGCAATGACTACAGCTTTTTGGCCTCCTAGAGGTGAGAAACGACTGTGGGTGGAATAGGTCCCTTCAAAACAAGGCCTGTGTGATGAAAGGATTGCCAGTGCAAGAGGAGCTAGGGAGACAGCCTATCAGATGGCAGCGCCGGGGATCCTCACCTCCTCTCTAGTTGTTGCCACTGGGGGACGAGCCTGCAAGATACAGAGAGAACGTATTTTGAGCTCATTTGTTTTCATTTATATTTATTGGTTTGTGGGCATGGGATGTCTGAAATGCCCATATGGTCTTCAACACAAGCTACAGCAAGAAAAATAATCTTGGGAATTAAAATGAAGCCAGAATTAAACAGCCAGTCCCAAGAACCACGCCATCTACAGTCCTGAGCACTCTAGAGAGGAGCAGAAGGCAGGAGAGAACTTAAGTTCTGATGGCCACCAAGGATCCAACCAACTGAGCCAATGCCTAATTATTGGGGTTGCTTCATTGGCTCCCTTGATTATTCTCATTCTACCCTCTACTTCTTTCTGGATTCATCCTCTGCCACCCCATGCCCCATAAGGTCTCTCCCCAAGGCTAATGTCTCCAGAGATCATCAAAACCATGACGACAACGAGACCCCTCCACTCTTGGAGCAGGCTTAGCAAAAGAAAAAAATGAAGCTACCAGTTGCAGGGCAACATCTGTGGTTTCCACTGCTTGGAGCATCTCTGGCTCTCCCACAGTCACTGTTTGGTGTATCTCCCATGACAAAGAGAATACACCTAATCCTTTCCAGACTAACCTCCCCCTGCCCCCACCTTTCACAGCATATTCGAATTCTCGCCAGTTGGCACTTTGCTACCCATCATCTTATATTCCTCTCTAAATATTCCAGATGTTACCTCCCCAAGTATAAAGGAAGCTCCTTAAGGGTAGGGTATATTCTATTAGGATAATAATGATATGTGAAAATATTGAGGACAAAAACAATAATAAATCAGTCTTGGACTAGCAGTTCATACTATTCTGCCCATGGGCTTTGGTAGACAGGGTTGTACTCATTCCTACTTTACAGCCTTTGCAAGATTGTTCCCTTCATCTGGTATACCTCTCCTGTACCCCCACCCTTTACATGTTGATGCCTTCACATCAATCAGATCTCAGCTCAAATGCCATGTCCAAAGAGGCTTTCTCTTGTGACTCAAGCTACAGTAATCCCAGTGGTAATCAATAAACATCTGTTGAATGAATGAATGATCTCCACTTTGTAGATGAGGAGAATGAGACTCACTGTGATTAGAAAGTACTTAGCCACGGCCAAAGAACTACTAAAGGCATAAACTGAGGTCTTCTGACACCAAAATGCTTATTATTATTTCTCCTCCACTGTAAGTGCACCTTGGCAATTATAATTTCTTATCCAATATCTATCCAGCTCTGCATGCATCATGAGGACAGGGCCTGTATCTTTCATGTTCCTCCTTGTGTAGCTCCGCTATCTAGTACAGGATGTGGTACATCCACATTGACTGTGGTAATGACATACACTAGTATAAATGAGTCAACTAATTGCCATCTAGTTGGGTCTCAATAAATATTTACCCATATACTGAGATTGGTGAACTCAGGACATAGATACAGGAGACACCCTTCACTTATTCTAGTCCTCTTTCTTCAAGTAGTAAAACAGCCTATTCCTGGAATGTCCCCTGGAATGCAGAAGTGACAAGGATGCTAGGGGAATTTCTTTGAAAACCTGGAACAAGAACAGGGAAATTGAATATCTAACATAAGCAGTTTTTGTGCCAAGTTACAAATCTCAGCTAATTACAGCTCAGTACTGCTCCTTTGGGGTCCTTCATCTGGCATGAATTGCCTTCACTTGGGAATCGAGGTTCATACTGCAATCCTCCCCAGCCCCTTCATTCCCAGGGTGATCCTTGGTCTGGGTCAGAGAAGTAAGGTGCTGTTGGCTTATCTCAAGACAGACAGTTTCATGGCTGGGAGCAGAAACAGCAATAAAGACAGAAGTTATGAGTCTACAGCCAGCAGGGAAATAGAATGGGAAGCTGCTAACACACCATATTCATCTCTAGAAATTTCATAAGATTTGATTCACTCTCATGTCATATACTAATTTACTTTTTTTTCCTTCAGGTTAGATTCCCCTTCATTTTAGTCAACTACTTTTTTTTTGCAATATCAGTTACACTTGTCCTCTTAGGCTTTCTCTCCCTCTCTTTACATGCCACCTCTGTCTTTCATTGAGTCTTCCCAGTTTTAAGAAGGTAGTGTAGTATAATTGATTGAACAGGCTTTGCAGTCATGCTAATCTGGAGCTAAATCCTTGTTCTACCAGTTACTAGCCGTTTTTCTACAAGCAAGTCACTGAAATCTTCTGAGGCTCAGTTTTCTTATCTGTGAAATGGAGATAATCCTCATAGGTGATTTGTGAGGACTACACCGCATGTGTTGTCTGAAGGGTTTAGCATAATGCATGACAAATTCAATAAATGGTGGCCACATTATTCCTGTTACTTGTCTCATTTCCCCACGCCCAGCTCCCTCTCATTTTCCCTTTGACTGTGTGTGTCTACACGCATTCATAGCCTGACTTAATAAAACACTGATTACTTTATCCATTTTAGTATCTCAAATTGGTCAAGATACTTGATCAGGCAGTCCCTGGTATTTCAGAAATTGTCTCTCTCTCTCTCTCCCTCCATTTCCCCATATCCTTTTCTCCTTGATACATTTTAATTTCTCCATCTTTCCTGAAAATACCTGGGGAGACAGTGGCCATCAGCATTACTTTGCAGTCATAAGTCCCACCTGGATTCTATTCAGAACATTTGGCTAAAAGAGCCAGAATATCTGCCACTTAGAGCCTCTCTCACTTAGCCCACCATGTTTAATTCATGTGTGTTGCAGGCCATTTAAAGGGGCTCAATGAGCTGTGAAGATCAAGATATGAGCCATACAGATTGTACATTATTGAATTAAGATGCTAAATATGGAGACTAAGTGATGCCAAGGAGAGAATAGTGAAAGCCTTAATGGTTTATAACGATGGAAAGCAGGGTGGATCAAGTCAGTAGAAAATTGAAAAGATGCATGACTTCAAAGAAAGGGCCATTTATCATACTAGAGTCATCCTCAATTTCTCCCTCTCCCTCACCCTCTACACTCAATCCGTCACTAAGTCCTGTCAGTTCTGCCTCCAAATAAATCTCAGACGTCCACTTCTCTTCATTCCCACTGTCACAACCTAAGGTCAAGCCCTTATTCCTCTTCTTTGACTACTACCATCAGACTCAGTTGTCTCTTTGGTTCTATTTTAGCTTTTTGTAAACCACTCTCTACTCGGCAACATTTCTAAAATATAGACCAAATCGTGTCACTCTTCTGTTTAAAATCTTTCATTGCTCTTACAAAATCCAGATTCATTAGCACAGTTTTAGAGCTCTTCATGACCACTCATCTCGGCCCACACTTCTTCCCTCTTGCTTACTCTCCTCTGGCCAGTCTCGTCTCCTTTCTGTCTTTCCAACATGCTAAGCTCATTCCCACCTTAAGGCTCTTACATTATTGTTCCCTCTGTCTATGTTTTATACAACCAGTGGCTTCTCATCCTCCAGGTCTTAGTATAAGGCAGCCTTCTGTGGCCCCCTATCAACATAGTCTGCCCTACTTACACCCCATCTCATCATCCTGCTGATTTTCTCAACAACTTTGCTTAATTCCTTTTTTTCTCTCTACTCTGTGAAGACAGAGACTATATCTTGTTCATGATGTATCCCTTGTACTTTACAGTGCAAGTATTATAGTACTTGATCAATAAATATTTGTTGAAAAACTAAATGAGTGAATTTATCACAGGAATTTCCATTCCAGGATTTGATTTTTCATTAGCCAATTACAGACTAAAATCATTTCTCACATTCCTTCTTGTTTTTGGCTCTAGGCTGCAAATCCATAGCTATAGAAATTATAGAATGTAACAGGAAGATACAGACGGTTGATCTTCAACAAAACAAGAGAAAACAACAAAACTTCCACATTAGTGGAAATAAACCACTCCTTCATTCAGTAAATACTGAGCACCTATGTTGTGCCAGATAGTGTCAAGCACCCATAATACCCTGACATTTAGCATAGCACTTGAGTGAAGCTTACAGTCTGGGACAGGCAAACATCAAACATATAAATATGTAGTTATACCTTGAATTAACTGCTCTGAAGAAAAGGGAAAATAACTTGTTGAGACTAACAATGGGGCAACAAGATGGTCAGGAAATGGCTCTCTGAAGAGAAGACAAAACATTTAAGCTGCAACCTGAAGGCTGATGAGTGAAAAGTGAAAGGGAGATGGCCCAAGGGAAAGAGTCTGGCCCCCTGGATGGTCTGTATCCATGGATGAGGGAAAGTGAGGTCCCTCACTCCATGGATCATACAGGGAGCTCTTTGCCACTTTCTCACACACCCCTTTAGCCATAAGGGAAAACAAATTTTTAAAAATGAATTCTTTGTCTACAAATGTAACTTTTGCACTCCAAGTCTGGGTATTTGGACCTCAGAAGGAATACCAGACAGGTTTCTTCTTTGTTCCAACAGCTTTGTTCTGTATCTTCATTGTGTGTCTTTGACTTCTTGAAGGATTTGAACTGATCTGAAGAACCTCAGCATATTGATCTCTCCCTAGGTGGCATGGATTTGTCTCTCCCATCTCCAGAAAGGAAACCATTTACCTCTTCTGATTCCTCTGAGTGTCTGACAGCAGCCCATTAGGGTGACACTTAGGCATTTATGGCATAATTTTCTGGGCATATTTATTTAGGAAAAATACCTTAATTATTTAATAGTCCACAACTCCTGCCAACTCATTATAAAGTCTGGGCATGTGAACCAGATGGCGAAGGAAAAATAAATAAAAGATCAGTGCCCTGCTGGAGCCCCGGGTCACTGAATCTGCTCTGCACAAGACCTTCAGTAAGCAACCACTCTTTGGTATGCCAGGAGGGTTCCCCATTCACTATGCTCCCGGTGAGCGCTCCCGGTGAGCACATCTGGGGCTTCCCCCCTTGGACCTGGAGGGACCTAAGAAGAACAATGGACAAAACACTGGACTAGGAATCCACACACAAGATCGTAGATCTACTCATTGGCTACTAGAATTTGTCCCTACCTGCTGTGTGACTGTAGGCAAGTCTCCTTTCCTTTCTAAATCTCAATATCCTATCTTTTTCTCATAAAATCAAGTCATCAAACCAGATCAGGGGTTTTCTAATATGTTTTTATCTGTAAAACCCTGTCTTCTATGGAAATTTATATGGAGGTCTAATACAGTAAACAGGTAAAGTAGAGCCCACTTTTACTTTGTCGCCAGAAAGTGCTCCTTGGGATGCCCAATGCTCCTAGAAACACTGCTTGGAAGCTACTGAGTTAGAAGCTCTCACAGTCTTTGATTATAAAGGATTCAGAGATTGGTTTGCCCCATGCTATGGATTGAATTGTGTCTCTCCCACCAGCCCCCTGCGATTCATATGTTGAAGCCTTAATTCCTGATGCTACCGTAATTGGGGATATGGTTTTTAGGAGGTAATGGTTAAATGACATCATGGTGGGGAGGCGCCTAATCCAATAGGATTGGTGGCCTTACAAGAAGAGGAAGAAAGAGCAATATCTCTTTCTCCACAGCGTGTACCAAGAAAAGGCCATTGGAGGACACAGCAAGAAAAAAGCCATCTGCAAGCCAGAAAGAGAGCCCCCACTGGGAATCAAAGGAGCTAGCACCTTGATGTGGGACTTCTCAGCCTCCAGAACTGTGAGAATACATTTCTGTTGTTTAAGCCACTCTTTGGTATTTTGTTAGAGCAGTCTGAACCAATAAGTCCCAGCTGTGGAGCCAGTGGCCTCTTGGTCCAAAGATGAGAGTGGCCGTCATAACTTTGAATTTGACTCCTTTAATGTCCATAAGTCAGTGTTCCAGTTTGAAGGCAAAGGAATGTCCAGTTCCTCCACAGGACTTCCTCATCTGCTCCAGCTCATAGAGACATCTTTCCTCCCTGGACTCTTCCTGTCCTCGTGTTTTGTTTGATTATCTCTTAATTGAATAAGGATAATCTATGTAACTTAAAATCATATAGGCAGGCAGTTATATCTTTTCAGTGCTCCCGCTTAACTCTTATTTTATTCCTCTGTCCAACAATATTTGTTGACTCCCCAGCAAAATCAAATAAAGATCAAAATTTCACATGCTCCATCCTTGCCTTTACAGCTCCCCTACACATAACCTAGGTAATGGACCAATCATTCTTCTACATGCTCTGTGTTTTTCTGCTTCTACACATTGTTTACTCTGCTTTTTCATCTGGGACACTACCTACCATCTATGGCTGTCTAAATTCCTCCCACCCATCAAGGCCAAACTCAGATGCCATCTTCTCCATAAAAGCTTCCCTGAAACCTCTAGTTGGAAATATTATTATTACCTCTTCTGCACTTTCATTGCCACTGACTCTGCTGATGGTTGCACATAGCACCCGTTTTCCTGCTATAGCTATCTGACAGTGTCTTAAATCTCCTTCTAGACTGCAAATGTCTTGAGAACAAGAACCATGTCTTATTCATCTTTTAATCTTATATGGTGCCTGGCATAGTGCCTTGTAATTAGAAGGTACACAATAAATAATGGTTAAATGAATGGATGGATAAATGAATTTGAGTATAACTGTACCTGATTAGGTGAGGAACAACTTAAATATAGACAGAGATTTTAATATGCCTGTGCATAAAAGAGGAAGTACGAACCTGGAATATGTGATGAGCTTGGGGGCAGATGTCAGAGATGAAAGGTGCAGTAACTCATAACGCATTCAACAGCTACATGTGTGTTAAGCACTAACCATATCCCAGGAACTGTTATGCTACTGGTGACCAAAACAGACAAAGCTCTTGCCTTCTTGGGACTTGCAGTGTAGTGAGAGAAACAGATATTAGGTATACACTTGAATATTATGTTAAATAATAATTATAACAAGTAGCTTGCTATATAAAGAAAAAGAAGACATTACTCTGAAGGAGAATGAGAAGCACACATAATTTAGATTGAAGGGTCAGCAAAGGGCTCCTCAAAGACATGGCATTTTAAACAAAGGTTAACTAGGTTGAGACCTGAAGGGCCAGTAAGAGTCAGGCAGCCTTAGAGACATACAAGGCCCCAATATAGGAAACTGGTGCCTGCAAGAAACTGCAAAGCCAAGACGGCCCAAGTGTAGAGGCAGAGGGATTGTTAGGAGAAGAAGATGGAGGGTAGGTGAGGACTTGATAGTGTGGGGCCCTCCAGGTTTCTTAGAAGTCTAGGTTTCTTCTAAGCACAGTAGGAAGTCACTGAAGGATTTCAGCAGAGAAGGAACATAATCCACCCTTCACTTTGAGTGCTGCATGGGGAAAGATTGGACCCGCTACAGAGTTAAGTTAGGAGACTGTGGCAGGGAAGATTTTAGACTAAAGGAGTGGCAATGGATGTGCAGAGAAGTGACAATATTGGAGAAATATTTTGGGAGATATAATATTTGAGATACAGTTATTGCCACCAAATTTCTTGAATGTATTTTCTTATTTATTGTCAATGTTTCACAATTAGAACATAAGCTCCATGAGGACAAGGACTTGTCTTATACACTGCTGAGTCCCACTGCCTACAACAGTGCTTGGCATATAGTGGGTATTGGGTAATATTTGTCAAATGAAATTATGATGGAATGACTTATAAATTTGAGGTAAAAATGAAAAGGAAGAAGGTGTAGAGAGAGAATTCCAGGATTGAAGGTGATATTTATTGAAATGAGAAAAATGAGGAGAAGCTATTTTGGAGGATAAGATCAAAAACTTATTTTTTGACCTCTTAAGTTTTCTAGATGCCTGTGAGGTATCCAAATGGTTACTGGTCTGAAAATTCTAATTTAGGTAATAGCTACACAGGTACAGCATCTCAAATCATGGTAACATCTAATACAGAATTTCTTGACTTGGAGAATATAGTGGCCAAGGATCTGTGCATAAAGGATTTCATAAACCTGAATGGAAAAAATATTGTATCTTCATTTTTACTAACTTCTACCTGAAATTTAGCATTTTTTTCAGTTATGACTGACTGTAGGCAGCAACCTACAGCAGTATATGCAGTACCTGTGACTTTTGTGAACAATAGAATTTACAGATATTTCCATACATGTTACAACCATCACAGATACCTTGCAAGATCATTTGTGCTCATCACTACCTCAACATGATAGAAGTCATTAGACTCACCATTATATCTTCTTATTTAACACACTGATTTTAAAGTATATCTATTGTTATAGTACAAATTTGGTTTTTTATGTTTTTGTAACTGTTTTTCAAAATAACATGTTTCCTTTTTTGTCCTATAGAGTTTACTTAATGTATTTAAAATCATTACTGTGACAAAGGGTGCACAGGCTTTGCCAGGCAGCTGGAGGGTCTGTGTCTCAGGATAGGTTAAGAGCTTCTAAGAGGAGCTGGAGGCTGCATCTGGGGAGGAGGGAGCTACTGGGAAAGCAGGAGCTGTTGGAGGAGAAACAGCCAAGGGGAGAGAGAAGCTGACTAGAAAAACTAGATCAGACCAAGGATGAACTAGTTAGGGCTGAGAGAAGCAGGAAGCTATCAAGAACAAATTGGAAAAATGAGGAAATGAATGAACAGCTCCAGGAGCTGACCCGGGGGCTTCACACCCAGTGGAGACCAGAGAGAGAATTCTGGAAATGGAAGAACAGGGAGCACAAGTTAGGTTGCGGCCTGTGAATGGCCGAGCTTGGGCTGGAGACCCTGTACTACATCTTCCAGAGAGGCAGCTCTTCCAGAGCTGGGGGCTCCCAACCTGGGTATAAGGATGCCTGGGGCAGGCACGTTAGAGAAGGGATCACTGGGCTGGGAAAACAGGGATCCAGGCCCTGCCCTTGACCAGCTCTGAGACTTTAGTCCAATCTATGTTCTTCCCTTGGGAGGGTGAAGGGTGGTCTGTTTTCTTATCCTATAGCTGAAGAAGTTGAACTAGAAGATTCCTCACGGTCCCCTAATACAAACAGTGTAGGATTTGGTTAGTCCTCTGTTCTGGGCCTGCTGTGATACCAGCTGGCTGGAAGTGGAGTCTCCTGTATTCACCTGGCTGCTCAGAGCCTCCCTTCTTTGTATTCTCCTTGTACATTCTTCAGGCTTCTCTTACAACACCTTGTGGCACTTACCCATTTATAAACCTGTCATTCCCATTCCCAACCCTACCCATAGACTATGAGCTTTTAAGACTAAGGATTTTGCCTTGCAGATTCACTTTTTCTCTCTGCTACCTAGCTCAGCAAACATTTGCTGAGTGAAAGAATGAATTGATATAACAATTCCATGAATAAATGATACAACAATTTATATACTTTGAGAATAATTATTTGATTGGGACAAGAGTAATTGAAGTGCAAATAGATGGTTAAATATATCAACGTCTATACTAAAAATGGTCTATAGTCAACAGGTGGTATCAAATTTTGTTCCTTCACTTTACCTACATATTTATCTCTACACCCTAGAGAAAAATAATTTTCATAATAAATTCCCTCTGGTCTCTCTCTGGCAAGTGAGGTCTCCACCACCATCCCTATCCCTCCCTCTCCTAGGCCCCATGGAGAATGAGTCAAATTCTGATCTCACTGGTCTGATTTCAGGCTATTGATTGACCCTCTCTTCTGCCTCCTGTCTCAGGAACAATAACTGAGCCCACCCACTCAAGCTTGAAGACCAACTGCAGAGAGGTCCTCCTTGGGCTTAAGCTCAAGATGCATACTCTAACTGACTTTACTCAAAGCAGCTGAAGTATCAAGCCCTAGCTCGACCAATAACAGAGTGCTTCATGGTTTCCCATTTGCCATGTATGTATATAGCCATCTCAGGCACATTAAGGGACAATTTGTGGCTAAGTTAAGGCAAGATTTGACTATTTCTAGATCCACCTGGCCTTTAACAGAGAAATCCCCATTCCTTTAGATGCTTGAGGGAAAAACACTCTGAGTCGGAGTATGCTAGTCTTGTGTAGGGTTGGAGAGGTGAACCGAGGAAATAAGAATGTCTCAAAAGCTGTTTAGTTGCAAGGAACAGAAAATCACTCCAACTAACTTAAGAAGAGAGGCATTTATTTAAAGATACAAGAAAATTCAGAGAAAAAAATTGTATCATGAGGAAAGCAGAAGATAGATGGCACAGAGATAAGAAGTTAGTGAAAGAAAGTTTATGAAGTAGAGATAACAACTGAGGATGTCTCTTTAAGAAATTCAGCAATAAAACAGAGATGTGCGTCAGTAACCCAAGAGAGTATTGCAGAAGACAATGTTCTCAGAATGTAAATTGAGGGATAGGAGTTAGAGAAGGGGCAATAGGGAAAAGAAAGATGACATAATTGATACACAGTAGATGCTCAATAAATACTTGCAAATCAATTGAAACCACCTGGGCTGAGGAGAAATGAAGTTAAATGTCTCAAGGGACACTGAGCGTATCTTTATCTCTGTCCTACAAGGTAGGCAACTACTTTCTGATTTCTCAAGCGCTGCAGTATGAGACTCAGCCATCACCCTCTGAGGAAATTGACAGCTTTCTCAGGCCACAGCCAGGGGAACAGGCATATTGTTGAAGTCTCAAAGCCACCATGAGTTTCTCATGCCAGCTGCCTGTGATTCCTACATATTGTGAGACCAAACAGATTTGAAGAGAGCAAAAAGTAGTCAGGAATAGCCAAGATCACATTTATAAATTGGCATTATGAATTATTACTTGCCAAATACAGTCCCAACAGAGGCTGGCCTTTCTCTTAAACAGGATTCTTGCTTTTGGGTCAGGACTACAGGAGGTCTGGAGAAGGGGCTAGTAGTTCAATCTAATTATACTAGCCATTGTATAAGAATTAAAGAGGTAAACTGAGTAAATGAGATGTCTTAGAGATATTTTGGTTGCAAGGAACAGATGTTCACTCAAGCTAATTTGAATAAAATAGAATTTATTTAAAAAAAATCAGAGAGATCTCCTAAAGCAAAATTGTCAGAAAAAATTATAATGAGCCTTAGAAGAAATGGGGAGTTGACATGCTGCTGTTCCCTCTCTTCCTCCTTCTATCTTCTTTCCTCCTCAAACCGCATGTCTTTCACATCTTCCATGTTATCTTCATGATAATATTTCTCTGTCCCTAGACCAGTTTCTGTACTCATGATGCCACTTTTACACAGTCTGTCATGAATGCCCTGAAATGGTGATCTCAGCCCCTAGTTAATGGAATCTTGCAGGAATGCTCCCACAAATTAATGACTCAATCTCTGCACTCTCATTCTAAATTCCCTACAAGAGCCATCTATTGGCTCAGCTAGGACCAGCTGTCTACACTATGTAATCAGATATTACTGATGTAAAGACACATGGTAATTAAAGCCATCCATTTCAGGCTGTGAATGGGAAGGTTTTCTAAGAATGAGGTGGCATGAGGAAGAAATGACTGACACACTTAGTTCAGAGGATCTGGCTGAATACCACACTGGGCTGAACCTGATTTGCCAAGCACTGTGGGAAAAGCTGACTCTGTTGTCTTACCTTCCTTTAGGGAAACTCTGTTCAGATTGGGAGCAAAGGGAGGGAAATGCCTAAGGATCTGCCTAGTAGATTACAACACCTCCCTATTGCTTTATGCCATGCTTCCATTTCCATACCTTATCCTGCCCAAGACGTGAACTAGCCAACACACTGTGACTGGATGGGAACCATTAAGAACTTGTCACTGTATTTGAAGAAGCATAACTCCCTTGGGAAAAGCTGGTGGCCTCAGCTTTTCTTTCTCTGTGTTGGACCAAGGCAAACTCATTCTCTCCCTTTCAGATATAGCTCTAATGCCATCTCCTTTGCACTGCTTTCTGCACTCCCCCAGGGAGAGCTGTCACAACTCTGTGCTTCCATTGATCTCTTTTCACATCTTCATTAACCTATTAATACATGATCAACATCTGTCATAAATCTGCCTTTTCCAGACTGTGAATCCCAGGGGAAGCATCTGGATACTTATTCCAGTACCATCAGCCCACAGCATGACACATGTTGAGTGTTTGATTAGTTTAGTGAGTAAATAAACTAGCAGTGGCCACTCCGGATCCATCTAACAGTCTGGCTTGATGCTCCCAGAGACTTGTTGAGGTGTGGTTTGGGGTGGTCCCCAATGACTAAGGACATGCCCAAATATCCTGAAGTTGGGAAGATGAGAAGGGGGAGATGTTTGGGTAGAACAAGAATAGGCTAACTGTCTTTATGTGTCTGAAGGCCTTTCATGTGGAATTAAAATAAAACTTCCAATGAATGACAAGGGAAAAAAAAAGGATCAAAGGCAAAAACTCTAGGGAAATAGATTCCAGTTCAACATGAGGGTATTCTAAGAGGCAGTAATATCTAAAGATGGATTAGGCTAGCTACAGAGGTGGTAAGCAACTTGTCACAGGGATGCTGAATAACAACACAATTCTGAAATGGCTCATTGGACAAGATATTTGATTTAGCTTCATTTAAAATTACACAATTAATCTATGTTTATTGTTTAAAAATTTTTAGCGGTGAGTGAAAACAAATGCTCTTAATTTCACAACTCAGAGATAATCAGTGCTAAAATGTTGATGTAGGGTACAGTCATCCCTCAATATCCATGGGAAGTTGGTTGCAGAACACCCGAGGATGTTCTGCAAAATTCACGGATGCTCAAGTCCCTTATATCAAATGGTGTAGTATTTGCATATAACCTGTGCACATCCTCCTATAAAATTTAAATCATTTCTGGATTACCTATAATACTTCATATAATATAACTGCTATGTAAATAGTTGTTATACTGTATTGTTTAAGAACAATTATGACAAAAAAATCTGTACCTGTTCAATACAGATATAGCCATCCTTTTTTCTGAATATTTTCAATCTACTATTGGTTGAATTCACAGATGCAGAACCCACAGATATGGAGAGCTAACTGTATATCTTTATAGTCCTTTTCCTTTGTATTTAAACACTTAAAATCTATATTTGTTTACAAATATAAAATATATTACTTGTAATTTATTGTATTAGTAAAACTTTGAGTCTTCTTCAAATCCTACATTACCTTAAAACATCTATGCAATACCACTCATGTTTGCTTAAAGTCTTCTTGGAGCTTTTTTTTTTTTTTTTTTTTTTTTTTTTTGAGACGGAGTCTCGCTCTGTCACCCAGGCTGGAGTGCAGTGGCGCGATCTCGGCTCACTGCAAGCTCCGCCTCCCGGGTTCACGCCATTCTCCTGCCTCAGCCCCCCGAGTAGCTGGGACCACAGGCGCCCGCCACTACGCCCGGCTAACTTTTTGTATTTTTAGTAGAGACGGGGTTTCACCTTGGTCTCGATCTCCTGACCTCGTGATCCGCCCGCCTCGGCCTCCCAAAGTGCTGGGATTACAGGCGTGAGCCACAGCGCCCGGCCTTCTTGGAGCTATTTATTCACCAGAGGTAGAGTAGTAAATACTCATTTGTATTTATGTATTAATTACTGATGACCCCTTGTGATATAGCCAGGCACAGTGAAAGCAGTACTTATTGAGTTACAGGTTAAGAGATCTGGATTCTAGTCTCAAGTAAGGTACTTATTGGCTGTACGACTTGTCTCAGTCTTAGTTTACCCAGCTGTAAAATGTAGAGTCTGGATGAGGTAATCCAAAAGCTTCTTTTGGGGGTTAATTACTTCACTAGTAAATGAGCACAATACTCTGAAAGTCACTTAGGGGGCTACAGATTGGTAAAATGTTTTCTAGAAGTTTACAGTTTCATTGAGAACTTACATACATGAAATTGTTGAGTAAAAATTTAAGATCATCGTTGATGGAAGTGCCAAAAATCATAGTAGGAGTAAGCTATACTGTAGTGAGCCTATTTCACCACTAGCACTGATGATTTCAAGTTCATATTACTAGAAACCACTTCTATAGAGGGTACTGTGTGTACTGCCTACATTTCACCTTTGGGAGTGCAAAACTTAATACCCCAACTGCCAGGATTGTGGACTGTAGATAATTTACAGCTAAATCCCTCTCCAGAATTTTCTTTTGGCCAAAGACAGCTTCCTCGCTTATGGTTATGCCACCTTCGTAAGGGCAGCCCACACTCAATGATCAGTCAGTGTGGGGCTTAGCCCTCTTGTCTGAATTTTAGACAACTCTGAAAGGCCACTTCAGCTTCAGAGGTCCCCATAGGATCGGCTAGTAGCTCTCTTCTCAGTGCACTGCAGTTCAGATTTTTCACTCTGCCCAATGCTGCTCCTGTCAGTTGTTGTTCTTGAGTGTGTACCCCAATAAACCTCCTGCATGAAAATCTACATCCAAAGATGTGTTTCCAGGGAACCTGACCTATGAAAACCACCTCTTATTTATCCTAAAATTTAAAAAATCAAACTACAGATCCACAGATCCAAGAAGCTCTATAAGTCCTGAGCAAAAGAAACATAAAGAAAACCACACCAAAGAATATCAAAAATCATCACATTGTTGGAAACCAGTAATAGAGATAAAATCTTAAAATAAACCAAAGGAGGGTGGGGGTGGGAGGAGATATGTTACATACAGAGGAACAAAACTTAGAATTACAACAGATTTCCCATCTGAAACAGTGTAAGTCAGAAGATAGTGGAGTCACATCTTTAAACAACTGAAAGGAAAAATCCTGTCAGTATAGAGTTCTGTACAGAGTTAAAATGTCTTTTAACAAAAGAAGGCAAAATAAAGCGTTTTTAAGGTATACAAAAACTGAGATAATTTATCACCAGAGGAGTAGCACTGTAAGAAATGTTCAGATTTCTTACAGGAAGGAAAACAATGCAAGATGCAAATTAGGATCTACACAATGGAATGGAGTGCACCAAAAACGGCAAATATGAGAGTGAATATAAAAGATGTGTTTTCTTATTTCTAAATCTCTTTAAAAAATAATTGACTGTTTAAAGTAAAAATATTAACACACATTTGGGGTCTTTTTAAACATATGTAAAAGTGAAATGTGTAACAACAAAGACATAAAGGCCAGGAGGGAAAAATAAAAATGGAACCATTTACTATTATACGGTTCTTATATAATATGTGTAATGGTTAATATTATTTGAAGGTAGACTGTGTTAAATTAAAAGTATGTACTACAAACCCTAGAACAACCACTGAAAAACAAAAGCAAAAGCAAAGCAAATAAGTCAATAAAGAAGATAAAATGATCATAAAAGATATAAAATTAATTTTTTAAAGTCAATAAAAGTAAAACCAAAGGAGGGGGAACAAGAACACATGAGTCAAATAAAAAAGAAATATTATGGTGGCAAACTTAAACCCAACTATATTTGATCATCATATTAAATGTAAATAGTGTAAACACGTGGATTAAAAGGCAGGATTATAAGAACGTATTAAAATACATAAGGTTAAGAGAACAAAACTAACAAACCTAGAATTCTGTGTCCAGCAAATAAAAACTGAGAAAATTTTCCACCAGTAGACATGGTCTGCAAGAAAAAGTAAAAGTTCTTCAGAGAAAGGAAAAGCATATATGTCAGAAACTTGAATCTACATGAAGAAAGAGCACTAGAGAAAGAATAAATGAAGCCATAATAAAATCTTTAGTTTTCTTATTCTTATCTGATCTAATAAATAACTGGTAGCTCAAAATAAAGATGTCAACAATTCTTTAGGTTATTATACCTTATGGATAAGTAAAATGAATAACAGCAATGATATAAGGAATAGAAGGGAGAGATTAGAAATACCTTCCAATGCCAACACTATTTGTGAAGCAGTATAGTGTTACTTGAAAGTGGACTCAGAGTAGTTGTAAATGTGTATTGCAAACACTAGGACAATTACTAAACTAATTTTTGGAAAAGAAGTATAACTGATAAGAGAGGAGAGAAAATGAAATCATATAAAATGTTCAATTAAGATAGGAGATGGCAGCAAAAGAAAGGAAGATTAAAAAAGAGTCCAATAATAGAAAACAGTTACAAATTTGGTAGATATTTGTCCAACTATATCAATAATCACTTCAAGTGGAAATGGTTTAAGTACAGCAACTAAAAGACAGAAACATCAGAGTAGATTTAAAAAAAAAAACACCCATCTATAAGTTGTCTATAAGAAATCTTTTGAATATAAAGATGCATATAGATTAAAAGGAAAGGAATGGAAGCAGGGCAGGGGGAGGAAAGAATTAGTGTTTAACGGGTATAGAGTTTCAAGTTTGCAAGATGAAAAAATTCTAGAGATTAATCGCACAACAATGTAAATATGCTTAACTCTACTGAACTGTACACTTAAAACCGGTTACAATGGTAAATTTAATGTTATGTGTTTTTTGCTACAATAAAAAGGTAAAAGAATGGAGAAATCTATAACATGCTAACACTAATTAAAAGAAAGCAGGAGTAGCCATATTAATTTCAGACAAAGCAGACTTCAGAACTAGAAAAATTAGCCCTGATAAAGAAGTCAATTCATCAAGAAGACATAACAATAATAAATATTTATGTGCCTAATAACAGAGCTCTAAAATGCATGAAGCAGAAATAAAAGTGCAGAAAGAAATTGACAAATCCACAATTATTGTCAGCGATTTCATACTGCTATCTAAATAATTGATAAACCCCATAAACAGAAAATAAAGATATAGAAGACATGAACAACACTACCAACCAACTTGACCTGACATTTATAGAATATCCTACCCAACAGAAGAAAATACATTCCTTTCAAGTGTATACACTAAATATTTTCCAATATTTACCGTATTCTACATCATGAAACAAGTCTCAAAAAATTTAAAAGGATTAAAATAATCCGGAGCATATTCTCTAACCACAATGGAATTTAAGTAGATGTCAATAAAAAAATACATGAAAAAGATCCAAAAATTTGAAACTAAGAAACCTCCTTTTAAGTAACCCAACTTACTTAAGAGCCAAACAATAAATTGCAAGGAAAATCAGAAAATATTTTGACTGAAAAAAAAGAAAACATAACATATTAAAATTTCTCCTTGAAAAAAAAGCTAAAGCAGGGCTTACAGGATAATTTGTAGCATTAAATCTTATATCAGAAAAACAGAAAAATTTAAAATCGATGACTAAGCTTCCTCTTTAAGAAACTAGAAAAATAAAACCAAACCCAAAGTGAAAGGAAGTAAATAGTAAAGAGTGGAAATCAATGAAATAGAAAACAGAAAAATAATGGAGAAAACCAATGAAATCAAACCTCTTTCTTTAAAAATAACAATAAAAATGATAACCTTATAGACAGGCTGATCAGGAGAGAGACAGAACAAATTACCAATATCATCCTGAATGACAGAAGGGCCATAACTATAGATCTTACCAACATTAAAAGGAGACCAAACAAATATAAAAATTTTATGTCAATAAATATAACTTTAGATAAGATAGAAATGGGAAAATGAAATAATATAAAATTAAAATTGGAGAAGGCAGAAGATTAATGGAAGATTTAAAAAGAGTGCAAGAATAGAAAACAGTTACAAATTTGGTGGATATTTATCCAACTATACCAATAATCACTTTAAATGTGAATGGTTTAAACTCCTTTAAAGACACAAACTGTCAAAACCACTAAAAAAGAAATAGCTTGAATAGCCCTGTATCTATTAAAGAAATTTGGGTTTGTAGTTTTAAATTTTCCCATAAAGGAAACTCTAGGTCTAAACAACTTTACTGAAGAAGTCTACCAAAATTAAGAAATATGTAATATTTATTCTACATAAACTCTTCCAAAAATAAAATTTGAGGGAGCACCCTGAATTCATTCTATTACTTAAGCATTATCTTGATCCCAAAACCAGGTGGTTATTCTAAGAAAACTCACCTACAAACTAATTTCCACCATGAACATAGAAGCAAAAATCCTTAACAAAATTTAAGCAAATTGAATCCAGCAATATATAAAAAAGCTAATACATCATGACCAAGTGGAGTTTATCTCCAGAATGCAAGATCAGTTTAACATTTAAAAAAATGTATCAAGGCGTGGTGATTAGGTTTTCACACTCATGTGTGAGATGTGCCTCCCTTGAACTTTGTTACATTGGCACTTTACCCATTTGACATGGGGGAGAAAAAGAAAATTAAAAAAAAAATCAGTGTAGTGGCCATATTAACATTCTAAAAGGAAAATCATATGATCATCTCAATAGTTACACAAAAATCATTTGCCAAAATTCAAAACACACATTTATGATAAAAACTCTCAGTGAACTTAGAAGGGAACTTTCTCAACCTGGTAAAGGTCATGCATGGGAAACCTACAGCTAGCATAATAATAAATGATGAAAAGCTAAGTTTTTTATCCTAAGATCAGAAGCAAAGAAAAGATGTTTTCTCTCCCTACTCCTAGTCAACAGAGTACTGGACATACTAGCCACGTGCAATTCGGCTAAAGAAATAAATAGCACCCAGACTGGAAAAGAAGAAATAGAACTATTCTAAAATTAACTTTCTCCAATTTCATTAGCCATGATACTTGGGTACAGACTTAGGTAGGATGAGGCTCAGAGACTCAACTTCTCTCTGTTCTTGGTTCTGAGCTGCCTTCCACCAGGCAAAAGGAGTCATCCATATGGCATACAAGAAGAGCCTGTGAGATGTAGTGCCACAGCCTCACAGTGATAACACTGGAGCATTTGCCTGACCTTGCCCTCTGCACACACTGCTTTCAGGAACACTTCAGAGTTGTCAATGTCTGGCACAGACAGCCAGGGACTCAAAAACCTAGGTATCTGTCACGTCTTGCTCAATCTTTCCATTACCAGCACTGTCATATGCCACATAACAACGTTTTGGTCAATGACAGACCATGTGACACGGTCCCAATGACAGACCATGTGACATGGTCCCATAAGATTAAAATGGAGCTGAAAAAGTTCTATCTTCTAGTGACGTCATTACCATGATAATGTTGTAGCATGATTACTTTATTTTTTTTCATAAATTTGGTGTAGCCTAAGTGGATAGTGTTTATAATGTCTACAGTAGTGTAGACTGTAGTGTACAGTAGTGTAGTACTGCCCTAGGCCTTTATGTTCACACACCACTCACTCACTGACTCACCCAGAGCAACTTCCAGTCCTCAAGCTCCATTCATGGTAAGAGTCCTATACAAGTATATCATTTTTTGTCTTTTATGTCATATTTTACTGCACCTTTTCTATGTTTAGATGCACATACACTTACCACTGTGTTACAATTGCCTACAGTATTCAGTACAATGACATGCGGTAGAGGTTTGTAGTGTAGGAGCAAAAGGCTCTGCCATATAGCCTAGGTGTCTAGTAGGCTCTACCATCTAGGTTGTGCAAGTGCACTCTGTAACGTTCGCACAGTGATGAAGTTGCCTAACAATGCATTTCCCAGAAAGGATCTCCATCATTACGTGGTGCATGACTGTATTGTGATTACCCCACAGAGGCAGAATGAGCCATCCCTCCTCACCCAGAATTTGCTTCCAGATGTCAAGATTGATGATGCCATACACCCACATGCCAAGAGGGTAAAAATGTTTATTCTTCATATAATGAGATTCTCTGGGAAAAGCAGGATAGACTTCCAAGTAGGGTCAAAAATGGTTTTTAGAGAGAGTAGCAAGGGACAACTGAGTTGGAGTTTTATGGTGATTATGGAGTGGGGCTGGGGTGAGGGCCTGGGCTTGCATGGTTTGAGCTTCCCACTGATACGAAAGCAAAAAGCACCCTGGCTCTCATAAGCCTCCCCAGATGAGAGGGTAGAAAGAGAAAAGGGATTGGTGGGGCTAGGAAGCTGTCAGCAGTCAAACACCACAAATGGAGTCAGATTCTTTATTACACCAAAACTATCAGTAATTCCTTTAAAGAGCTGCCTCCCAACTCTTCTACCCTCAGTGTGACGAGCATCCCCCCAAGCTCTCACCCCAGAAACACCTGTCTTGGGAACAGCAGGCTATGGGGGTGGGAGTGTCACTCCCACACAAGGAACAGCCATAAGGTGACAGAACCTAATGAGCTTGCAGGGAATATTTAAATTGCTAAACAACATAGTATATTTACTACCGCATTTATCCCTAAGCATTTGCAGTAAAAATCAAACTGATGCCATTAGGTGGTCCTCCAGTGGCATGTACTTGGAAGCTCTCCTTTTTTAGCCAAAATTGATTTGAGGTTGTGTATACTTCTGTCTTTCAAACAGCAATTGAAAATCTGAATGGTGGGGAATTAAGCAGAGAAAAAGGGAGGAGCTTAAGGCAAGGGCAGGAAAGAATCTGTTCAGCTACCCCTGGGAGATGGTTATGACAGCCTCATCTGTCTCTGCTGTCCTATTACAGGGACAATCAGCAGCATAGTGTGAAAGAAAGCACCTCAGCTTTGAAGCCAACTGACAAATTTCAACTCTGGCTCAGTCACTTAATATGTGACCTTAAGAAATTTATTTTCTCATAACCTTGTTTATATCATCTATAAATTAGGGATAGCAATACCTACAACAATAAGATTGTTATAAGGAATAGATTATAAAGTTTGTGTAAGTTTCCAATATAATGTGTGCCACATATATAATAGGTACTCAGCAAATGTTAGTGTGTTTCTACCACCGTACTCATCCTTAGGACAACCACCAATAACAAAGAATTGTGGGTTTTCAGAAACATCCACGTTTCTTATCTCTCCATTATTCTATCCATCGTGCATACATTGCTCTCCAAAATTACCAAAAAAAGATCATCTTGTCTGCACTCTAAAACCTCCAGGAACTCACCACCTCCTCAGCACATTCCATCTTCCAGACATGCTAACAGAAAGCTCTCTCTTAAACCAAACTGAAATCTGGCTTGCCATGGCACAGAATCTTCCAAAGAGCTGTTAATAGAAAAGTATTCTGGAAGATGCTAGCAGTTGAGTAGAAAATAAAGGAAGCCCTTGATTTCAATTCCTGACCATATTTCAGACCAGAAATCTTGAAAAACCACCAAAGTACAAAGAACTCAAGAAGGTAGTGTGAAATATTTTCAGGTATGTTTTTTGTTTGTTTGCTTTGTTTTGCTTTTGTTTTGTTTTGTTTTGTTTTCTTGGAGACGAGCTCTCACTCTGTTGCCTAGGCTGCCATCATAGCTCACTGTAACCAAACTCCTGGGCTCATGCTATCCTCCCACCTCAGCCTCCTGAGTAGCTGGGACTAGATGAATGCCACCATGCTCAGCTTAATTTAATGTCTTTTTTTTTTTTTTTGGAGCTTTTATGTATTTACTTGTATATATTCCTGGGGTACAAGTGCAATTTTGCTACATGGATATATTGCATTGTGGTGACGTCGGGGCCTTCAGGGCATCACTGGAACAACACACACTATACCCACCAAGTAACCCCCCATCCTCCACCCTGCCTCCCATCCCCTCAGCCCCCACCCTCTGAGTCTCCACTGTCCATCATTCCACATGCTACATCCATGTATACACATTTTTTTAGCTCCCACTTATTAGTGAAAACGTGTGGTATTTGCCTTTCTTTCTTTCTTTTTTTTTTTTACTTAAAATTGATATTTTTTTTTCATAGAGAAACTAAAATCCAACCCACTCTTTATAGGGTGATTTCCATTTTGCAGTGTCTCCAAAATTGCTTTTTATTATTATTATTATACTTTAAGTTTCAGGGTACATGTGCACAATGTTCAGGTTAGTTACATATGTATACATGTGCCATGCTGGTGTGATACACCCATTAACTCGTCATTTAGCATTAGGTATATCTCCTAATGCTATCCCTCCCCCCTCGCCCCACCCCACAACAGTCCCCAGGGTGTGATGTTCCCCTTCCTGTGTCCATGTGTTCTCGTTGTTCATTTCCCACCTATGAGTGAGAATATGCGGTGTTTGGTTTTTTGTTCTTGTGATAGTTTACCGAGAATGATGACTTCCAATTTCATCCATGTCCCTACAAAGGACATGAACTCATCATTTCTTATGGCTGCATAGTATTCCATGGTGTATATGTGCCACATTTTCTTAATCCAGTCTATCATTGTTGGACATTTGGGTTGGTTCCAAGTCTTTGCTATTGTGAATAATGCCGCAATAAACATACGTGTGCATGTGTCTTTATAGCAGCATGATTTATAGTCCTTTGGGTATATACCCAGTAATGGGATGGCTGGGTCAAATGGTATTTCTAGTTCTAGATCCCTGAGGAAACGCCACACTGACTTCCACAAGGGTTGAACTAGTTTACAGTCCCACTAACAGTGTAAAAATGTTCCTATTTCTCCACATCCTCTCCAGCACCTGTTGTTTCCTGACTTTTTAATGATTGCCATTCTAACTGGTGTGAGATGGTATCTCATTGTGGTTTTGATTTGCATTTCTCTGATGGCCAGTGATGGTGAGCATTTTTTCATGTGTTTTTTTGGCTGCATAAATGTCTTCTTTTGAGAAGTGTCTGTACTTGTCCTTTGCCCACTTTTCAATGGGGTTGTTTGTTTTTTTCTTGTGAATTAGTTTGAGTTCATTGTAGATTCTGGATATTAGCCCTTTGTCAGATGAGTAGGTTGTGAAATTTTTCTGCCATTTTGTAGGTTGCCTGTTCACTCTGATGGTAGTTTCTTTTGCTGTGCAGAAGCTCTTTAGTTTAATTAGATCCCATTTGTCAATTTTGGCTTTTGTTGCCATTGCTTTTGGTGTTTTAGACATGAAGTCCTTGCCCATGCCTATGTCCTGAATGGTAATGCCTAGGTTTTCTTCTAGGGTTTTTATGGTTTTAGGTCTAACGTTTAAGTCTTTAATCCATCTTGAATTAATTTTTGTATAAGGTGTAAGGAAGAGATCCAGTTTCAGCTTTCTACATATGGCTAGCCAGTTTTCCCAGCACCATTTATTAAATAGGGAATCCTTTCCCCATTGCTTGTTTTTCTCAAGTTTGTCAAAGATCAGATAGTTGTAGATATGCAGCATTATTTCTGAGGGCTCTGTTCTGTTCCATTGATCTATATCTCTGTTTTGGTAACAGTACCATGCTGTTTTGGTTACTGTAGCATTGTAGTATAGTTTGAAGTCAGGCAGCCTGATGCCTCCAGCTTTGTTCTTTTGGTTTAGGATTGACTTGGCGATGGGGACTCTCTTTTGGATCCATATGAACTTGAAAGTAGTTTATTCCAATTCTGTGAAGAAAGTCATTGGTAGCTTGATGGGGATGGCATTGAATCTATAAATTACCTTGGGCAGTATGGCCATTTTCATGATACTGATTCTTCCTACCCATGAGCATGGAATGTTCTTCCATTTGTTTGTATCCTCTTTTATTTCATTGAGCAGTGGTTTGTAGTTCTCCTTGAAGAGGTCCTTCACATCCCTTGTAAGTTGGATTCCTAAGTATTTTATTCTCTTTGAAGCAATTGTGAATGGGAGTTCACTCATGATTTGGCTCTCTGTTTCTCTGTTATTGGTGTATAAGAATGCTTGTGACTTTTGTACATTGATTTTGTATCCTGAGATTTTGCTGAAGTTGCTTATCAGCTTAAGGAGATTTTGGGCTGAGACAATGGGGTTTTCTAGATATACAATCATGTCATCTGCAAACAGGGACAATTTGACTTCCTCTTTTCCTAATTGAATACCCTTTATTTCTTTCTCCTGCCTGATTGCCACGGCCAGCACTTCCAACACTATGTTGAATAGGAGTGGTGAGAGAGGGCATCCCTGTCTTGTGCCAGTTTTCAAAGGGAATGCTTCCAGTTTTTGCCTATTCAGTATGATATTGGCTGTGGGTTTGTCATAGATAGCTCTTATTATTTTGAGATATGTCCCATCAATACCTAATTTATTGAGAGTTTTTAGCATGAAGAGTTGTTGAATTTTGTCAAAGGCCTTTTCTGCATCTATTGAGATAATCATGTGGTTTTTGTCTTTGGTTCTGTTTATATGCTGGGTTACATTTATTGATTTGCATATATTGAACCAGCCTTGCCTCCCAGGGATGAAGCCCACTTGATCATGGTGGATAAGCTTTTTGATGTGCTGCTGGATTCAGTTTGCCAGTATTTTATTGAGGATTTTTGCATCAATGTTCATCAAGGATATTGGTCTAAAATTCTCTTTTTTGGTTGTGTCTCTGCCAGGCTTTGGTATCAGGATGATGTCGGCCTCATAAAATGAGTTAGGGAGGATTCCCTCTTTTTCTATTGATTGGAATAGTTTCAGAAGGAATGGTACCAGTTCCCCCTTGTACCTCTGGTAGAATTCGGCTGTGAATCCTTCTGGTCCTGGACTCTTTTTGGTTGGTAAGCAATTGATTATTGCCACAATTTCAGAGCCTGTTATTGGTCTATTCAGAGATTCAACTTCTTCCTGGTTTAGTCTTGGGAGGGTGTATGTGTTGAGGAATTTATCCATTTCTTCTAGATTTTGTAGTTTATTTGCATTGAGGTGTTTGTAGTATTCTCTGATGGTAGTTTGTATTTCTGTGGGATCAGTGGTGATATCCCCTTTATCATTTTTTATTGCATCTATTTGATTCTTCTCTCTTTTCTTCTTCATTAGTCTTGCTAGAGGTCTATCAATTTTGTTGATCCTCTCAAAAAATCAGCTCCTGGATTCATTAATTTTTTGAAGGGTTTTTTGTGTCTCTATTTCCTTCAGTTCTGCTCTGATTTTAGTTATTTCTTGCCTTCTGCTAGCTTTTGAATGTGTTTGCTCTTGCTTTTCTAGTTCTTTTAATTGTGATGTTAGGGTGTCAATTTTGGATCTTTCCTGCTTTCTCTTGTGGGCATTTAGTGCTATAAATTTCCCTCTACACACTGCTTTGAAAGTGTCCCAGAGATTCTGTTATGCTGTGTCTTTGTTCTCATTGGTTTCAAAGAACATCTTTATTTCTGCCTTCGTTTCATTATGTACCCAGTAGTCATTCAGGAGCAGGTTGTTCAGTTTCCATGTAGTTGAGTGGTTTTGAGTGAGTTTCTTTATCCTGAGTTCTAGTTTGATTGCACTGTGGTCTGAGAGACAGTTTGTTATAATTTCTGTTCTTTTACATTTGCTGAGGAGTGCTTTACTTCCAACTATGTGGTCAGTTTTGAAATAGGTGTGGTGTGGTGCTGAAAAGAATGTATATTCTGTTGATTTGGGGTGGAGAGTTCTGCAGATGTCTATTAGGTCTGCTTGGTGCAGAGCTGAGTTCAATTCCTGGATATCCTTGTTAACTTTCTGTGTCGTTGATCTGTCTAATGTTGACAGTGGGGTGTTAAAGTCTCTCATTATTATTGTGTGGGAGTCTAAGTCTCTTTGTAGGTCTCTAAGGACTTGCTTTATGAATCTGGGTGCTCCTGTATTGGGTGCATATATATTTAGGATAGTTAGCTCTTCTTGTTGAATTGATCCCTTTACCATTATGTAATGGCCTTCTTTGTCTCTTTTGATCTTTGTTGGTTTAAAGTCTGTTATCAGAGACTAGGATTGCAACCCCTGCCTTTTTTTGTTTTCCATTTGCTTGGTAGATCTTCCTCCATTCCTTTATTTTGAGCCTATGTGTGTCTCTGCATGTGAAATGGGTCTCCTGAATACAGCACACTGATGGGTGTTGACTCTTTATCCAATTTGCCAGTCTGTGTCTTTTAATTGGAGCATTTAGCCCATTTACATTTAATGTTAATATTGTTATGTGTGAATTTGATCCTGTCATTATGATGTTAGCTGGTTATTTTGCTCATTAGTTGATGCAATTTCTTCCTAGCCTTGATGGTCTTTACAATTTGGCATGTTTTTGCAGTGGCTGGTACCGGTTGTTCCTTTCCATGTTTAGTGCTTCCTTCAGGTGCTCTTTTAGGGCAGGCCTAGTGGTGACAAAATCTCTTGGCATTTGGTTGTCTGTAAAGTATTTTATTTCTCCTTCACTTATGAAGCTTAGTTTGGCTGGATATGAAATTCTGGGTTGAAAATTCTTTTCTTTAAGAATGTTGAATATTGGCCCCCACTCTCTTCTGGCTTGTAGAGTTTCTGCCGAGATATCCACTCTTTGTCTGATGGGCTTCCCTTTGTGGGTAACCCGACCTTTCTCTCTGGCTGCCCTTAACATTTTTTCCTTCATTTCAACTTTGGTGAATCTGACAATTATATGTCTTGGAGTTGCTCTTCTCGAGGAGTATCTTTGTGGCATTCTCTGTATTTCCTGAATCTGAACGTTGGCCTGCCTTGCTTTATTGGGGAAGTTCTCCTGGATAATATCCTGCAGAGTGTTTTCCAACTTGGTTCCATTCTCCCCATCACTTTCAGGTACACCAATCAGATGTAGATTTGGTCTTTTCACATAGTCCCATATTTCTTGGAGGCTTTGCTCATTTCTTTTTATTCTTTTTTCTCTAAACTTCCCTTCTCACTTCATTTCATTCATTTCATCTTCCATCGCTGATACCCTTTCTTCCAGTTGATTGCATCGGCTCCTGAGGCTTCTGCATTCTTCACGTAGTTCTCGAGCCTTGGCTTTCAGCTCCATCAGCTCCTTTAAGCACTTCTCTGTATTGGTTATTCTAGTTATACATTCGTCTAAATTTTTTTCAAAGTTTTCAACTTCTTTGCCTTTGGTTTGAATTTCCTCCTGTAGCTCGGAGTAGTTTGATCATCTGAAGCCTTCTTCTCTCAACTCATCAAAGTCATTCTCCGTCCAGCTTTGTTCCATTGCTCGTGAGGAACTGCATTCCTTTGGAGGAAGAGAGGCACTCTGCTTTTTAGAGTTTCCAGTTTTTCCGCTCTGTTTTTTCCCCATCTTTGTGGTTTTATCTACTTTTGGTCTTTGATGATGGTGATATACAGATGGCTTTTTGGTGTGGATGTCCTTTCTGTTTGTTAGTTTTCCTTCTAACAGACAGGACCCTCAGCTGCAGGTCTGTTGGAGTTTGCTAGAGGTCCACTCCAGACCCTGTTTGCCTGGGTACCAGCAGCGGTGGCTGCAGAACAGTGGATTTTCGTGAACCGCAAATGCTGTTGTCTGATCATTCCTCTGGAAGTTTTGTCTCAGAGGAGTACCTGGCCATGTGAGGTGTCAGTCTGCCCCTACTGGGGGGTGCCTCCCAGTTAGGCTGCTCAGGGGTCAGGGGTCAGGGACCCACTTGAGGAGGCAGTCTGCCCATTCTCAGATCTCCAGCTGCGTGCTGGGAGAACCACTGCTCTCTTCAAAGCTGTCAGACAGGGACATTTAAGTCTGCAGAGGTTACTGCTGTCTTTTTGTTTGTCTGTGCCCTGCCCCCAGAGGTGGAGCCTATAGAGGCAGGCAGGCCTCCTTGAGCTGTGGTGGGCTCCACCCAGTTCGAGCTTCCCGGCTGCTTTGTTTACCTAAGCAAGCCTGGGCAATGGTGGGCGCCCCTCCCCCAGCCTTGTTGCGCCTTGCAGTTTGATCTCAGACTGCCGTGCTAGCAATCAGCGAGACTCCATGGGCATAGGACCCTCCGAGCCAGGTGCAGGATATAATCTCCTGGTGTGCCATTTTTTAAGCCCATCCAAAAAGCACAGTTTTAGGGTGGGAGTGATCCGATTTTCCAGGTGCCGTCTGTCACCCCTTTCTTTGACTAGGAGAGGGAACTCCCTGACCCCTTGCACTTCCCGAGTGAGGCAATGCCTCACCCTGCTTCGGCTGGTGCATGGTGGGCTGCACCCACTGTCCTGCACCCACTGTCTGGCACTCCCTAGTGAGATGAACTCGGTACCTCAGATGGAAATGCAGAAGTCACCCATCTTCTGCATCGCTCATGCTGGGAGCTGTAGACAGGAGCTGTTCCTATTCGGCCATCTTGGCTCCATCCCCCTTTTTTTTTTTTTTTTTTTTTTTTTTTTTTCAGAAATGAGGTCTCACTGTCTCCAACTCCTGAACTCAAGAAATCCTCCCCACTTGGCCTCTCAAAATGCTGACATTACAGGTGTAAGCCACCATGCCCAGCCTCAAATATGTTTTTAAGTGAATAATGCATAGCAGAGGTGACATGACAATAAGGAAAGTCCTCAAAAATCAGAAAGACATAAAACACCTACCCAGAGAGGTGTGAGTGCTGAGCAGCCAGTTGCCCTGAGGACACCTGCTCATCACTGGCAAACTGAAGTTACCTTTTTCAATCAGCATTTTCCTGGAGAAAAGGGAAAAAAAAAGGGCCCTTGGCTTATAAAAAGTAAGAAGTTAATCTAAGGCCCCTGCATAAATCGGAGACCCTTAAACACTCAGTGAAAGACTAGGCATGGTGGATAATGCCTGTAATCCCAACACTTTGGGAGGCTGAGTCAGGTGGTTTAAGAATAAAAAACTTACCAACCTTAGATTTTGACAAATTAAGATCACATGTTATAATTTTAAAGGTAACCACTCAAATAATAGAAATAGAATGTGTAACATCTAAACTAGTAGAGGATAAAAATGCAAAGATTTTAAAAACCCAATCCAAAAGAAAATAAAAAAGAAGATAAAAGGAAAAACAGAATATCAGAGAGAACAGAAAGCACAAAACAAGTGGTAAATTTGGAATGAAATATATTTGTAATAACATTAAGCATAAATAAACTAAATTGCTTAGTTAAAAGAGAAATATAAACACAGACTAGATGAAGAAACAAAATCTAACTAAATATAAGGACACTGAAAGATGGAAGGAAAAGGCCAGGCACGGCGGCCCATGCCTGTAATCCCAGCACTTTGGGAGGCCAAGACAGGTGGATTACCTGAGGTTGGGAATTCAAGACCAGCCTGACCAACATGGAGAAATCCTATCTCTACTAAAAATACAAAATTAGCTGGGCATGGTGGCCCATGCCTGTAATCCCAGCTACTCAGGAGGCTGAGGCAGGAGAATTGCTTGAACCTGGGAGGCAGAGGTTGCAGTGAGCCAAGATCGCATCATTGCACTCCAGACTGAGCAACAGGAGCGAAACTCTGTCTCAAGAAAGAAAGAAAGAAAAGGAAGGGAAGGGAAGGGAGAAAGAAAGAAAGAAAGAAAGAAAGAAAGAAAGAAAGAAAGAAAGAAAGAAGAAAGAAAGAAAGAAAGAAGAAAGAAGGAAAATGGTGAAAAAGATACACTTTGCTAATACCAAGCATAGTAAAGCTGGTAGATTTCTGCTTCCAACCAAGATGGAGTAACAGGGACTGGATTTACCCTCATGCCAGAAACAACCAAAAAACCAACAAACTATATGAGAAAAAAAAAAGCCAGAACCCTGCACATCAGGTAACAAAGTACAATGATCCCTGAGAGATAGAAAACAAATAAGATGAAACTTACACCTGCCCAAGCTTACTGCACTGAGAGAGATGCCAGGGCATGGCACAGGGAGAGGACACCGAGACAGAACCCAAAGGACTTCAGGTGAGAAGATAAAGCTGAGAGTCCAGATAGATCAAAACATATCTAGCAGGCTAGAGTGCCAGAGAAGAGAGAACTGCACAGAGAAAGAACTCCAGAAATCTGCAGGTGTCCCTCTAGCATTCAAGATTATTGATCATCATAATGCATGTGAGGACACAACACAAAGCCAGGAGAAGAATCACCCGAAAGGACCAGAAGTGACAGTGTGCAGCAATCACACACAGCTAAGAATAATGACTCTTCCAACTGCCAGACTGGAAAGCCTCAAGACTCACAGGGTATTGAGCATATTGCACAGAAAGGTCCTGCCTTAATAATGGGGACTAACTAGCCCCACACTGAGCACCACTCTGTTCCCACTTGAAAAATCATACAAGCAAAGTCCTGAAAGGATCAGTTTCCAAGTGATTTAAATGCATCTTAGAACAAAGCTCAAGAATACTGGAAATAATTCAAAAATAACCAGCATCAAATAAGGTAAAGTGTACAATGTATGGCATCCAATTAAAAATTACCAGTCATACAAAGAATCAGGAAAATATGACCCATACTGAGGAGAAAAATTGTTAAGCCAAAGCTGATCCAAAACTGATACAGATGTTAGAATTAGCAAACAAGAATGTTAAAATAGCTATTGTTACTGGTTTCATATGTTCAAAAAGTTAAGTGAAGACATAAAAGGCATTAATAGATTCCAATTGAACTTCTAGAGATGAAAACTGCAACATATGAGATGAAAATATACTGGATGAGTTTAACAGCAGATTAGCATAAAATAAGAAAAAAACAGTGAACTTGAAGACATAACAATAGAAACTATCAAAAAAGAAAAGCAGTATGCAAAAAAGTCGAAGACAGGCTGGGTGCAGTGGCTGATGTCTGTAATCCTGGCAATTTGGGAGGCCGAGGTGGGTGGATCACTTGAGGTCAGGAGTTCGAGACCAGCCTGGCCAACATGGTGAAACCCTGTCTCTACTAAAAATACAAAAATTAGCCAGGAGCGGTGGCAGGCACCTGTAATCCCAGCTACTCAGGAGGCTGAGGCAGGAGAATCACTTGAACCCAGGAAACAGAGGTTGCAGTGAGCTGAGTTCACACCATCTCACTCCAGCCAGGGCAACAGATACACTGCCTCAAAAGAAAAAAAAAATCCAAGAGAATTTTAAAATATATTGATTGTGGTGATGATTTCATGGGTGTATACATAATATCAAAATCTATCAAATTATATACTTTAAATATGTACAGTTTATTGCATGCCAGTTATACCTCAAGAAATCTGTTTTTAGAAAAAGTTGTGCAGCTATATTAATATCCATCAATAAATTTTAATATATAAAGTAAAATGAAAATTAAAGAGGCACACTTAATAATGATCATTTCAATTTACCAGAAACATGTAACACTAAGTTTCTGTGTATATAATAACACGACCTCAAAATACAGAAAGCAAATTTTGACAGAACTACAGAAGACAAATCACTATGGAAAATCTTAATATTTCTCTTTCCATAATTGATAGAACAAATAAATCCAGTGAAGCTATAAAATATTTTAATAATTTGATTAACAAACTTGACTTAACAGTCATATGTAGAACACTGTATTCTACAACTATATAATAAAGATTCTTTTCAAGCACACATGGAAGAATTATAAAAATATAAGAACATGTACTTGGCTGTTAATCAGGTTTCAACAATTTCAAAGGATGGAAATCACATAGATTGTGTTTTCTGATTACAATGTAATTAAGCTAAATGTAACTAACAAACATTAAAAATATTTACCATATTTAGAAATTAAGCATTATACTTCTAAATAGCCTGAAGATTAAAAAATTATAATGAAAACTTAGAAAATATTATAGTCTTCATGATAGTAAAAATGCCGTATATCAAAATTTATAAGATGTAGCTAAGCAATATTTATAAAAAGTTTAGAAAACAAGAAAGGCTGAAAATTATGAACTAAATATCTATCATGAGAAGTTTTATAAAAGCCTTTTATAAAAGCATTAACCCAAAGAATGGAAAAGAAAAATAATAATAAAAGTAAGAGCAGGAATCAATAAAATAGAATACAAACATAAAATAGAATAGTCAAAGCCAAAAGCTGCTTATTTGAGAAAAAAACAAATTAATAAACCTCTAAACAAGAAAAGAGAGAGAGAGAAAGAAGGCACAAATAAATGTTAAAAGTGAAAATGGAGACTTTATTGCAAATCTTAAACATATTAGAAAGGTATTATAAATAACCTCATTCCAGTAAATTTGGAAATTTATATATAATGGATAAATTTCTAGAACAATAAAATTTACCAAACTGAACTTGAAAAGAAATAGAATATACAAATAGTCCTATAACCATTAAGTAAACTGAATTTGTAGTCCTCAATCTTCCCAAAGAAAACTCCAGTTTCAAATAATTTCACTGGTAAATTCAATAAAATATTCAAGGAAGAAAAAATTTTATCTTTTTTTACACATATATTTTTTAGAGAATAAAAAGAGAGGACATAGTCCCCAACACATTGTATGAGGTACTTTGATATTCATACCAAAACCCAAAAAGGCAAATATTATTTTAAAAAATCATAGGCCAATCTTAGTATGAACATAGATGCAAAACTCCTAAACAAATATTGGTAAACTGTATTCAACAATACATGGGCAAGTCTTGCTTTGCACAGTTCAGAAATGCAGACATTTCAGTTACTACAGTTTAAATAATACCAGTCCTCAAATATAGTAATTGCTAATAGTTACATAAATACAAAATTCACTGTAGATCTTCAGTCCACAAATCACTATGTAAATAACAGATTGCAATATGATTGGTGACTCATCCTATAACTGCCTTCAAAACTGTTGGTGATTGGTCACTGCACGTTTGTTATTCAGGTCACACACAGACAGCAAAGCATGTAGTTGTGTTGCCTTTTTGTCTCTCAGTGATAAGCTCATGTGACATAAAAATGGATAGTTTTAAAAGGGAATAGGCCAACAAAGATGAAAGGGCAGCAATGAAATGAAAAGTGATAATACTGAAAGTGAAATTCAAAGAGAATGCAACTAAAGTTGTAAAAGAAATAGATGGTCATGGGAATGATGACACTGCCTCCTTCAAGAAACTATACATAGACAATCAGAGAAACTTAGCAAAGACAAACTTACTGACGTAAACAAGGAAGGTGGTTGTGACGAAAAGGATGAAGAGTTCCCAGAGAAAGTGACACTAGTGACAAATTTCACATTAAAAAAGCTCTCAGAGATATTTCACAAAATGGAAAGCATAAGAAACAAAATGTTGGAAGTTAGCCCAAACCTAGAAAGTTGTATGACAATTCTCCAAGGCATATAAAAGATGCTTGCTTCAAAAATTATATAACCATAAGACAGCAAGCACTATTCAAACTACTCTTTGATCAGCTTTTTTGCAAAGAAATAGAACACTTTAATGCTCAATGTTTCAGTGTTTTATAGTGTACTCAATAAGCATCACTTTTACTATTTTTTCATTTCTCTATATGTTTATAACAAACAGATAGTTTTTAGTGTTTTGAAAAAATTTTTAAAGATCATGGAAAAATTGTAATTTTTTCTATGGATTAAGATTGCTTTGCATGGTTTCAGCTTGCATAATCACTTTTACCATTGTGTACCACCACACAAAGTGAGAACTGTTTGTATACATATATAATTGTAACAGTCATGACCAAGTTATATGTGTTTCAGGAATGCAAGACTAATTTAACATTAGAAAACCCATCGTTAATTCACTATAGTAACAAAATAATTTTAAAAATGGGATCATCATAGAGATTTCAGAAAAGGCTTTGAAAAATTGTAACTCCAATTTAAGATAAAAACTCATAGCTAACTAAGAATAGAAAGGAATTTCCATAATTTGATAAAGAATAAAAAAAACTAAACAAATAGTAAGCACAAAATCCATAGTAAAAATAAATCCAAATGTATAATTCATCAAACTAAATGTAAATGGAATAAACAAAAATTATGAGAACCAGTGTTTTTAAAAATGCCCTTTAAGACAAACTTCACCTGTTCTCATTTACTTGTGGGAGCTAAAAATTAAAATAATTGAATTAATGGTGATAGAAAGTAGAATGATGGTTACCAAAGGCTGGGAAGAGTAGTGCAGAGGTGAGGTAGGGAGTGGGGATGGTTAATGGGTAAAAAAAAATAGAACTAATGAATAAGGCCTAATATTTGAAAGCACAATAGAATGACTATAGTCAATAATAATGTAATTGTACATTTAAAAATAACTAAAAGAGTATAATTGGATTGTTTCTAACACAAAAGCTACATGCTTGAGGTAATGGATAACCCATTTACCCTGATGTGATCATTATACATTGTATGCTTGTGTCAAAATACCCCATATACCCTATAAATATATACACCTACTACATACCACAAAAATTTTAAAAGTTGTTAAATGCAGTCATATTACTTTGAATAAACAAATAACTAGAACATAAGAACATAGAATAGTGGGGCAAAGAAAGTTACTATATAATAATAAAAGGTCTCATTCACCAGGAATGTGTAACAAATCTAACCTCATACACACTTAAAACATAACTCAAAATAAGTAAAACAAACATCAAAAGAACTCTTAAGAAGAAATGTTCTACTCTTGTGCCTTCTCCATGTTGGGAGCTCCGGGCGACATCCTCACAGCCTCTGCTTCCCTGTGATCTGCAGGTCCTTGGGGACACATAGCTAAGATACCAGGACATCCTGGAAGCTAGGAAATGACATACAAGAAGCCTAGTTGAGAACATCTGGGAGGAGGTTCCAAGATGGCCAAATAGGAACAGCTCCAGTCTGCAGCTCCCAGCATGAGTGATGCAGAAGACAGGTGATTTCTGCATTTCCAACTGAGGTACTGGATTCATCTCACTGGGGCTTGTCAGACAGTGGGTGCAGCCCACGGAGCAGGGTGGGGCATCGCCTCACCCAGGAAGTGCAAGGGGTCGGGAAATTCCCTTTTCTAGCAAAGGGAAGCAGTGACATACGGTACCTGGAAAATCGGGACACTCCCACCCTAATACTGCCCTTTTCCAATGGCCTTAACAAATGACACACCAAGAGATTATATCCTGCGCCTGACTCGGAGGGTCCCACGCCCATGGAGCTTCACTCACTGCTAGCACAGCAATCTGAGATTGAACTGCAAAGTGACAGAGAGGCTGGGGGATTGGCGTCCGCCATTGCAGAGGCTCAAGTAGGTAAACAAAATGGCTGGGAAGCTTGAACTGGGTGGACCCACCACCGCTCAAGGAGGCCTGTCTCTGTAGACTCCACCTCTGGGGACAGGGCATAGCTGAACAAAAGGCAGCAGAAACTTCTGCAGACTTAAACGTCCTGTATGACAGCTTTGAAGAGAGTAGTGGTTCTCCCAGCATGGAGTTTGAGATCTGAGAACAGACAGACTGCCTCTCAAGTGGGTCCCTGACTGCCAAGTAGCCTAACTGGGAGACACCTCCCAGTAGGGGCAGACTGACACCTCATACAGCTGGGTGCCCCTCTGAGACAAAGCTTCCAAATGAAGAATCAGGCAGCAACATTTGCCATTCTGCAATATTTGCTGTTCTGCAGCCTCTGCTGCTGACACCCAGGCAAACAGGGTCTGGAGTGGACCTCCAGCAAACTCCAACAGACCTGCAGCTGAGGGTCCTGACTGTTAGAAGGAAACTAACAGACAGAAAGGACATTCACACCAAAACCCCGTCTGTACGTCACCATCATCAAAGACCAAAGGTAGATAAAACCATAAAGATGGGGAGAAACCAGAGCAGAAAAGCTGAAAATTCTAAAAATCAGAGCACCTCTTCTCCTCCAAAGGAACACAACTCCTCACCAGCAATGGAACAAAGCTGGACGGAGAATGACTTTGATGACTTCAGAGAAGAAGGCTTCAGACGATCGGTAATAATAAACTTCTCCGAGCTAAAGGATGATGTTCGAACCCATCGCAAGGAAGCTAAAAACCTTGAAAAAAGATTAGATGAATGGGTAACTAGAATAAATAATGTAGAGAAGACCTTAAATGACCTGATGGAGCTGAAAACCATGGCACAAGAACTATGTGACACATGCACAAGCTTCAGTAGCTGATTTGAACAAGTGGAAGAGAGGGTATCAGTGATTGAAGATCAAATGAATGAAATGAAGCAAGAAGAGAAATTTAGAGAAAAAAAGAGTAAAAAGAAATGAACAAAGCCTCCAAGAAAGAAGGGATTATAAGAAAAGACCAAATCAACGTCTGATTGGTGTACCTGAAAGTGACAGGAAGAATGGAACCAAGTTGGAAAACACTCTTCAGGATTTTATCCAGGAGAACTTCCACAACCTAGCAAGGCAGGCCAACATTCAAATTCAGGAATTACAGAGAATGCCACAAAGATACTCCTTGAGAAGAGCAACTCCAAGACACATAATTGTCAGAGTCACCAAAGTTGAAATGAAGGAAAAAATGTTAAGGGCAGCCAGAGAGGAAGGTCGGGTTACCCACAAAGGGAAGCCCATCAGACTAACAGTGGATCTGTCAGCAGAAACTCTACAAGCCAGAAGAGAGTGGGGGCCAATATTTAACATTCTAAAAGAAAAGAATTTTCAAACCAGAATGTCATATCCAGCCAAACTAAGCTTCATAAGTGAAGGAGAAATAAAATCCTTTACAGACAAACAAATGCTGAGAGATTTTGTCACCCCCAGGCCTGCCTTACAACAGCTCCTGAAGGAAGCACTAAACATGGAAAGGAACAACCGGTACTAGCCACTGCAAAAACATGCCAAATTGTAAAGACCATCAATGCTAGGAAGAAACTGCATCAACTAATGAGCAAAATAAACAGCTAACATTATAATGACAGGATCAAATTCACACATAACAATATTAACCTTAAATATAAATGGGCTAAATGCTCCAATTAAAAGACACAAATTGGCGAATTGGATAGAGTCAAGACCTATCAGTGTGCTGTATTCAGGAGACCCATCTCACATGCAGAGACACACATAGGCTCAAAATAATGGGATGGAGGAAGATCTACCATTTGAGGAAGATCTACCAAGCAAATGGAAAACAACAAAAAAGGCAGGGGTTGCAATCCTAGTCTCTGATAACAGACTTTAAACCAACAAAGATCAAAAGAGACAAAGAAGGCCATTACATAATGGTAAAGGGATCAATTCAACAAGAAGAGCTAACTATCCTAAATATATATGCACCCAATACAGGAGCACCCAGATTCATAAAGCAAGCATTTAGAGACTTACAAAGAGACTTAGACTCCCACACAATAATAATGAGAGACTTTAACGCCCCACTGTCAACATTAGACAGATCAACGACACAGAAAGTTAACAAGGACATCCAGGAATTGAACTCAGCTCTGCACCAAGCAGACCTAATAGACATCTGCAGAACTCTCCACCCCAAATCAACAGAATATACATTCTTCTCAGCACCACATTGCACTTATTCCAAAATTGACCGCATAGTTGGAAGTAAAGCACTCCGCAGCAAATGTAAAAGAACAGAAATTATAACAAACTGTCTCTCAGACCACAGTGCAATCAAACTAGAACTCAAGATTAAGAAACTCACTGAAAACCACTCAACTACATGGAAACTGAACAACCTGCTCCTGAATGACTACTGGGTACATAACAAAACGAAGGCAGAAATAAAGACGTTCTTTGAAACCAATGAGAACAAAGACAGAACATACCAGAATCTCCGGGACACATTTAAAGCAGTGTGTAGAGGGAAATTTATAGCACTAAATGCCCACAAGGGAAAGCAGGAAAGATCTAAAATTGACACCCTAACATCACAATTAAAAGAACTAGAGAAGTAAGAGCAAACACATTCAAAAGCTAGCAGAAGGCAAGAAATAACTAAGATCAGAGCAGAACTGAAGGAGATAGAGACACAAAAAACCCTTCAAAAGATCAATGAATCCAGGAGCTGGTTTTTTGAAAAAATCAACAAAATTGATAGACCTCTAGAAAGACTAATAAAGAAAAGAGAGAAGAATCAAATAGACGCAATAAAAAGTGATAAAGGGGAGATCACCACTGATCCCACAGGAATACAAACTACCATCAGAGAATATTATAAACACCCCTACACAAATAAACTAGAAAATCTAGAAGAAATGGATAAATTCCTGGACATATACACCCTCCCAAGACTAAACCAGCAAGAAGTTGAATCCCTGAATAGACGAATAACAGGTTGTGAAATTGAGGAAATAATTAATAGCCTACCAACAAAAAACAGTCCAGGACCAGATGGATTCACAGCCGAATTCTACCAGATGTTCAAAGAGGAGCCAGTACCATTCCTTAGGAAACTATTCCAATCAATAGAAAAAGAAGGAATCATCCCTAATTCATTTTATGAGACCAACATCACCCTGATACCAAAGCCTGGCAGAGACACACACAACAAAAAAAGAGAATTTTAGACCAATATCCCTGATGAACATCAATGCAAAAATCCTCAGTAAAATACTGGCAAACTGAATCCAGCAGCACATCAAAAACCTATCCACCACGATCAAGTGGGCTTCATCCCTGGGATGCAAGGCTGGTTCGACATATGCAAATCAATAAATGTAATCCAGCATATAAACAGAACCAAAGATAAAAACCACATGAGTATCTCAATAGATGCAGAAAAGATCTTTGACAAAATTCAACAGCCCCTTCATGCTAAAAACTCTCAATAAACTACGTATTGATGGAACATATCTCAAAATAATAAGAGCTATTTATGACAAACCCACAGCCAATAACACACTGAATGGGCAAAAGCTGGAAGCATTCCCTTTGAAAACTGGCACAAGACAGGGATGCCCTCTCTCACCACTCCTATCCAACATAGTGTTGGAAGTGCTGGCCATGGCAATCAGGCAGGAGAAAGAAATAAAGGGTATTCAATTAGGAAAAGAGGAAGTCAAATTATCCCTGTTTGCAGATGACATGATTGCATATTTAGAAAACCCCATTGTCTCAGCCCAAAATCTCCTTAAGCTGATAAGCAACTTCAGCAAAGTCTCAGGAGAGAAAATAAGTATGCAAAAATCACAAGCATTCCTATACACCAATAACAGAGAAACAGAGAGCCAAATCATGAGTGAACTCCCATTCACAATTGCTTCAAAAAGAATAAAATACCTAGGAATCCAACTTACAAGGGATGTGAAGGACCTCTTCAAGGAGAACTACAAACCACTGCTCAATGAAATTAAAGAGGATACAAACAAATGGAAGAACATTCCATGCTCATGGATAGGAAGAATCAATATTGTGCAAATGGCCATACTGCCCAAGGTAATTTATAGATTCAATGCCATCCCCATAAAGCTACCAATGACTTTCTTCACAGAACTGGAAAAAGCTACTTTCAAGTTCATATGGAACCAAAAAAGAGCCCGCATTGCCAAGTCAATCCTAAGCCAAAAGAACAAAGCTGGAGGCATCAGGCTGCCTGACCTCAAACTATACTACAAGGCTACAGTAACCAAAACAGCATGGTACTGGTACCAAAACAGAGATATAGATCAATGGAACAGAACAGAGCCCTCAGAAATAATGCTGCATATCTACAACTATCTGATCTTTGACAAACTTGAGAAAAACAAGCAATGGGGAAAGGATTCCCTATTTAATAAATGGTGCTGGGAAAACTGGCTAGCCATATGTAGAAAGCTGAAACTGGATCTCTTCCTTACACCTTATACAAAAATTAATTCAAGATGGATTAAAGACTTAAACGTTAGACCTAAAACCATAAAAACCCTAGAAGAAAACCTAGGCATTACCATTCAGGACATAGGCATGGGCAAGGACTTCATGTCTAAAACACCAAAAGCAATGGCAACAAAAGCCAAAATTGACAAATGGGACCTAATTAAACTAAAGAGCTTCTGCACAGCAAAAGAAACCACCATCAGAATGAACAGGCAACCTACAGAATGGGGGAAAATTTTTACAATCTACCCATCTGACAAAGGGCAAATATCGAGAATCTACAAAGAAATTAAACAAATTTACAAGAAAAATCAAACAACCCCATCAAAAAGTGGACAAAGGATATGAACAGACACTTCTCAAAAGAAGAAATTTATGCAGCCAACAGACACAAGAAAAAATGCTTATCATCACTGACCATCAAAGAAAAGCAAATCAAAACCACAATGAGATACCATCTCACACCAGTTAGAATGGCAATCATTAAAAAGTCAGGAAACAACAGGTGCTGGAGAGGATGTGGAGAAATAGGAACACTTTTACACTGTTGGTGGGACTGTAAACTAGTTCAACCATTGTGGAAGACAGTGTGGCAATTCCTCAAGGATCTAGAACTAGAAATACCATTTGACCCAGCCATCCCATTACTGAGAGTATACCCAAAGGATTATAAATCATGCTGCTATAAAGACACATGCACACATATATTTATTGTGGCACTATTCACAATAACAAAGACTTGGAACCAACCCAAATGTCCATCAATGATAGACTGGATTAAGAAAATGTGCCACATATACACCATGGAATACTATGCAGCCATAAAAAATGATGAGTTCATGTCCTTTGTAGGGACATGGATGAAGCTGGAAACCATCATTCTGAGCAAACTATAGCAAGGACAGAGAACCAAACACCACATGTTCTCACTCATAGGTGGGAATTGAACAATGAGAACACTTGGACACAAGGTGGGGAACATCACACACTGGGGCCTGTTGTGGGGTGAGGGGAGGGGAGAGGGATAGCATTAAGAAATATACCTAATGTAAATGACGAGTTAACGGGTGCAGCACACCAACATGGCACATGTATACATATGTAACAAACCTGCACGTTGTGCACATGTACCCTAGAACTTAAAGTATTATAATAATAATAAAGAAGAAGAAATGTTCACTACCATAATGAAAGATTTTAACACCTGTTTTTCAATAATTAATAAACAGCCAAAAAATCAGCAAGCAACATAACTTACAAGCTTAATCTAATAAATAGCTACAGAATATTGACTCAACATTGGACTGTATACATTCTTTTAACATATTCATGAAACACTGATAGAAATGTATCATGTACATGACCATAAAGCAAGCCTCAAAACTGTCAGAAAATTGGTACGTACACAGTATTCTCTAAGTACAATACAATTAAGTTATAAATCAATGCAAAGAGATAAGTTTTTAAATCTCCAAATAAATTTTCAAACCTAAATATGATCAAGCCTCTCTACCTGTCTACCAATTCCCCAGAAATACAGGAACAAAGAAATATGTCAAATTACACCATGAGGATGCAATGATCAAAGCTCAGGCTGTGCTAAACTCTGTAGGACAAACAACTCAGCTTCTTAAACATACAAATGTATAAAATTTGGAGGCGAGGAAAGGGGAAATGGAACTCTTTGAACTCTTTTCTCTCTTTCTCTCTATAGATATATATATAGAGAGAGACATTTCAGCTAGTAGCAATGTATGGATTCCATTTGGATCCTGATCCATACAAACTGTTGAAAGGGTGAGAAGACATTAAGAGAAAGTTAAATATTCAAATGTTTACTGAATATTGATGATATTGAGGAATTATTATGGGAATTGCTTCAAAATAAAGGGCAGGGTCTAGAGAGGGGCATATAAGTGAAACAAGATTGTCTGTGAATTGATCATTGCTGACTGGCTGATAAACATGGAAGTTCATTAAATTATTCGATTTTGTGTATTTTAAATTTTCAATAATAAATGATTAAAATAAACTAATGAATTTAGAATGGGAATGAACATTACAGGCCAATCTCCCTCATGGCAATGTGTGCCAGTTATTTACCCTGTTACCCATCCTTGGCAGCTCAGACCTACCCTTTAGTACTGTGTTCTCTGCTGCCAAGGCTGGAAACTGCAAAATACATTCCTCAGCTTCCATTGCCAGTGGCCTTTATTTTAGATCCTGCTAATGGGAATTTAAAGTCACTGTTGGAAGATCAGAAGTGGACAAAGAGGGAAGTTTTCTGCTTTTGGCTCCAACAGTGTGGCAGTTGCTGGTTGTTGTTGTAGTAACAGTCAAGATAGAGATTCTGAACTCCAGAAGCTTGGCCTAAAGCAACATCTTGTCTGTGGTTCCAACCCAGGTCAACATTTGATGGGTCCAGAACTGACTGAGATAGTTCCTCCAACAGCACAATGGCAGATGCTGTTAATAGGCTCCAATCCAGGGCATTAGCAGCTTCTAATCTTTAGGTGTTACCCTTTCCTCCTGACTCCTCCAGCACATTTCCTTCTTTTTGCTTCTGCAGCCCTTCAAAAAAAAAAAAAAAAAAAAAAAAAAACATAGCCAATTCCCTTTATTAAGTTCCCTTTCTTCAAAATACCTAGAGTGGTTTCTGTATTCCTGAGTAAAGCCTGACTGATATCAGTACTTGGTGTCAGGAGTGCTTGCAGAAAGAGAACCTCATAAATGGAATCCTGGGGTTGGGTTGCTGACCTGTTGAGTAAGAGTGCAGTGATCATCTCATTACATGTGGGAAATGAGATATTGTAAATTTGTGCCTTGTGGTGCCATTACAATTTCTCAAATCATCACTTGTGAATGTTTGGAATGTAGTGCCTATTAAAGACCAGGCTTTGGAAGGCCAAGTGGCTAGGGTACTTGACTGTCACGACAGTGACAGTGACTGTAAAGACTGAGATAGACTAGCTATTTCTGATGAAACTGGAGAGCTTACACAAAGAAAATGACAGATTCAAAGACTTAAACTTTCAGAATAAGGCACGGTCAGAGAACTAGAGAGTACGTTGAAGCACTAAAATTATCCCTTAATTCTTGTAGCCATAAAGCAGATATGGCTGAAAATAAGATTCCAAATGTGATTGTACATGTTGCAGAATTACATTATAAGTTTAATTTATAGCTTCATCAATTCTCCTATGTGAAAATTAGGACATGGGAGGATTAGGAACCTGCAACTTTGAATGCAGATATTTTGTAGACTAGAAGGAATCTAAGAAATGAAATCCCCCAAATCCCCCAAGCTTCCCTTACCAACAGGAATAGTTACTTCTTCTTCTTCCAGGGAAACTAGCCAACCTTTGCTAGTTGTCTTTCAAAGGATTCCTGTAATCCTCAAGCTCATGCCAATATACACCTATTGCTTCCAGATTCATAACTATAACCAGATCCCAGGAAAGTCTCATGCAAGAGGACATAGGCTATACACACCAAAAGAATTGAGTGTTTCTGCTCATTTTTATTATTAGAAACCCAGAAAATATGTATTTATGTTTAGGAGTAGATTCCAAGGAGGATAGAAATAACCTTGCATAAGGCAGAATTGATCAATATAGGGAATATATTAATCAATATATGGGAATCTGTATTTAATGCATTGGCTTTAGTAGTCAACAGTTTGCTTGATTGACTAAAATTTGGACTCAACACTGGTCTATGATAAGTGAAATTGAGATGCCAAAATTCTCTGGCATAAAACAGAGAGATGGAATTAAGTTGGAACTCCGGGGGCAGCAGCATTCAGTAGTATTCCCTTTACAAGGATATCCATTTCACCACTTTTATTCGGCTTAACACTCAAAGTCCTGGCCAGAGCAATTAGGCAAGAGAAAGAAATAAAGAGCATCCAAATTGGAAAGAAAGTAGTCAAATTATTCTTGTTCACATATGACACAATCTTATACCTAGATAAACCTAAAGACTCCACCAAAAAACTGTTAGAACTGATAAAATAAATTCAGTAAAGTTGCAGGATATAAAGTCATCATAAATAAATCAGTAGCATTTATATATACCAATTTATATATACCAATAGTGAACAATTTGAAAAAGATATCAAAAAAATCACATTTGCAATAGCTACAAAAAAAAAAATCTAGAAATCAATCTAACCAAAGAAGTGAAAGATCTACAGAAGGAAAACTATAAAACTCTGATGAAAGAAACTGAAGAGGAGACAAAAAAATCAAAATATTTTCCATGTTCAGGGATTAGAAGAATTAATATTGCTAAAATGACAAATATTACAATTTACAAATTATAAAGCAATTTGTAAAGCAATTTACAAATTTGATGCAATCTCTATCAAAATACCAATGACATTCTTTGCAGAAACAGAAAAAACACTCTAAAATTTATATGGGACCACAAAATACCTTGAATAGCCAAAGCAATCCTGAGCAAAAAGAAGAAAGCTGGAGGCATCACACTACCTGACTCCAAAATTTATGACAAAGCTACAGTAATCAAAACATCATATAATGGTACTGGCCTGAAAACAGACACAGAGACCAATGGAACAGAATAGAGAACACAGATATAAATCCATGCACCTACAACCTACCCATCTTCAACAGAAGTGCCAAGAACATACAATGAGAAAAGGACAGTCTTTTCAAAAAATGGTGTCAGAAAAACTGGATATCCATATGCAGAAGAATAAAACTAGAACCCTATCTCTCACCACACACAAAAATCAAATCAAAGTGAATTAAAGGAGGAGGAGCCAAGATGGCCGAATAGGAACAGCTCCGGTATACAGCTCCCAGTGTGAGCGACGCAGAAGACGGGTGATTTCTGCATTTCCATCTGAGGTACCGGATTCATTTCACTAGGGAGTGCCAGACAGTGGGTGCAAGTCAGTGAGTGTGCGCATCGTGCGTGAGCCAAAGAAGGGCGAGGCATTGCCTCACTTGGGAAGCGCAAGGGTCAGGGAGTTCCCTTTCCGAGTCAAAGAAAGGGGTGACGGACGCACCTGGAAAATCGGGTCACTACCAGCTGAATATTGCGCTTTTTGGACCGGCTTAAAAAACGGCGCACCACGACATTATATCCCACACGTGGCTCCGAGGGTCCTACGCCTCGCTGATTGCTAGCACAGCAGTCTGAGATCAAACTGCAAGGCAGCAGCGAGGCTGGGGGAGGGGCGCCCGCCATTGCCCAGGCTTGCTTAGGTAAACAAAGCAGCCGGGAAGCTCAAACTGGGTGGAGCCCACCACAGTTCAAGGAGGCCTGCCTGCCTCTGTAGGCTCCACCTCTGGGGGCAGGGCACAGACAAACAAAAAGACAGCAGTAACCTCTGCAGACTTAAATGTCCCTGTCTGACAGCTTTGAAGAGAGCAGTGGTTCTCCCAGCATGCAGCTGGAGATCTGAGAACAGGCAGACTGCCTCCTCAAGTGGGTCCCTGACCCCTGACCCCTGAGAAGCCTAACTGGGAGGCACCCCCCAGCAGGGGCACACTGACACCTCACACTGCAGGGTATTCCAACAGACCTGCAGCTGAGGGTCCTATCTGTTAGAAGGAAAACTAACAAACAGAAAGGACATCCACACCAAAAACCCATCTGTACATCACCATCATCAAAGACCAAAAGTAGATAAAACCACAAAGATGGGGAAAAAACAGAACAGAAAAACTGGAAACTCTAAAAAGCAGAGCGCCTCTCCTCCTCCAAAGGAACGCAGTTCCTCATCAGCAATGGAACAAAGCTGGATGGAGAATGACTTTGACGAGCTGAGAGAAGAAGGCTTCAGACGATCAAATTACTCTGAGCTACAGGAGGACATTCAAACCAAAGACAAAGAAGTTGAAAACTTTGAAAAAAATTTAGAAGAATGTATGACTAGAATAACCTATACAGAGAAGTGCTTAAAGGAGCTGATGGAGCTGAAAACCAAGGCTCGGGAACTACGTGAAGAATGCAGAAGCCTCAGGAGCCGATGCAATCAACTGGAAGAAAGGGTATCAGCGATGGAAGATGAAATGAATGAAATGAAGTGAGAAGGGAAGTTTAGAGAAAAAAGAATACAAAGAAATGAGCAAAGCCTCCAAGAAATATGGGACTATGTGAAAAGACCAAATCTACGTCTGATTGGTGTACCTGAAAGTGATGGGGAGAATGGAAACAAGTTGGAAAACACTCTGCAGGATATTATCCAGGAGAACTTCCCCAATAAAGCAAGGCAGGCCAACGTTCAGATTCAGGAAATACAGAGAATGCCACAAAGATACTCCTCGAGAAGAGCAACTCCAAGACATATAATTGTCAGATTCACCAAAGTTGAAATGAAGGAAAAAATGTTAAGGGCAGCCAGAGAGAAAGGTCAGGTTACCCTCAAAGGGAAGCCCATCAGACAAAGAGTGGATATCTCGGCAGAAACCCTACAAGCCAGAAGAGAGTGGGGGCCAATATTCAACATTCTTAAAGAAAAGAATTTTCAACCCAGAATTTCATATCCAGCCAAACTAAGCTTCATAAGTGAAGGAGAAATAAAATACTTTACAGACAAGCAAATGCTGAGAGATTTTGTCACCACCAGGCCTGCCCTGAAAGAGCTTCTGAAGGAAGCACTAAACATGGAAAGGAACAACTGGTACCAGCCACTGCAAAATCATGCCAAAATGTAAAGACCGTCGAGACTAGGAAGAAACTGCATCAACTAACGAGCAAAATCACCAGCTAACATCATAATGACAGGATCAAATTCACACATAACAATATTAACTTTAAATGTAAATGGACTAAATGTTCCAATTAAAAGACACAGACTGGCAAATTGGATTAAGAGTCAAGACCCATCAGTGTGCTGTATTCAGGAAACCCATCTCACGTGCAGAGACACATATAGGCTCAAAATAAAAGGATGGAGGAAGATCTACCAAGAAAATGGAAAACAAAAAAAGGCAGGGGTTGCAATCCTAGTCTCTGATAAAACAGACTTTAAACCAACAAAGATCAAAAGAGACAAAGAAGGCCATTACATAATGGTAAAGGGATCAATTCAACAAGAAGAGCTAACTATCCTAAATATATATGCACCCAATACAGGAGCACCCAGATTCGTAAAGCAAGTCCTGAGTGACCTACAAAGAGACTTAGACTCCGACACATTAATAATGGGAGACTTTAACACCCCACTGTCAACATTAGACAGATCAATGAGACAGAAAGTCAACAAGGATACCCAGGAATTGAACTCAGCTCTGCACCAAGCGGACCTAATAGACATCTGCAGAACTCTCCACCCCAAATCAACAGAATATACATTTTTTTCAGCACCACACCACACCTATTCCAAAATTGACCACATACTTGGAAGTAAAGCACTCCTCAGCAAATGTAAAAGAACAGAGATTATAACAAACTATCTCTCAGACCACAATGCAATCAAACTAGAACTCGGGATTAAGAATCTCACTCAAAACCACTCAACTACATGGATACTGAACAACCTGCTCCTGAATGACTACTGGATACATAACGAAATGAAGGCAGAAATAAAGATGTTCTTTGAAACCAATGAGAACAAAGACACAACATACCAGAATCTCTGGGAAGCATTTAAAGCAGCGTGTAGAGGGAAATTTATAGCACTAATGCCCACAAGAGAAAGCAGGAAAGATCCAAAATTGACACCCTAACATCACAATTAAAAGAACTAGAAAAGCAAGAGCAAACACATTCAAAAGCTAGCAGAAGGCAAGAAATAACTAAAATCAGAGCAGAACTGAAGGAAATAGAGACACCAAACACCCTTCAAAAAATTAATGAATCCAGGAGCTGGTTTTTTGAAAGGATCAACAAAATTGATAGACTGCTAGCAAGACTAATAAAGAAAAAAAGAGAGAAGAATCAAATAGACACAATAAAAAATGATAAAGGGGATATCACCACCTATCCCACAGAAATACAAACTACCATCAGAGAATACTACAAACACCTCTACGCAAATAAACTAGAAAATCTAGAAGAAATGGATAAATTCCTCGACACATACAATCTCCCAAGACTAAACCAGGAAGAAGTTGAATCTCTGAATAGACCAATAACAGGAGCAGAAATTGTGGCAATAATCAACAGCTTACCAACCAAAAAGAGTCCAGGACCAGATGGATTCACAGCCGAATTCTACCAGAGGTACAAGGAGGAACTGGTATCATTCCTTCTGAAACTATTCCAATCAATAGAAAAAGAGGGAATCCTCCCTAACTCATTTTATGAGGCCAGCATCATTCTGATACCAAAGCCGGGCAGAGACACAACCAAAAAAGAGAATTTTAGACCAATATCCTTGATGAACATTAATGCAAAAATCCTCAATAAAATACTGGCAAACTGAATCCAGCAGCACATCAAAAAGCTTATCCACCATGATCAAGTGGGCTTCATCCCTGGGATGCAAGGCTTGTTCAATATACACAAATCAATAAATGTAATCCAGCATATACACAGAGCCAAAGACAAAAACCACATGATTATCTCAATAGATGCAGAAAAAGCCTTTGACAAAATTCAACAACCCTTCGTGCTAAAAACTCTCAATAAATTAGGTGTTGATGGGATGTATTTCAAAATAATAAGAGCTATCTATGACAAACCCACAGCCAATATCATACTGAATGGGCAAAAACTGGAAGCATTCCCTTTGAAAACTGGCACAAGACAGGGATGCCCTCTCTCACCACTCCTACTCAACATAGTGTTGGAAGTTCTGGCCAGGGCAATTAGGCAGGAGAAGGAAATAAAGGGTATTCAATTAGGAAAAGAGGAAGTCAAATTGTCCCTGTTTGCAGACGACATGATTATATATCTAGAAAACCCCATTGTCTCAGCCCAAAATCTCCTTAAGCTGATAAGCAACTTCAGCAAAGTCTCAGGATACAAAATCAATGTACAAAAATCACAAGCATTCTTATACACCAACAACAGACAAACAGAGAGCCAAATCATGAGTGAAATCCCATTCACAATTGCTTCAAAGAGAATAAAATACCTAGGAATCCAACTTACAAGAGACGTGAAGGACCTCTTCAAGGAGAACTACAAACCACTGCTCAATGAAATAAAAGAGGATACAAAGAAATGGAAGAATATTCCATGCTCATGGGTAGGAAGAATCAATAGCGTGAAAATGGCCATACTGCCCAAGGTAATTTACAGATTCAATGCCATCCCCATAAAGCTACCAATGACTTTCTTCACAGAATTGGAAAAAACTACTTTAAAGTTCATATGGAACCAAAAAAGAGCCTGCATCACCAAGGCAATCCTAAACCAAAAGAACAAAGCTGGAGGCATCACACTACCTGACTTCAAACTATACTACAAGGCTACAGTAACCAAAACAGCATGGTACTGGTACCAAAACAGAGATATAGATCAATGGAACAGAACAGAGCCCTCAGAAATAACGCCGCATATCTACAACTATCTGATCTTTGACAAACCTGAGAAAAACAAGCAATGGGGAAAGGATTCCCTATTTAATAAATGGTGCTGGGAAAACTGGCTAGCCATATGTAGAAAGCTGAAACTGGATCCCTTCCTTACATCTTATACAAAAATCAATTCAAGATGGATTAAAGACTTAAACGTTAGACCTAAAACCATAAAAACCCTAGAAGAAAACCTAGGCATTATCATTCAGAACATAGGCGTGGGCAAGGACTTCATCTCCAAAACACCAAAAGCCATGGCAACAAAAGCCAAAATTGACAAATGGGATCTAATTAAACTAAAGAGCTTCTGCACAGCAAAAGAAACTACCATCAGAGTGAACAGGCAACCTACAAAATGGGAGAAAATTTTCACAACCTACTCATCTGACAAAGGGCTAATATCCAGAATCTACAATGAACTCAAACAAATTTACAAGAAAAAAACAAACAACCCCATCAAAAAGTGGGCAAAGGATATGAACAGACACTTCTCAAAAGAAGACATTTATGCAGCCAAAAAACACATGAAAAAATGCTCATCATCACTGGCCATCAGAGAAATGCAAATCAAAACCACAATGAGATACCATCTCACACCAGTTAGAATGGCAATCATTAAAAAGTCAGGAAACAACAGGTGCTGGAGAGGATGTGGAGAAATAGGAACACTTTTACACTGTTGGTGGGACTGTAAACTAGTTCAACCATTGTGGTAGTCAGTGTGGTGATTCCTCAGGGATCCAGAATTAGAAATACCACTTGACCCAGTCATCCCATACTGGGTATATACCCAAAGGACTATAAATCATGCTGCTATAAAGACACATGCACACGTATGTTTATTGCGGCATTATTCACAATAGCAAAGACTTGGAACCAACCCAAATGTCCAACAATGATAGACTGGATTAAGAAAATGTGGCACATATACACCATGGAATACTATGCAGCCATAAAAAATGATGAGTTCATGTCCTTTGTAGGGACATGGATGAAATTGGAAATCATCATTCTCAGTAAACTATCGCAAGAACAAAAAACCAAACACCGCATATTCTCACTCATAGGTGGGAATTGAACAATGAGATCACATGGACACAGAAAGGGGAATATCACACTCTGGGGACTGTGGTGGGGTGGGGGGAGGGGGGAGGGATAGCATTGGGAGATATACCTAATGCTAGATGACGAGTTAGTGGGTGCAGCGCACCAGCATAGCACATGTATACATATGTAACTAACCTGCACAATGTGAACGTGTACCCTAAAACATAAAGTATAATAAAAAAAAAAAGAAAAAAACAAAGTGAATTAAAGACTTAAATCTAAGGCCTAAAACTATGAAACTACTGGAAGAAAACACTGGGGAAGCACCCCAGGACTTTGGTCTAGACAAAGATTTTTTTATGTCAGACAGCAATAGCATGGGCAACCAAAGCAAAAACAGACAAACAGGATAACATCACGCTCAAAAGCTTCCACACAACAAAGGAAACAAAGTGAAGAAGTGACCCACAGAATGGGGAAGAATATTTGCAAAATGTCCATCTAACAAGGGATTAATAACCAGAATATATATATATGTAAGGGACTCAAGCAACTTAATAGCAAAAAAAAATTCGATTTTAAAATAAGCAAATATCTGAAAAAATATTTCTCAAAAGAAGACATACAAATAGCCAACAGGTATAGAAAAATACTCAATATTGCTAACATCAGAGAAATGCAAATTAAAACTACAATGAAATATCTCACCTCAGTTAAAATGACTTGTATCAAAAAGATAGGCAATAACAAATGCTGGCAAGGATATGGAGAAAGGGGAACCCTCATACACTATTGATGGGAATGTAAATTAGTACAGTCACTATGGAAAACAGTATGGAGGTTCCTCAAAAAACTAAAAATAGGGCCAGGCACAGTGCCTCACATGCCTATAATCCAAGCACTTTTAGACACCAAGGTAGCAGATCACTTGAGCTCAGGAGTTTGACTCCAACCTGGGCAACACAGTGAAAAACCATCTCTAAAACTAAAAAAATAAAAAATAGAACTGCTATATGATATACTATATGATCCAGCAATTCCACTACTAGGTATATAATCAAAAGAAAGAAAGGAATTTAATATATTAAAGAGATATCTGCACTCCCATGCTTATTGCAGCACAATTCACAATAGCCAAAATATGGACCCAACGTACATGCCCATCAATGGATGAATGAATAAAGAAAATGAGGTATATATATGCAGTGAAATATTATTCAGCCATGAAAAAAGGATGAAATCTTGCCATTTGCAGCAACATGGATGGAATTGGAGGCCACTGTGTTAAGTAAAATAAGCCAAGCACATAAAAATAAATATCACATGTTCTCATTTACATGTGGGAGCTAAAAAAGTGGATGCATGAAGATAGAGAACAGATTGGTGGTTACCAGGGAAGGGGTAGAGGGGAAGGGAGATGAAGGGGGAAAAAGAATATAAATGTAGTTATTACCACTTAACTGTACACTTAAAAATGATAAAGATGATAAATAATTCAAAAAGAAAGACAACATCAACAAATAGAGATGTTAAGGTGCCAAAGTAGGCTACAGGACAAGCAAGCTACAGCAAATAATGGCATAATAGTTCCAGGAATGCTGGTAGCTGTTTCTTGGTGTGGAATTGTTGAGTTTGAAGTAAAATTTTATCTGTACCTGACTCCTCCCACCCCCGGTCTCCCTGCAAAAACACTAGTATTGTCTTTAAGTGGTTCCCTAGCAGCAGTGGCCTGTGTAAACAGTAGTGATTCAAAACCAGAACGGCCCTGTGGAGTGAATCCTACCATGGTTCCTGCTGGTCTTCCTTGATTCTTCTGGACCTGTCCCTGAGCCTGGTCCTCCAGCCTTGCTGTAGGTACTGTCTTTTCCATGATGTTTCATTCAAAATTCCTTTTCCATTGAAGTCAACTGGAGTTACATATAACAATAAACCATGAATTATGCAGTTTGCATTTTTATCTTTCAGCTACAAAGGCTGTTTAGTAGCCCACATCCTATTAACTTTAATTTCAATGATAATGTCTGTTTCTTACTGGAGAATACTGGGAGAATAGTGGTGGAGATAGCAAATTAGGGAAATGCAGATTAAAACCAGAATAAGATATTATTTCACACCCACCTAGTTGTAAAAAATATGAAAATTCTGAAAATACCAAGTGTTGGTTAGCATGTAAACAGTGGTTGGAGTGTAAAATGGTACAACCACTTTAGAAAACAGTTTCTAGTAAAGTGGATGATGTGCACAACTCCCGTGACCCAGCAACATCTACTTGGAAGAATAGATTATAGAGAAAGGCTTATTCATACACGCAGGCGAAAAGTCCAAGAATGTTCACATGGCATTGTTTGTAATAATTACAGGAGAAAAATGAAAGTACCCCAAATGTTCGATAGGTAAATAGACAACTAACTTGTAATGTATTTATACAATGGAATATTAAACAGCCATAAAGATGAAATAATTATAGAACATGTCAACATAGATTGATTTTATCAATATCTTTAATGAAAAAATGCAATTCACAGAAGGTTGCAAACAATGATTTCAAATGGTATAATATTTGAAAAAGGTGAAGTTAAACAATATTGTTTGGGGATACATAGAAAAGTGGTAAAATTCAAGTTGGAGTTACCTTTAGAGAGAGGAGAGAAATTTGAATGAGGAGGGACACACAGGGGAACTTCATAGGGACTGGTAATAATCTATTTCTTAACGTATTGTTTCTCTAATATTTTTGAAACCACTTATATGTATTATATATGCAGTTTTATAATTACAAAATAATCATAATTTTTTAAAAGCAATTTTGTGACTCAGCTGGCTGCCACTTCAAATGCTCATGAATTTGAAAAAAGTAATTTAAAAAAAGAAAATGTCTTCTGCCTACATAACCCTGTTTACCTACTAAACAGGTTTGGTTTTGTTTTTTTGTTTGTAATCATAGGATTCAGCGTCTTGTATAGTCTTGTGAATCATGAATCTCCAAGAGAAGAACTTAAAATTCCATAATTTCCAAACTTTTTTAACCATGGAATATTTAGACTTGGAATACCTAAAATACAGATATGGTTCGAGAAAAATACTTTTCTACAGATGTGTCCTAGTTCTGTGCCACACCTCCCACCCCCAACCCGGAGCTATTCATTTCTGCATTCTTGGTCCCAAACCCTAGCTGAGTGTCTAGGACGCTGCTTCCCATCTGCCTACCTAGACTCCTGTTCACTGCTGGCTCCTAGGTTCCTAGAGATGTTGCAAAACCTGCTTGCTTGGAAAAGTCCACATTCTGGCCTTCCACTCTGGCCTGAGACAGGATTTCTCCGGGCCTGTCGTCCTCCACATACCCCTTTCATGCTGTGTTCTACCTGCGGCACTGGCGTTCCTCCCAGCACTTGCGGAGGGGCCTGTCTGCTTATCGCTTATTCCAGCACAGGAGGCAGTCATTCCAGATCATCCGACCCTGCCCTGCTCCCCAACCCGTCAGATCATATTGGATGTGACTTGACATAAGATCATGAGACTTGAAAATCATATCCCTGGGGACAAGCAGAACTGGAGTGACAGAGAAGAAAAGACTTAGGCAGACAGGCACCAGAAAAGTATTGCGGCATTTGCCCGTGAGGTCACCACTAAACACATGGTCATTTCTGAGGCTCAAAGTGTAGCCCAGAATCATAGCTGAAATCTCTGGGTCTTCCAAAGAGAAGAATCAGCCTTAATAGTTGATTAGTGGATATGACTCAAGCAAGCCAGATAGCCCACAGACAAATGGGCCATGGAAGAAGAAAACCCTTACAAAAGCAGCACTACCAGCAGTCTCTGAGATAGACAAGCAGAAGGCTACAGGGCTACAAGGCAGTGAGAAGCGCAGAAATGCTATTGTGGAGGATCTTAGGAGGCAGGACCTGAGTTCCGGACAATTGCAGCTAAGGGTGAAATGAAGCCAGGTAAATACTGTTGTGACTATATTTTTGTCCCCTCTGTTTCTCTCTCCATCTCCCTGACTTATGTGGCCTAGGGAAAGAGAAGTTATGTTACAAATGAAATTCAAATTAGTATGTTGTGACTTACTAAGTAACGTTTCAAACTTTAAGACAAAAGTCAAACAGTATAGGGTTCTTTAAGCAGTTCTGGCTAGCATTAAATGAAAAGGAATATTTTTGAAGAATATCAGATAACTCACAGAATCAACAGAAAGCTGGAGAACAAGGCCCAGAAACACGATGGAAACCCAGGATGGCCAGTGGGGACTAGCCAGGGCCTCAGGACCCATATGGGTAGGGCAGTGTCTGTGCTGCCCTAGGCCACCACAGCCTAGGGGTGCTCAAAACCAACAGGGCTGACTGCCAAATCTCAAAGGCTCTGCCGCCACCATAAGGAAAGTCTGACCTGTTCCAGATTCTTAGCAAAGTTCTCTTAAGAGTCAAAGTGTGAGATGGTACTGCCTGTTTGGCTGAACCAAGATCACAGGCTGGCTCCTGCATGGCCTTTGGGCTGGGAGAGAGGAACTCCCCCCTTTGGTTTCCATCGTGAAAGAAGAGCAGCCTGCACACCCAGCAGGCAGGTGGGTGGGGAGGTCCCAAACCCAGAATGGTGCGTAGCTGGCTGAGCAGCACAAAGAAATGACGACTGTTCACTACAACATTATAATGTTGTGCGGTGCTATAAACTAACAGTACTGTGAATAATAACTATTAAAATGAGTGTGAAATGACTTAATGTGAATAAATGAAGAAATGCTGTGTGTGAGTGTGAATGACTATGAAGGTTGCCAGCTGTGAGCAACAAGAGGATTGCAAGAGGAAATCAAAGGACACAGCTTCACAGGTGACAGCACAGAGGCCAGAGAACAGAACTAGCACAAGGTTCCCAGACCTGCAGGGAACTGACTAAGGAAGAGCTAGAAGCTTCTGTCAGGCTGGGAAGGGGCCTCAGCATGAACAGAAAGTCCCCCTCCACTAGGCTCAGAGAGGGCTGGTACCTCAGGGGTCTTCTTAAGGAAAAGCTCAGCTGAATAGAGCAAGTTCTTGCCAATAAAACTCCCCAGACGATTCCATGTCAACCACAGCTGCAAATGGAGAGTGGTCATCTCTGAATGATGGGGTTGATAGGAAGTATTTATCTCTGTTTAGAATATTCATGTGCTAAGCTTTCTATGGTAAACATGTGTGGCTTTTATAATCAGAAAAGAAAGAGTGAAAGAAATAAGACAAACTTCGGTAAAAGCTGCCCCTTTCTTTTCTCTTCCTGTAAGAATAAATAAATCATCTTAGGATAACAATTAGAAACTGAATGTGCCAGAGGGAATATGTGTCTGATGTGTGTGTCAAAGAGAAAATTTAGCAAATTGTAAATCTGTAAGAAACTAGAACTTGGCCCTCATGGCTTCAGTTTGGACTGGTTTGAATTGGGTTGTCAATTTAATTGCTACTAACTGGGTTCTCACTTTGCAAACAAACAAACAAAAACCCAAAACTTCTTATTTAATTTGAGAGGACAAAGATCTCTATCTTTAGGGTTAACACCCTGCCTTCAGCCTCTTCCTCCACCACACTCATATTTTTCTGGGGGTCCCCTCTGTTGTTCTCCAGAGCAGCCCATTCAGCCCCCAAAGAATGTGCATAGATTATTTTGTCACAGGAATGGCTCCTTGGAGCACGCAAATGCACCCTGCAGCAGGTGCTAGCTCGCAGAAGGTTGAACACCAAGGGGGCCAGGCCTGCAAAAGGGAGGCACCAATGCAGGATATGCAAGTCCCCAGGGTGGCAAAGCCTTTTCATATTCTAGACACCAGGGCAGGGTGGAGAGGAAATCCAACTCAGAGAAGGATGGCGAGTGGTGTGACTGCAGGTGTAGTACAGAGGGTTCACTCTTAGGAAATCCACCTGAGGGGAGGCAAGGGGAAGCCCCAGGAAAGGGCCGGGGTGCTGGAAATCTGAGAAATCTGAGCTGAGAGGCAGGCAGGGTCTGTTTTCATGCACCACATGCCCAACCTAACCTGGGCCTTCAGGGAGCTGTCCACACCCTGTCCACAAGCCATGTGTTCAGGACTTGACCCACAAGCCACCCAGCCTTCTGTACCCATTCCACACCTCATTCCATATTCTGGTCTCTCCATGTTTATTGTCCCTGCTTCCTTGGTCCCTTTCCAGTTCTCTCCTATAGCATACCTTTCTTACTAAAGAAGTAACTCAAAGTAATTCATCATTCTTCTTTACTAGGGATAAATCAATGCTAAGAAGTGGTTAAAAAAAAAGAAAGAAAGAAAAAGAAAGAAAGAGAGAGAAAGAAAAATGTTAAAAAAAAAAAAAGAGCTCCTTAAAGAGATTTTCTTCCTGTGTAGTGAGAGGAATTGAAAGAGCATTGAATAAAAAGAGAATTGTACAGATAAACAGTGGTATACCAAGGATGGAGGATGGGGAGAGTTGTCCATCAAGGTGAGGAATATTTTATCACTGACATTGCTTAGAACTGTCAGTGCATGGTGATAATAAAAAGCAGACCGACTTTTTCTTGTATCTATTATTGTTTTAAAATTCTCCATGACATTGCACATCGTTATTTCTTGCATTCAAGGCAAAGCACTCCAACCTCCTTTGGTACTGACCAGCTCTCTGAGTCTTTCTGTGTTCCAAGTGAATCTGCACATTGCAATCATTTTCATCAATAGACTTTGATTTCTCAATCCATAAAACGGCATCCACAAAGCAGAAACAATGGAGGCCAGGGGAGATTTAGATATCATTTATTCCAATCCTCTCATTTCACAGTGAAGGAGATAGGTGGAGATAGGTGATGTGACTTGTCCAAGTTGGTGCCAGAGCTAGGTCTTAACCTCAAGTCTCTGATTCTCTACATCCAGGATTGTATCTAGTACAGAAAGGGGCAGAGCTAGCTCAAAATTTTACAGTTATTTTTAGGTCCCTTTCCCAATTCAACCAAGAACTTTCTCTTAACTACTGAAGGCTCTAATAAAATAATGTGATCTGTGCCTGAGCCTGAAGACAGCTGTCTCGGAAGAGGATCAAAATCCCTCCCCTTACAGTCACCCGAACATGGACTTGATGGCTCCCCTGGATTCTATTCATAGAATGTTCCTGCATTATTGCAATAAAAAGTGCAAAAAAATCCCCTTTCCCAGGCATGTTGCTTCCTGCACTGCTCCAACTTTTATAGCTTCTTCAATTGGCCACTCCATGTAGCTTGGGGCATTAATTACTCTGCACCCTTCATTTGGAAGCAGAGCTTCTCTAAAACCTTCAAGTTTTTCTCAGCTCCAGCCATTGCAGCAACCCCAGCACCTGGGAGCCATGAGGTCATTGCCACCTTTCCAGGTCCTACTGATATCTTAGAGATGCAATAGTGGAAAACATTAGCATATCTGGAACTCAGTTATGTTTTTATTCTTCCATCCTTGGCCAGAAGAGTTTCTTTTCCCAAACCCCTGTGATACAGAGATGGGCATGATGGCTATGAGTGCTCTCAAAAACAACCAGATTTAACATCAGCTAGAATAGAGGTTCTAGAATGAATGAAGCAAATCAGCTCCTCCCCCACTGCAGAAATCATGACCTGGTGTGCTCCACAAGCAGGCTGATGTTTTTTCCAGTTGTCCATTATTTTTAGATTATCCATGTCATTCTTCTCATTAGCCCAAGTCATTGAGAGTTCACAGTTGGTATTGCTGAATCATTGCCCAAGTCACTCAGCCTCCTGATTAAAAACAGATCAAAAAAGCTTGTTAGTTCATCATTACTTATAGAAGAAAGGCTCAACTCCGTAGCAGGATGTTCAAGCCTTTCCTAAACTGGCCCCAACCAACCTCGCCAGCTTCATCACCCATCATGACTGTAAAGCTCTTGTCTTTCCTTCTCACACTCCCACTTTCCATGTCTAATGCTCACTCATCCTCCAGGATTCCGCTTAAGTCATCTTCTCCAAGAACTCTACTTTGACAGCATCTAGGCCCTTACTCAGAGCTCCCTTACCTCCATCTTAGACTTGTCACTCTGCTTTCATGTTTCCTTGTCTGTTTCCTCCACTAGACTGTGATCTCTAGGGGCGCCACTGCATGACAAATGTGTGACTGTGAACAAGTCTTTTACCTTAAATTTCAATTTCATCATTTGTAAATGAGAATAAGAATGGTACCCTCTCCAGCAGTTATCAGGAAGAATACATGGGTTAATACATATAAAGCATTTAGTAAGCTCTCAATAAATATTTGCTATTATTATGATTAGTATTCAAGGCATAGACAAGGTTCATAATTCTTGGTCTTCCCAATATCTAAGTCAACACCTGGCACACAACAAATACTCAACAATTACTTGTTGAGTAAATTAATAAATAATAAATATTCCATCCAAACCTATTTGCCGTTTTCTAAACACTCCATGCCTTTTATGGCTCTTTGTCCTTACACACTCTGTTTGGAATATCTGTTCCTCCCTACTCCCCTTACCCCCATCCCTTTTCTAACTTCAAGACTAAGATCAAATGTCACCTCCTCTTTTCAACACCCTGGGGTCCTGGAGCAGATTTAACTGAGTTTGCACAGAACTTTGTTCATGCCATTGTCATCATACTCATGGCATTATCTTACAATTATTATAATGGTTTGCTTACAATACATTAATTTCTCCATCTCTACAGTGAGCTCCTCTAGAACAATGACTGATTCATGTATCCCCTAACCCAGTTTCAACTCAGTAGCTAGCACAGTGCTGGCATACATTAGGCATCTAATTGACATAGAATAGGTTCCCCAGTGAGTCCAGAGGTTGATCCCGCTGTTTCAGAGATAGTGAGATAAAACCTAAGGACCTTTCCTGGAGAGGCAGGGAATATGGCTGTGTGCTTGGAGCAACACTGCCATTTCTTTATTTCTCCTGCTCACTACGTAAACACCCTAACAACAGTAAAGCAGTCATTTAAATGGGAAAGCAGCATCATCCGCTATACTATTATACTAACACATCAACTGCTTTCATTTTTCTTTGTTCCCCTAAAGTCTTTTATTTATATGCATGCATAAGTTTGCATGGTTGCACTCATAATGTAGACACATTTTAGCATATTGCTTTTTTACTTAACCTTCTCTCATAACATATTTGCAAGTTACTATACTGTCTACAAAATGATTCTGGCTGTATAATATTCCATTTGGTGGTTTTAAGTTACCACTATTAAAAATAATGCTATACCAAATATCTTTTTGCACAGAACTTTTCTTCTTCTAATTGGTGGGATTTTTTTTCAAACACTCCTTTCTAAGACTTTGTAATTTTTCTGGAGCCTTGACAAAAGAGCTGACTTTTTTTTTTTTTTTTTTTTTTTGAGATGGAGTTTCGCTCTTGTCACCCAGGCTGGAGTGCAATGGCGCAATCTCAGCTCACTACAACCTGTGCCTCCTGGGTTCAAGCGATTCTCCAGCCTCAGCCTCCCGAGTAGCTGGGATTACAGGAACTTGCCACCACGCCCAGCTAAATTTTTTGTATTTTTAGTAGAGACAGGGTTTCGCCATGTTGGCCAGGCTGGTCTTCAACTCCTGACCTCAGGTGATCCACCCACCTCGGCCTCCCAAAGTTCTGGGATTACAGGCGTGAGCCACCGTGAACAGCCAAGGGCTGACTTTTTCTTTAAAGTCACAACAAACAAACAGTGAAGTACAGAAGGTCAGTTAAGGCAGACCCCTAGAATAATAGTTCTCAGTCTCTGGACAGGCTTTAGGATCCAGAGGATTACTTGAGGATCTTTTGAAACTACCAATGTACAAGTTTCACCCCAGATCAACTGAATCAGAATCTGGGAATGGAGCAATAGAATGTTTTAAAAGCTTACAATGCCAGTGAAAGACACTTGTCTAGATTCTACCTGTCTCTACCAGGTCAAATAATTAGCAAGAGCATCATGGCAAACAGTTTAATGAGTCCTAGTTCTAGAGCAGAGACTGATGTCACCTGCTGGAGGTGGCCTCTCTGGACTACAAGGATTAGTGATATGCAGAAGGTCATTGGAGACTCATGGGACAAATCTGACTGGTCTCATAATCACTCACTCAAGAAGTACGTTTTTGTTTTTTTTAGACAGGGTCTCTCTCTGTTGCCCAGGCCAGAGTGCAGTGGCACAGCCACTGCAGCCTTGACCTCTCAGGCCCAAGTGATCCTCCTGCCTCAGCCTCTTGAGTAGCTGAGACTACAAGCATGTGCCACCATACCCAGCTAAGTTTGAAATTTTTTTGTAGAGACTGGTCTCACGATGTCACCCAGGCTGGTCTTGAACTCCTGGGCTCAAGCGATCCTCCCACCTTGGCCTCCCAAAATGCTGGGATTACAGGTGTGAGGCAATGCGACTGGCCAAGAAGTACTTATTGATTGCCAAACTGAACTAAACTACATCAGAGTTTTGAATTCCAGTCAAACATATCCCATGGCCTGCTCTACATTCTTGCTTAAACATAAACAGACATCTTGAACTTGACGTATTTAAAACCTAACACCTGATTTATCCTGATCAAACCAGCTGGTCCAACAGTCTTCCACATCTCAATTAATGGAACCTCCTACCCTCTGATTACTCAGGCCCCAAACGTTGGTATCATCCTTGATGCCTCTCCTTCTGTCACATTTTACATTCCAACCCATCAATGAATCCTGCAGGTTTTCCCTTCAAAATACATCTAGAATCTAACCACTTCTCACCACCTCCACCCACTGTCTCCCTGCCCCAAGCCACCACCATCACTTGCCTGAATTATAGCAATAGCTTCTGAAAAATTGTCCCTGATTAACCCTTGCCCCTTGCAGACTTTTCTTCACATAGCAGCCAGAGTAATTTTTAAAAACATAAGTCAAATTACACCACTTATCTGTAAAACTTACAGTGTCTTCCAATCTCACTCAGAGTATGATGTGCCAGTTTGACTGAGCCATGGAGAGCCCGGATGTTTGCTCAAACATTATTCTGGGTGTGTCAGTCAAGGTGTTTCTCAATGACATTAACATTTGGATCTGTTGATAGTAAAGCAAATTGCCCTTCTCAGTGTGGGTGGCCTCATCCAATCAGTTGAAAGCTGACTAGAACAAAAGGGCTGATCCTTCCACAAGTAAGGGGGACTCCTCCTTCCTGACTGCCTTTGAGCTGAAACACTGGCTTTTTTCCACCCCTCAGGCTTAAACTAAAATATTGGTTCTTCCCAGGTCTCCAGCCTGCCAGTATGCAAACTAGAACTACACCACTGAGTCTCCTGGGTCTCTAGGGTGCCAACAGCAGATCTTGGGACTTGTCAAACCGCATAATTGCATGAGCTAATTCCTTACAATAAGTCTGTTTATATATACACCCTGTTGATTCTGTTTCTCTGCAGAACCCTGACTAACACACAGATCCAAAGTCTTTACCAAGACCTCCAGGGTCTTATATAATCAGACCTCCTATTACCTCTCCTTCTCCTCTCCATCTTCCTCCTCATTTCCTTCCTCTCCCCTTCAAATGCTGTGCTCCCACAATGTTAGCCTCAAATGAGTCAAACATATGTCCCCCTTGGGACTTTTGCACCTGCTGTTCCTTCTGCCTGGAAAGCTCTTCTGCACAGCTCACTCCTTCACTTGCTAAAGGTCTCTCCCAGCTCACTGATGTCTTATTGGAGAGGACAACCTTGACACACGCCTCTGTCCCATATAAAATAGCAATCCATCCCCATATGACATTCCTAAGTCTTCTTCTCCTGCTTTAATTTTCTCTGTCATGCCCTTGACTGCCTGATATATTAAATATTTGTCTGCTTACTGTCTTTTCCCACACTAAAATGACTCAGACAAAAAAACACACAGATAGAAAAACAAGCAGTAAAGGAGGATAAAGCATGAGAAGGCATTGTCTCAAATAGGGGAGTTAGGAAAGGCCTCCTTGAGGAAATGAAATGGATACAAAGCCTAGGTGAAGTGAGGGAGAATCAGGCTGAAAATGGGAAAGAGAGGCTATGAACAGGGCACCCCACTCATATCTCCTTGTCATTCTTTATTCAGGTAAGTGCCAATGACGTCCTTCTGAGAACACCTATCACCCCTTCCTGAAGGCTTTCCTCAGCCTGCACATGGGGCAGGTCAGATGCACGGGGGCGGTGGGCAAGGATTAATACCCCTCAGCCAACAGCCCTCAGCAAATGATGGCAAGCAGTTAGAGAATAAGGACCATGGATCCAGCAAATGATGGTGAGGAGTTAAAGAATAAAGACCCTGGCTTCTTCACCCTTTCTATGGGACAACTCTGAGTCATGTTCAAAACCATCTCCCGGAGTCCCCAGTGGGACTGAGCCCACATGCCCACAGGGTTAACCTGCTCCAGGACACATTGTTTTGGCTTTCTTCCCTTCTGTACCTGCCAGTGCTTCCTGGGTTCAATGTCCCCTGGATTCATTCACATTGAAATCCTCATCTCAGAATGCAGCCTAAGACAAAAGAGAGCTCACCTGGTTGCTGATGGCTTTTTAGCCTTGAGATGGGGAGTCTGTGGGAGTGACATGCAGTGGGAAGGAGGCCTCTGCCTGGGGGAGCTGTGTGCAGGGTGGACCGCAGGCGCAGGGAGTGGGGTGCTGGAGCTGTCTAGGGGAGGCTTGTGATCCACACATCTTTCACCGCCCCACACAAAACAGAATGCAATATTCAAATCAGGCTGAGGTCCTGGAGGGAGAGAGAGGCTACACAGGCCTGGTGGTGAATCTGCAGAAGCAGATTAACCCAATCTGCATACTAAACAGCATGTAAATTACGTTATTTCAACCCATAAGTTTAGACATGTCCATAGGAATAAAAATTTATGACAGTGATAAGATGTATGGTTGGCGAAAATAAGCTAGCCCAAGCAAAATATGCTAAAAGGGCTATGGAAATTCTCCAAATTAAGTGAGTGAAGCCAGCCCCAGCCTTCAGCCCGGAGGTGGGGAAGCTGACTCCTGGCCCTCAGGGCACTCTGCTGCCTCCAGACACTACAGGAGAGGGAGAGAATGGTCAGTGCTCATGCAAAGATGGGGGAGCTGCAACCCCTGGGAAAAGGGCTCTGCCTTTGGAAGGGGTCACCTTTACAGATGAAGCAGAAATCATTCCAGGATCCAGGGTAAATTCTTTCAATAATGGTAAATAATAATAGTAGCTAATATTTTTGAGGACTTAGTATATGCCTAGCTTACTTCTGTGCCCTCTATGTGTTCTATTCATTTAATTCTTATAACCACCCCATGAGGTAGGTATCATTTTGTATTCCATTTTAATATGAGGAAACTGAGGCTCAGAAGTTAAGCTTGCAGTAAGCAATAGAACTGAACTTGGGCAGCCTGGCCCCAGAGTCTACGTATTTAACCATAATGCTCTACTGCTTCCATTGAATGTTATGTGGAAAAGAACTTTGAGAGTAATTTATTTCATCCCTCTCACCTTACAGATGAGAAAAATTGAGGCCAAGGAGATGCAGAGACGTGCTCAAGGCCATGCAGCTGGGATAGCAGAGCCAAGATCCTGGCTTAGGTTTTCAGACATCATGGTCAAGGTCTTTCATGTGCCTAGGGCACCTCCTCCCTGTGTCACTTGCAGTGGTCTTGGAAGGCTTAAGGGGCTGGAATCAGGTGAGAACTACCAGCCTGCATTTTCTTTCCTGTATGGCCCTGAGTAACAGACAGAGAAGGTCTGTCTTTAGTAGATTTGCATAGGGCAGAGCAGAAGAAGTTTAGTTTCTGCTCTCAGAAGTGTTCTTTCATAGCCAGAATACTCTACCCTGCCTGTCTGGGGTGAAAGAACTCCACAGAATGTATACCAACGCTTGCCTCAATGCCAGGCTCCTGTTCCAAGTGTCTTGACCCTGTCACTTGGCTAAATTCTCATGATTCCCAAGGGCCAAGACTTTTTTGGCCAGGGTTCATTCAGTTGAAAGTGATCAACCCAAACTCAAACCAGCTATGCCAAAGAGGAGGTTTCTGGAGGGATTGGGAAGCCAGGGTGGAGCTGGCCAGGTCCAGGAGGACATGCTGTGTCTTGAGGACTTGATGCCTCCATCTGCGTTCCTTGTGCCTGGGAACACACACTCAGGGAGGTGCTCTCCACACAGTGGGAGAGAGAACAGCCCCAAGCCCTCATTCTGAGCAGGGAGCAGAGACTCCCTCTCCCAGAGCCGATATGTCAAGTCTATTTATTCTTTCAACAGGATGCAGGGAGCCCCTATCGTGGTCAGGCACCAGGGATACAGCCATAAACAAAACAAATGTAAATCCCATGCTCTTATGGAATAAAACGTTCTATTGGAAGAAGGGTGGAGAACAAATAAAAAGCTAAATGAGTAGGTAAAATGTATAGTATGCAACATAGTGATAATCACAAGGAAAATAAAACAAGGAAGGGAGATAAGAGTGCCAGGAGTTATGTTATAAATTGGAGGTAGAGGGTAGAGAAGAACTCACCGAGAAAGTGGCTGGCATGGGAGCAAAGAGCTGAAGGAGGCAAAGGAGGGTGCAACGCAGGTATGTGGAGGAAGAGCATTTCAGGCAAAGGGAACAGCCTATGCACAGAGCCTGAAGTGGAAGTATGCCTGGCATGATGGATGCACAAAGAAAGGATCAGTGTGACTAAGCAGAGCGAGAGAGAAGGAAGTAGAGATTACAGGATCAGAGAAATAATGGGCGTGACTGGGAGGCGCATTATACCTTTGGCCACATAGAAAGGGAAATGGGTTGTCACTGAAGAGTTTGAGGCAGAGAAATGACATGACCTGACATGCATTTTAAAAAGCTCACAATAGACGTGGCACGGTGGCTCACACCTGTAATCCCAGCACTTTGGGAGGCCGGGGCGGGCGGATCACGAGGTCAGGAGAGCGAAACCATCCTGGCTAACACGGTGAAACCCCGTCTCTACTGAAAATACAAAAATTTAGCCAGGCGTGGTGGCAGGCGCCTGTAATCACAGCTACTCGGGAGGCTGAGGCAGGAGAATCTCTTGAACCTGGGAGGCGGAGGTTGCAGTGAGCCGAGATCGTGCCACTGCACTCCAGCCTGGGCGACAGAGCAAGACTTCGTCTCAAAAACAACAACAACAACAACAACAACAACAACAACAACAAACTCACACTGGCTCCTGGAACTGACTTGACTGTAGGGGGCGTGACTGATGCTAGCAGACTATTGTAGTAACCCAGGCAGAGATCATGGTGGCTTCCACCAGAGTGGGACAGTGGTAAGATTTGGAGCATGTTTTGAAATAGAGCCAAAATGACTTAATAATGACTGGGATGTGGATTGACAGAAAAGTGTCCAGAATGATTACAAGATTTCGAGCCTGAGCAATAGGAATGCTAGAATTATCATCAACTCAGATAAGGACGACTAAGAAAGGCCGGTTTGGGAGGTGGGGAAACAGTCGAAGAAAACCCACTGACACCGGCAGGATTCCATGCCTACATTGAGAGGAATCATTGTGCAAGATGGATGAATGGGGTACTCTGGTTGGCCAGCCTGTGTCAAGTGCCCTCCAATGTAGGAGGCAAAGCCTCATGATTGACAGCCCCATGGGATGGGAAAGTTATAATTCCTCAAAGGAAAGGTATACCTTTCACACAGATAGAGAAGCCACAGAGAGAAGCTAGGTGGCTTGTCCAGAGTCACACAATTTCTAGGAAATAGGAAATTTCTCTCCTGCTTCTCTTTACCCACATGCACAAAATCTGGCTGACTGCAGGCTGAGTCCCATCACCTGATATCAGTAAGAGCCTGTATGGTACACATTAGAATGAGCTCAAGTTGGCAAAATACACCCACAGGCACTAAACAGGGCCATCGCCCGTCAGAAGCAACAGCCATCTCTGAATCCTCAGGGTCTGGCACAGTGGTAGACACATAGTAGGTGCTCCAGAAACATTTACAAACGAATGAACAAAGCAATGGAAGCCCCACCGGGCTAGCCACTGGAAAAGTGGTTCTTTTGCTCAACTTCTTCCTAGGCTACAAAGAGATATATGCTATGGCTCTACTCTGGCCCCTCCCCTGCCCACTCCCCAGCAAAATTCTCTTTGAGAAAAATCTGTAGACATACAGAACCACTTGCTTTCCTCTTCCATAGTGGAGGAGAAGGGCCCAGAGCTGTGGTGCTCAGCAACACAGGTGGTTACTTGCTACCCAGAGGCCTGTGGCTTTGGTTTGGGGGAGTGGGAAGCTGAGCAGAGAGCCTGACCATCCAGGCTGCCACACACTCTGGCTTGTAGCAACTTCCCATCCCTGGCTCAGAAGCTACCCCTGGCTCTGGGCTGGTCCAGGGCTGGCCTAGCAGCCAAGGTTCTTTCAGTGAACCGGAAGATGGGAAAGAAAGGCTGAGAAGGAGGAGACGAGAGAAGCAGTGCCTGGGTGCCCAGAGTCAGAGGGACAAGTAACGCCTGTAAAATGTGGAGTCTAAATGAAGGGCAAGAGAAAAGAAGAGCATGAAGGAAGGAGGGAGAAAGGAGAGGAGAGGGAGGGATTGATTCCTCCAAAGCAGGCCAAGCCCCCAGGATCTGGCTGCTCCTAGAATCATCCTCCTGCAGAGGAGAAGTGAAAGGCCTCCTGCCAGTGGTCAGTGGGCGTGGACAGGAGAGACAGGAAGGACCATATCCTGATCCCTCTCCCCATCCTTTCTCCACCCTTCAGGCCCCAGGAGGCTGACACCAGAGGACTGTCTCACCAGGCTCCCTTGCTGTGCATCCAGTAGGGTTTGTAGGGGGGCCAAAGCAGGAACAGCTGGCAGAGTTCAGAATATGGGAAGAGAGAAAAGTCAGGGCATTTCTTCCCTATACCCTGCCTGTTTCAGGGCCACGTCTCTGGCTCTATCCCTGCATGGCTGTAGCTCCTGCAGAGTGGCCTCCTTTGCACAGTTGCTCCAGGGGCACCATTCTCTACCCCACTTCAGTCCCATCTCTCCAGCCTTAGGGATAGTGCAGCTTGTCTCTAGGTGCCTCGCCATTTCTTGTTTTCCCTCCATGCTGCCCTCACTTCTGTAAATCATTCCTAAGTTAAGTCCTCTTCATTTTAACCATCTGGGATGAACCATCTGAGATGAACCCATTTTCTTTTGGAGACTGTGGCTAATGCAGGCCCCAAGACTCCCTGAGAAATCCTGAGCACCAAACAGTGACTAAGGGGCAAATTCGCTCATCCAGAACATGGTTACTAAAGGTCTGCTCTGTGCTAGACACATTGAAAGGCCCAGAAATGATTCAGATTTGGGGCCCACTCTCTAGAAGCACATTGTCTAGCCAGAGCTGAGGCTGCAGAGACTTGGGGTCCCCAGCTGCCTGGGGACTCCTTAGCACATCCAGCCGCTCACTGCAACCAAAGGCTGGGGCTGCTGTCTCCCTGCCCACAACTGCCTCAGGCTGCTGCTTTGTGATCACTTTTCCCTTCAAGGTTGCCCTGGATCTTCGATTTTCCTTGACTTCTGGAAAAGGATGGAGCTGGGCAGAGGGTACAGGAGAGAGGAGAGGTCCCCAGTGGGCTTTGTGTTGCTTCCACACCTCTTAACGCTTAGACAAGAGCCAGCACAGGATGTGCGGCCAAAATGCATTTATCAAAGAAGCAAGTGTTCCTCCTGAGTAGAGGGGCAAGCATGCAAGGTCCTGGCAAGATGCAGCACTGGGCTGCACACAGGGAGAAGGAAAAGCCAAGGCCCCTGGGGCGCACAGCTCCATCATCAATACAACAGCTGCCTTCAGACAGAAATGCTAAGTGCAGAGTACAATATCCAAGCGAGGGACCCCAGCTGAAGGGTCGCACCCAACAGAATACACCACCAAAGCAGAGCAAGAAACTTGTGCACTGAAGTGATACAAAGCTGACGAAGAGTTTATATAAGCATGGTTAAGAACACAGACTCTGGAATCGCAGTGCCCAAGTTCAAATCCCACTTCTGCCCCTTACTTGCTGCATGACCTTGAAGTTACTTAACTGCTCTGTGCTTCACTTTCCTCACCTGTAAATTCTGTAAATTGAGGATGATAATAGTATCTGTCTCATGGGTTTGTGGTGGAGACTAAGTTAGTTATGAAGCTAGTAAGTTACAAAGCAAGTGCTCTTAGAACAGTCAGCCACAGGCGCATTACAAGTGCTATATATGTGCTTGCTATTATTAGTATTTGCTATTACAAAAGAGCAAAGCTGCATGGGCACAAGGGCAGACTACAAGCTGTGTAGACGTGATAGTATTGAAAATTATCAGCCAAGTGACACCAAAGCACACTTTACTTTTTGTATTTTCTACATGACAAAAGTTTTTTGACTTTTCTTGTACCATGCAACTTTGAAGAATAAACACACCTTATGCTTCAAAGTTGCCCAGCTAATTTCATCTTCTTTTGAAGATGGTTTTATAATGTTTCTGATACAATTTTCTTCACTTCCATGAAGTTGAGGGGCACCTGCCAGTCCAATCCAAGAAAAGAGGAATCACAGTTTTGCCTGGAACTGGATCTAAAGGAAGCCTCCCAAATGAAGACCAAATGGCAGGTGCAGAGAAGTGGTGCCCCACAGAAGTAAAGAACAAGGATTCTGGCATTGCACTGGAGTTCAAATCCCAAATAGACCACTGACAAGCTGTGTGACCTTGGGAAAGTGGCAACCTCCTCAAGCTTCAGTTTCTTCACCCATAGTTAGGAGAGATAGCTCCCTCTTCCAGGAGCTGTAAAAAGATCAATTACGTAAATCAAGGTCTACAGGATGCCAAACTCCAAGTCTGCTTTGGCATAGGTGCCCATCGCACTTTCCACTTTCTTTTTCCTGGAGAAATGGCCCTATTACCCACAGGCTGCCTGGGCTCAAGGAAACAACAGCAGGTGGCCAGGCCCTCCTGGTGTGGTCTCACACCAGGGAGCTCTGCCTGAAGAATAAGCTGCTGGTTCGATCCCAGCTGTTCTGAGGCCCCCCCTGAACTGACCCCATTTCCAGAATTGGCTAAGGGCTCCTCAAATAAGCAAATGCCTCCAGGAGGATGAAAGGAAGACTCGTGCAAAGCTTTGAAGCCTGCCATAATGCTGCACCAGCTCCTCCTCCCTGCTCAGGACATCTCCTGAAGGAGGAGATACAAAGAGAATCTGTGATGAGCAAATGAGGGACAGCCAAGGGCCAGGATTTGTAGCAACAGCTTAAGTCTCTGCTTTCTTGTCAGCCCTGATGGCTGGCAGCGAGGATAATTCTAAATGAAGAATGGTTTTCAAGGAGGAGCAAGAATCTCTCATCTGAAACAATTTGTTGTCCAAAATTGTACTGCAGAAGTTGTTTAGAAGGTGCAGATTAAGTTGTGCATAAAAATATAGTCAGCTCTTGATTATCCACATTGATGGATAATCCAAAAACAACACATACCTCGAAGTGATTTCTCTTTGGTTTCATAACACAGTATTATTTTTCCTTCAACATTTTTAGCTTTCTTCATTTAACTGTCTTCAGGATATAACCAAGGAGCTAGGGGATCTGTAACCTTCTGTTAATTACAGAATAACCAAGGTTTCAGCACCATGCCCTCCAAGGCAGGAGTTGCCTGAATGGAATTTGTAGATAAAAATACTATTTAGGAAAATGGTGAAAAAGAAGAAAAACTATTTAACATTTGTACTTCCTACACATAGACAAAGAAGAGGCAATTAAGAGCGTAGACTCTGGAGTCAGACTGCCAAAATTCAAATCCCAGCTCTATCTTTGAGTACTTTATTTAACCTCTGACAGCCTCAGTTTTCTCATCTGTAAATTGGGGTTAATAACAATAGCAATGTTAGAAGGCTGTTGTGAGGATTAAATGAGATCATCTATGTAATATGTTTAGCATGGGGCCTGGCACACAGGAGGTATTCAATGGATGTAAATTAATACCAGTAAATGTTAGTTACAACCAGCTCTCAGCAAACTGGGCAGCTCATCTCCTGCAATTGTGCTCAGTAATACCTTGTGGAATTCCCTGAAGGACCCCAGGGACTGTAGACAGTTTGCCACCCCCTCCAATCCCCCAGGGTGGGGGAATGATGCCAGGTTTCATGGGGAGAGAGGCAGCTGCAGCTGTGGACAGATACTGGGGTTCTCTGGAGAGCCAGGACAGCTGTTGATTCCTGTGTGTGCTGAGCAAACGGCCCACCATCCTATCTTAATTATCCTGCCTAATGGGGTAAGGCGATTATGATTCATGGAAAATTGGCCATTGGCAGCTTGGCTTAGGAAAGCAAACAGCCCTCAATGGCCCAGAACAAACAGCAGGTCAGGAGAAAGACTCAGGTGTGCCCAGTGAGAGGCAGCTGCCATGTGTGAAAGGGGAGGTCAGAAGGCCTTCAGCCCACTCATATATGGCTCTGAGAGGTGGGGAAATGGAAGTAGGGGATATAGAACTACCCAGGTAGAGTTGAGTGCAGACACCAGGAGAACTGCTCTGAAGCTCAAAGGTCCAGAGTTCATCTCAATCATCGCCCTGCCTCTGAGGAACCCAAAACAGCTCAGGCCAAGGTGAAGTTACAGAATAGCACTTACCTAGAGTAAGGTGACCTGAATTCTAGGTCTGGCTCTGCCAGGAACTTAATAATAATAATAATAGTAGTAGTAGCAGTAGTATTAACAGCCTCTTATTATGAACCGGATACTGTGCTAAGCTCTTTACATAGATGATCCATTTAATCCTCACAACAGCTTTATGAGGAGGATATTAGTTTTGTCCTCATTTTTCAGATGAGAGGATGAGTCTCCTATTATAAGGAAATCGCCTTAAGTCACCCAGCTAATAAGTGGGTGATCTGGGATTCAAACCAAAGTCCTTGTGACTCCCAAGTCCCTGCTTTTAACCAATCCCCTGAGCCACTCATTTCAGTGGGACAAGCTCAGTTGCTTCATCTGCAAAGGGATATCCAGCCCAAAATTTTGGAGGAAACCCCAGAACGAAAACTCTCAGAGACAGGAGCTGCTGCCTTCTGCATTCTGCCTAAGGGCATGGGGCCAACCCACTTGAGGGAGACAGAGGAGCTCAGGAGTCCAGGCTTGAAGGTTAACAATGGTGATTTTCTTTTCACATTGTTTATAGCAAGGGCTTTGAAGTGTCTCCCAGTGTTTTCACACACACCCTCTGAGGCCCGTCCAGCCCAGGCCTTGGATCATAGACAGCCAAGTGTCCACAGATGCCTTGGGTCAGGTGCACCACTGACACTAGGCTCAGGCCCATCCTGCAGCCTCTGCTCAGCCTCTGCCTCTGAGCCTAGTCTCTTTCTCTGCCTCGGGCTGCCCTGCCACAGGCCGCTCATGGACAATCAGCAGGCTTTAGATCTGGAGCCCACTTGAAGCTGCCCTAGACCCCAAAAGAAGAAGGACACTGAGGCACTGCTTCTGAAAGGGTTTCTGACTACCCTCCTCTCCTTTTCTCTACCCTCACTCCCCACAGCATGTCCAGATACAGAGGCATGAGCTGGAGAAGGGCAGCTCAGACAGTTCGGCCTGGGTCTGAATGAAGCTGGGCCTGCTCTTCTAGTTTGAGAGATCTAGCACCAGGCTGATCAGTACTCAGGTCACAATGGGACTCACTCCCCTTCCCCTGCTGTCCTCTCAGCCCTCCAGGAGCCTCAGCTGCAGAGCCAGCATCATGTGCTATGCAGACTGAGTTTTCTGAGTCTGTACACAGTCCTCAACCCTCAATCCATCATCTCTACTGCATCTAACTCATCTCTTTGTACTCTCTCTCTCCGATTTCTCTCTGCATTTACCCTGGCTCTCAACCACCAGGCCGTCCTCCATCCCCTCCTCTGTGGCAAAGAATTGGAGAGAAGAGTGTCTGTGCTGGAAGGGACCTTACAGATTGTGTGGTCCAAACCTTTCATTCTATAGGTGAGGAACTGAGGCCAGAAGGCCAGCTGGACCAAAGTCATGTGGTTGGTTCAAGGCAGAACTCTGGCTGGACCCAGGGCTCTTGCATTCCTGATCAGTGTTACCCCTTTCAGAGGGATGCTTGTCAAGTTCTGGGAGCAAGTACCAAGCCCAGGGCAGGGCTGGGCACTCAGGAGCCTCTCAACAAGGGGCTAACTGGCAGTCTGTCTTGTCTCTCCACTTGCTCTCCCTCTGGCTTGGCAGGAGCGAAACGCATTAAATAATGACTGCTGGCCTCATTGAGCCCTGCGATCCAGTGATCACTTCTATTCAGTCTCTTCCCAATATAAAGAAAAGCTCCTGAGACTCAAGTATAGATCAGGAGATGGGCTTTGTAGCCAATGAAGAACTTTAGCCCAAAGAAACAGGTCATGTGTAATTAGCCGCAGTTCCCAGAGACTGCTTCATCACCCTTTCTCCTAACTCCACTTCCACACCTACCCCCACTCCCACCCTCCACCCCCACCCTCAGCTCTCTGTCCTTGGATCTCTGAGCATTTGGATCTCTGAGCCAAGAATTTGCTTCTCAGAGAGTAATTGCCCCTGGCTCCCCCTCACTTCTAATCAACAAGCCAAGGTATTAGTTCCTGGGAGCATGATTGATTTCCAGGGACTTGGAACTTAATTACATTTTAGCAAAGTCTGTTTGGAATCCTCAGAGAAGCGAGACACTTTCAGTTCTTTGAACTTACCATGTAGGAGGGCTTCCAGCATCTCAAATATTCAATTCATCCTTCCTCAGGCCAAAAGAGGGGCATTCTATGGCTGTCAGTTTTAATTTTTTCTTACCCAAGATCTCCAACCTCTAGAGCCTGGCCAGAGGAACTTGGCTCTCTCATGCTGAAGAATTCTTCACGTGGTCCTCCCCACGCCAGCAGCTTCCCCATCATGCCCAGGGAACCATGAATCCCGCCTGGGATCCAGGTCTGTGTGCTCCTCCCTGGTCTGCAGGCAAAACCAGCAACCCACCTGCTGCATCAAGCTGGTCCCAGCCTCTGGCTCCCATCTCCACCTCACGAGGTATTCTTTTTATTATTCTAACCATCGTCATCTTCATCATTATTAAAAACTACCATGATTGAGCACTCATTGTGAGCTGGGCACTGTAAGATACCTTACACACACCAGCTTATTCCATAAAGCCCAACGAAGTAGATGTTAATCTCTTTACTTACCAGTGAGGAAATAATGGCTCAGAAAGGTTTAGCACTTTGTTCAAGATCACAGAGCTAGAATTGGGCATGTTGATCTTTCAGTGACCCCATCCCTCTGGAAAATTGCCTCAGTGACATTTTCTGCCTCAGCACATTTTCTGCTACTCTGCTGACCTGCCCTGTCCCCTGTCTCTCCAGGACCACCTCGCCTCTGATCACATGTCCCCTCTAACCCCCGAACACTTCCCTCCTTTATAAAATAGTGTAGACCAATGGGTGAGTTCAAATCTAGTTGCTGAGTATCCATGTCAGTGAAAAATGCTGCTTCATGAAAAAACAGAGATAGTGTGAACAGCCCTGAGGATGCGCAATTTGGGGAGAAGTGTGGACACTGCCACATAAATGGGCCAGCCTGTGACCTCTTCCACCCATTTCCTGAGCCTGGGCCTGAGAGTTAGAGTGTTGCCCTTGGCTTTCAAGAGTACCTAATAACATCATGAAACAAATGGGTCAAAATGAAAACAACTGGTAAACCTAGGTACAGGCTAAACAGGAATTCTTTGTGGCATTTTTGTAACTTTTCTGTAAATATGAAATTATATCAAAATTAAAAGCTTTAAAAAATAGAGTTCTGGTTCAATTTATGGATCTATTTATAGTTGTTTTTGCAATCCCAGTCTATACTGGGCATTTCACATTAATGATTTAAAGCTCAAGAACAATTTTAATAACATCTATATAATAAAGCCACATGAGATTGCTTTTGAGATGACAGAGTGTTATAAATAAGTAAATGCTGTAAGAAGCAACGTAGGGAAATGTACTTGATGACAACCACATGCTTGTCTGGCCTCCAAGAATCACATGAGCTGGATTCCTTGTCTTTCTGTGAAACCCACCTCTCAGAAGGCCTCTCACCAGAGCTGTCCCCTCCCTTGCCCTACATCCTTACCCATGCGGACTGCTGGATGAAGCCACTGCTTCCTGCCTCAGGTACTTACTCACAGCAGTTGTTTCCTCCAGATGTGCCCCTCCCCACAAATGGGTCTAGTTCAGTGTCTGCCCAAGCCTACAGGGTCGTACTGTGTCCCAAGATGTGGCTCGAGCCCTGAACCATTGAGAGTATCTCAGACCTGAACCCAGGGAAATCCACTGTCTTGCCCCATTGCACTCTGCCTTCTTTCATAGGTCCAGAGCTTGTGTATTACCAGACAAGATGCCAGTTCATTTGGAAGTTCTTGCTCGCAGACTCAGATTTTTGATCCTTGGATGGATTTTAGTGATGTTTCAAATTTGGGAGCTTCCCAGGGGTTATGGATCTGGTTAGATCAGCACAACTCTTGAGGACATATTGGGGAAGAGGCCTAATGTTTTTAGAAATAGATTTACAAACTCAGATCTTTATAGAATAGTGCAGACCAATGGGTGAGTTCAAATCTAGTTCCTGAGTATCCATGCCAGTGAAACATGCTGTTTCATAAAAAAACATAGATACTGCGGACAGCCCTGAAGATATTTGCATATCCGAGCAGCCCAATCTAGGGAGAAGTGTGGACACTGCCACATAAATGGGCCAGGCTGTGACCTCCTCCACCCATTTCCATAGCCAACGTATATATAGTGCCAAACAAGAACCCTCTGTCTTCAGACATTCTCAAAGGATTGGTAAGCCAGCGTCCAGGAGCATGATTCATCATCTTGCAGATATGTTGCTCCACCCTAGCCCTGCACAGGGCAACCCTGCCTCTTCCCCAACCCTGGCTGGGATCCAGTTCAAAGAACACATCGGGGGGTATCTTGGCTCACCAACATCTGGAGTCCCTGCAAGGGCATGTTCTAGAGATCATAAGACGCCAAACTTCTCTAGCTGTAGGCATCCCTGAAGACACTTGTTATTCTGAGAGCCACTAAGTCATTGCTGGAAGTGGAGGAACAGAGAGGAAATGACAATGATGAAAGAAAGCTGAGGACTGGAGTGGAAAAGGGAGGAGAATCCATGACTGTGGAATTTCCAAACCTTTCAGTGAGGGCAAGGAGAGCCACCCTTTTATCTCATCCCCGCCCTCCCTGCCAGCCACTTGCCACCCCCATTTACATGGACCCATTTGTCAAATGGCCCGGAAATGTCCACAGGCAGCCAGATCTGACCTTCCCCAGAGAGCAGTGAAGGCCAGGCCTGCTCAGCAGCAAAGCCCAGCTCCAACCACCCCAGGAATAAAAGTGAAAAAGGGAAATAGTACATGGCACAAGGATGTGGCAGAGAGAAGTGAGTGTCTGAGCCTACGCCCAGGAGGGAAATCACATAAAGAGATTCTCAGGAAATCACATATGTAATCCCAGCACTTTGGGAGGCCGAGGCGGGCAGATCACGAGGTCAGGATATCGAGACCATCCTGGCTAACACGGTGAAACCCTGACTCTACTAAAAATACCAAAAATTAGTCGGGCATGGTGGCAGGCACCTGCAGTCCCAGCTACTCGGGAGGCTGAGGCAGGAGAATGGCGTGAGCCCGGGAAGCAGAGGTTGCAGTGAGCCAAAATCGCACCACTGCACTCCAGCCTGGGTGACAGAGCGAGACTCTGTCTCAAAAAAAAAAAAAAAAAGGAAATCACATAAAGAGAGCACAGCCAGGGCCACCTTGAAGCCCCACTGTGGGAGATAATGATGAAGGCCTGGTGCTTGGAGCCAGACACTCTGTAGGACAAGTACCCTTGGAAAATATGAAAGTGAGGTCAATTCCTACCAAGACGGAAATCAGAGCAATTTACAATATTAGGAGCAGAACTTACTGGAAGGTGGTGGGGGCTGGCAGAGGCACCCCCAAAAGGAAAAGGTATGGGAAGAATAGGCCTTGGAATTGGGCCCAGCTGCTTTACACTTTCCAGAGATTGGGTCTAGCTGTTCTCTCATCACTCCATTCTCTATGATCCTTTTCTGTTTTAATGCTTAGCTGAAGATTCTGGTAGCTTTTTCTTATTTCCAAGTTAACTGAGCAACAGTGCTTACCATCTTTACCACACCCTCTCTCTACCCCATACACACACACATTCATTTCAAAACAGTGACCCTGGGCCTCTCCTTCCTTTTGAATAACCCTATCCTTTTCCCTCTCCTGCCGTTGTCCACAGAGCCCAGCCTTCCCCCTTCACTCCTGAGACCTCCTCCTCTCAACCGTCTTCCCAGGAGGTCTGCCTGTAACTGGGAACTGGAAACTACAGGGAGAGAGACTAGGAAACAAAAGATCGTGGAAGAAACCCATGAGTTTGAGCTCAGGAGCTGCAGGCTTTCTATGACTGGCCTGAAATGACAAAGAAGACAGCCCAGCAGCAGCTGCAGATGAAGCCCAGCCCCAAAGCTGAGGAAAGGGCCAGGGACAAGTGAGAGGGAGTGAGCTGATATGACAAATATCATCATCATTATAAATACTCCCTCTTTGATATTTACTATGTGCTAGGTACATGGCTAAACTCCCTATCTCATTTAACCCTCAAAACAGCTTTTAGGTAGGAATTTTCTCCATTTACAGGTGCGAAATCCAACTTAGTGATATAATTTGCCCAAGGCCACAAACACAAATAAGACCAAGATTAGAGAAATCTGAAGCTAAGATTGTCATTATCTGGTCCCAGTGACAATCTTAGCTTCACTACTCATCTCCCACCTCTCACCAGCAGGCGAAAGAAGGTAGATGTGGAGGAGGGGCTGTGCAGAAACCTCAGAAGGACCCCGTCCCCTGACTCCATCACCAGCTGAGGTAAGGGCTCTTCCCCAGTCCTGTGTCTGGGTCCAGGCTCCTCGCCTGACAGCACCTGAGATCAATTCCAGGTACATTTTTAACTTTTCCACAACACAGGTGGCCCCGTGGGCTGAGACTCAGGAACCCACCTCATCATCTGGTTCTGCTCACTGCCTCTTACTGTGATTTTTTTTCTTCTCCCGGCCTCGATTTATCTACCATAAAGTGGCTGACAGTTACCAGCTTCTCCTTCTGTTCTACAGAACTATCTGAGAACGCATTGAAGGTTAAAAAGAAAAGATTGACACTCTTAAGAAGAATGATGTTAGTCGTTGTTGATATTAATATTTTACCTGAACAATAGGAGGTTCCTATCCAGATCCTCTGCCCCCTTGGCTGTGGGAGTGCCATGGGGAAGAATGAGAATCAATCAATGAGCTCAAAAGTTGTAGGACTCAGAAAGGGGCCAGGTGCCCTGAAAGAGACAACCCAATAGTGCTTTTCTCCACTAGAGCAGGTCAAGACACCAAAGTTCTGGCCAAAGCCAAGTGCAGGCAGAGGAGGTCTATCATTTGGCAGGGGAAAAAAAAAATGAATAAAATATAGAGGAGGAAGGGAGAAAGGATCTTGTTTCCTATATCTAAAAATGCACCCACAAGATCAAGCTTAAAAACCTGTGTGAGCTGTTCAAAACAGACAAAAACTCTGCTTAGCTGTGATGGGCTGGGCTGGACTAAGAAGACACATTTCTAAAACATCAAAAGGAATGTACCAGTAACAGCTCACAGCCCTCAGACCCACCTTCTCTAGGAATTTCTTTCCAGGCGGTATTTCTAGGGTCTCATGCATGGGAAAGCCAGGGTTGGAGATTCACTTGGTCAACCTCCCTAGTTACCTCAATAACTAATCATCATCACCCTTGAGGGAGGTAGGAAGGATTGAGAGCCTCAGAGGAGAGAGGTTTTAATTAGCCAGCTACATGTTTTTGCACATAGACAATGATGATATGTCCAATCCTTCAACTAAAATTTATTAATTACTCTGTACCAGACATTGTGCTATACTTCTGTGTGGGTGAGAGGTGGTTAATACATGGTCCCTGTTCCCCAGGAATTCTTGACTAGTAGAAGAGACCGACACATGGACAACTAGCCACTAGTGCACATGATGCTGAGTGCAGTCATGGAGAGATGAAGAAACTGCTAGAGGAACATAGAGGCAGGACCCAAGGAGTCTTCACAGAAGATGTGACACTTGATCTGGTTATCAAAGGATGAGTAAGAATTCTCCAAGGAGACAAGAGGCATGAGAATCTTCTAGCAGAGAGAACAGCTGCAGCCAATGCAAAATCATATAAACAAGTATGAGTGATTTGGTTTGACAGGAATGTGGAATACACAGGGCCTGGTGTGGTAGGTGATGACCAAGCATCATGAACAAACATTTACTGGGCACTGGGCATGGGGCAGAAGGACCACTATGCTCTGTCCCTAGGGACAAAAAAAAGTCCCTAATCACAGCCCTTCCAGAGGGTAGTCATGTTGGAAAGAGTACTCAGTGTTTTACTGGATTCCTAAAAGGATCATTGGGTTATTTTAGCAAAGTTCCCATTTCCTTCATGAAGCTATTCTAAAATCAGAGAGATTTTACTAGCATTTGAGCAAAGAAAGATCCTGGACTCTCCTTCCCCAACCCTTGAACTGAGGCTGTGCTAGTACTGCACATGTTTACCCTCAGATACATTCTTCACCCTTTCTTTGCTCTATTCTGTGTTATGGTGAGGACAGGGGAAACTGGGCCATGCAAGTTGCATCTCCCAGATTTCTGGCTGGATTCAGCCAGTGGGAGGTACTTTCAGAGGACTAGAGGTGAGGAGGAATGGAGAAGTCAGGATATTTCTCCCTCTCCCTCTTTGTTTCAACTACTGCCTCTTCAGCAGCTGTGACTCCTCCATGTCCCACTAGACACATCTACCCTGGTTCAAGTTCACACTGAACACTTCCGCCATGGTCCCAGTTTCCACCTAATGACCTCAACCTCTGGGCTCTGGTAACATCTCACCCTCCCTTTGTCTCCCCAACCTAAGGTGGTAGTGTCTTCCAAGGGTTGCTGATTTCTGCATTCCCATACAGTTTCCTGTTTGGCTTCCCAACTCTTCTATTACTAGTTTCTTGTATTAAATTCTCACTGTTATAAATACTTAAAGTGATCTCTGTCTTCTGATTTGTACCCTGACTAACATAGAGACTGCATTTTAGTGGTCTTTGAGTCTCCCACAGCACCTAATACAGTGATTTTATGTGCTAATTTGTTAGATGAATGGATGGGCAGATGGGTGGATGGATGGATGGATGGATAAACAGATGGTTAATTAAATAGATGAGCAGTGGTATGATTGGATGGATGAGAGTTGAATGGATGTTCATAATTTAATGAGGATGTTTTAATTTCATAAGTATAAAGGAGTAAATTCTAAAAGAACTATGCAGAAAGTGATTCTAAGACATACAAAAATGGCCAGAAATTTAGAACAGCTGTGCTGCCACAAGTCAAGCCCAAAAAGAATCCAGCTGCTAGAAAAGCACAAGAAGAGAAGGAGACTTTGTGAAATTTATTTCTTGTTGCATCTGAATTGAGTCACTCATTTCTTCATTCTCTTTCTGGATCTCTTCCTATATTGGCAGAGAGTGGTGGGGGAAAGACGTGTTTATGGCAAATAGTCCTAATTTTCATCTGGCAGACATTTCCATCCCATTTATTATGCCTGAGCCTCTGCAAAATGAAGGAGATATAATGGAAAGAACCTCATCACCATTGATTCTTAGTCATGTACACTTGAAGAAGATGCCAAATGGCTACAGTCCTGGGCTGGAAAGAACCTGATTGGCCAGATACCTATAGTCTGTAGGGTTCTTAAGGACTTTTAACAATTACATTCTCAGAATCCTGCATCCTTTTTCTAAGTATATTGCCTTGAATAATTAACAACATAGAGACCAAGCCCTTCCAAAGCCACTTTGTTCATTCCCCTCATTAGCAGGGTTGTACTGAAAGATATTCAATAAAAGATGTTTCCATCTTAGCCACTGACACTGGCATATGAGAGCATTGAGCATCCAAGTTCCTGGATCTGCCACTTATCTGCTGAGTACCACAGCAAAGTCAGCACCCTTCCATGAGCTTAAGATTCTTTGCCCTCTCCTTCACCAAATTTTTATGAATACCAGATGAGATGACTGTGACAGATAGTTGAAAACCATACAGCTCAACACCATGATGTCATCTGTTTTATGGTCAATCAGTTGCCTACACAGATCTAACCTATTAATAAAAGCCTCTAGTTGAACTGTAATCTTGTTCTGTCATCTAGAATGGATCCTCCTACCGACAAATCAGAAAGCAATAGGTCATATTCAGAGTAAGAAAGAAACAAAAATTTACTTAATAAAAGGGGCTGCCACCAATCAGATCTGTATTGATGAAAAATTACCAAAATAAGTGAAGTGTATCTTTGGTTTCCTCACCTCCTGGTACTCTCCTCCTTAACCCAAGAAAAATTTCTCATCTAAGGTTCCCTCCAAAGACCAGTGCTCTGAGTCTACAAGATGTTGTTCATTCTTCCCATTTCCCTACATCAGCCTCATCCTCTTCCAGTGCTGCTGATCTCCTCTCATTGTCATGATTCAAAAGTGCCAGTCGGGGCCGGGTGTGGTGACTCATGCCTATAATTCCAGCACTTTGGGAGGTTGAGGAGGGCTGGATCTCCTGAGATCGGGAGTTTGAGACCAGCCTGGCCAACGTGGTGAAACCCTGTCTCTACTAAAAATACAAAAAAAAAAAAAGCCAGGCGTAGTGGCAGGCGCCTGTAATCCCAGCTACTCAGGAGGCTGAAGCAGGAGAAATGCTTGAACGCGGGAGGCAGAGGTTGCAGTGAGCCGAGATCACATCACTGCACTCCAGCCTGGGTGATGGCAAGGCTCCATCTCAAAAAAAAAAAAAAAAAGAGTGCCAGTCGGGTCAAGTCACACTAAGATATAGTACAATGTGGTGGAACCCCTGTACTCCTCTCATGTGTGGAGCCCTAACCTTCTAATGGTTGAACATTAGTCCCAAGTCTTCAGTTGATGTTTCAGACGGAGCAGAGGAGATATTTGGAGAGTGGAAAGTGGAAGAGAAGGCCTTTAAGAAAGCCCCAGTTACACTTCTAGGAACAAATTATTCAGACTCAAAGTAAGCCCACATGGTACTGAGGAGAATCTTTCCTTCCTTCTACTCTTCTTTCTCCCAGCCCAATTCAAAGTTGTAAGTCAGAAGTAAATTTCTCCAGAGGATTTTTATCCCCTCATATCTAGGGGGATACAGATGTAGGTTCTTTGTGTTGATAGCTCTTGGAAGGGGAGCAATTTCCTCCCTATCCAAGACCAGTTTTTAGTCAACTCCCAAGCATTCTCATGATGACGAACCATTTTATAAAACTTCTCTGAGTTCATGCCAGGCTGGCTTCCCCTGCCATATTGGCTGTGCCCTTGCTTCCTCTCTGCACCATGGGTTAGTGATTGTTCAAAGCATAAAACTACTTTTCGGATTAGCTACAACAAGGCATAAGGAAATAAGGATGTCTGTTGGCACTGACTCATACAATATATTGCAGAGCCAATTTAAATGATCAAGTCGATCAATAGTTACTTATTGAGCATCAGCCAGCTCTGGCTATTCTCTGCTCAGAATATGTACTCCTCACTTCCCCTTCACAGCCCTTTTTGAGACCTTCCTTTTACTGACCCACCACCACCATCATCACTATCACTAATAATCAATGTGACACCCCTCCAGGAGCTGCCCAGAATTTCAGCACTGCATGTCAAACTAAGTGGGGGTGAGGGTGGGGGTTAACTGGCTTCCTTTTTCTCCCTTTGTCAGAAGCAGATGGGAAAGGTGGGAGGAAAGGGATTGCTTATTTTCTAATCTTGCCCAAAGCCATCTCTATTTTGACGGTCAGTTCCCTCCATCCTCATCCCAAGCCCAACAGTAGCTTGACTGACAGTGGCCCCCATCCCAGCATAGTTCCAAGAGGCCCTAACTGACCTTGTTTACATTGCATGGAAATGCCTCTGCACTGCAGAACTTTCAGTTTCAGGGTTTTGCAAATTTTATGAGAATTTTCAGACAAGCTGATTTTTAGCTCCCCCTTTCCCCTCCAGCTAAAATCAAGATCTTTCATCCAGCTCTGATCTCAGAGGGACTTTTTTCTAAGCACTTGGGACATGATTAAATAACAGGCACATGTGCACATACCAGCCCAAAACCCTTTTTGTTTCCCAGATCTTTCTTCAGTAACGAAGCCTGAAATGGAAAACTACTGTGCAAAGAAACTGTAGCTGCAAGAGGAAAAGGAATAGTCAACATGCCAGCCTGGCTCCTTCTGGAGAGAGAGGTGAGAAGTTTGCTCCCAAAACAAGGGCAAATAAAATGTATGTATCAAATGGAAGCCTTTCCAAGGAGAACTTTGGGAAGTTTAGTGATTACTAGTTGGTGGTCCATCAGCTGTAGATAAAGGGGAGTCAGGAAACATCTGTCTTCCATACTCTCCAGAGAGCCTGAGAGGGTAAGAAGAGCACTGGCTGCCAGGAGCATGGTTTTCATTGTCCAGTTGACGTGATCATTAACTCTTCCAATTATGGCAATATAAAGAAATCATTAAAATGCAAATATTACAGCTGTATAAGTTTATAGCTGCATAACTACATCAAAAGGCCACCTTTGTAGGTCTTTATGTGCTCCATAAACCTGAATAAATTGCAGCAAAGAGAAAAAGATTACTTCAATATGAATCAAAAGCAAATTCAAAATTTTTGTCCTACTCTGTGGAGATAGCAGCAATGAATGGCTTGGCTCCTTCATGACCCCTGGCCTGCTAGGTACCTGCAAGAGTTTTCTCTTTGCCCTAGGTTTGCATCTCCCATGATCTGTCTTTGGTCAAACTGATCCAAACAAATGAAAGCCAAATAAGTGCATAAAAAAAAGTTATCACAACCTCATACCCTTATATAATGTTGTATAGTTCTCACATTTAACAACTTTATGGCAAGATAAGATAATTAGCCCCATTAAATAAATGAAAAGCTAATAATCAAATAATTTTTAAGGAACTTGTCTAAGGTCACAAGGTGGGCTGGATGCTGTCAGTTTGTCCCCCACTACCCCACCCCAGATCCACTCTCCACCCTTCTCCACCCTGCTCTGTGCCCTAGGAGGCTAACTTCTAGGAAATGCATCCATAGGTTCTCCTACCCTCTGATTTATAGTTGGATTAGGCCAATGGGAGGCAATAGCAAGAAAACAGAGGGTGTGAGAAGAGAGAAACTGGGATTTTTCCTCCTCTCACCCCTCCTTATTGGGTCATAGTCTCGCAGTGACTGTGGTCCTCTGTCTACAGCCTCAGGGGCTGTCAGGCAGCCCTCTCTGTGATAGCCAGGGCCTTCTCCAGGTTCTGACCATCAGTCCCTCCCTTTGCCCCTGCAGGCCTAGAGATAGTAGCAGTGTCCCTGACATTGCTGGCCCCAGACAGCATCACCATTCTTGGTTGATTTCCCTTCCCCCCATGCATACCCCTTCTTTAAACCCTCCTCATTGTTTCTTTTGAATGTGCTCATTGTGTCCTGCGAGGTCTCTGACTGCCACACACAACTAATGAGTGCTGGGACCCGGACTGGAACCTAAATCATCAAAAACCCTAAGAATCCAGGCCTCAATAATTTAGAAAATTTAATTTGCTCCAGACACAACATGCTAATTGTCATCACCATCCAAGTTCTACCTACTTTAGTTGGCACTGTGCTGGGGCACTTACAGAGAGAATTATAAGAAGAAAAACCCTGCTGTCCAGGAACCTTCATGCTGAGTCAAGCACACTGAGATAAACTACTATGTATAGTACATGCATGGGACAGAGACATCCCAAACTACTGCCTGGACAGACAATGATGGGGTGAGAGGTCATTGTGTGGAGTGAGGGTAAATGCTTTGAGAGTTGAGGACTGAATATCTAGAAAAGCAGGTGTTCTGTTTCCAAACTGGGTAGACGAGAGCAATTGGTCAGATCATTCAAAATTGCAAATGATCCTGAAACATTTCTATTTGGCCTAGACATGCATAACTAGACAATATGTCGTTGATTTGTTTGGGGATTTCTACTGCAGATATGCCTACCTAATTAATTTTTATTAGACTAATAGTGAAGAGAGTTAATATTCTTGAAGTTCACACACACCTCTGCCACCTGGGAGGGAGAAACAAAGCAATTTGGCCTCCAGTGCTCCTGAAAGTGGGCTACAGAGCAGATTACCGGTACATAGCCCACCATAGTTCACTGCCCACTTTTATGTAGGCCTGACATTTTCACTCTGTAAGACCTGAGATCATGGGTTGTGGAATGCGGTTCAGCTTTTCAGGACACAGCAGGCCCTTGTTGATCTACAATGACTCTATACTCCTTCCTCTGAAGATTCAAATGCCTCAGAATAGCAAGTTGGATCATAGACAGAGGCAGCAGTAAAAACCTGGTGTGGCTGGAGGTCAGAAGACCCTGATCCTTGTCCATCCAAGTTAAGTCTCCCTGGGGAAGTTCCTGATTTCCACTGAATTTTAGTGTTTTATGTTTTACGATGGAGAAAATAATACTTACATCAAGAGTTAAAGTAAGACACTGCGCCTGGCACATAGAGCACTCGCAATGATGAGCAAATGCTTTGTAAATGTTAACTTCTATATGTCAGCAATATTATTATAGACTTTTAGTGTTGGAATCAGTCTTGCCTTGTTTGCAGATAAGTTATACTGAATTCCAGCCGTAGTAAATTAATAGTGCTCTGATTTTTTCTTTTACAAATAATGACAGCTAATGGTTCTATGTTGCTTACTATCTACCAGACTATATTCTAAGCACTTTACAAAGATAAAACCATCTAATCCTTGCAATTACCCTCACAAAATAGGTACTATAATGGTCTCCATTCTAGAGACGAAAAAGCCAGACTCAGAGAAGTCACATAGCTACTAAGTAGCAGGGCTGGGATTCAAATTCTGGGTCTGGTTCCAGAATCTGTGCTCTTTACCACAGTGCCCTCCTTCCACAAGAATTGCTGGGCAGCAAGGTAAAACTCAGTGTACCAGAAAAATAATACAAATTATATGGTATCAGAGCACTTTCTGGCTGAAGTGATGGAAGAAATTGTGCACAGAGAGATGAGATGGAAGAGGAACAGAGTAAGCAAAGGCATAGAGGTGGGAAACTGCAGGACATATAAAAAAAACAGCAAGTAGTTCCATCTGGGGTCATGAAGAGGCTTATGGGAGACAAGAACTAAAGTTTTGAAGATGGGTTACAGTGAGGCAACCCCAGAATGTTAGGCTAAGCTACATAGATTTTTTTCCTCCCTAGAAGGAATGGGGAGCTGCTAAAATGTTTGGGCAAGAGTCCAACAGGATCAGAATTGTGTCCGAGAAAGAGTTAATGTGACAGCTGTGTGTAGGATGGTGACAAAGGGAGAGACTGCAGGCAGGCAGACCACGTGTCCCAACCATCTAAGGGGCTGCTCTCCACCTACTGAGATAAATAAAGACTTGTTGACTGACTGACAGACAGGCTGATTGACACACTGCCTCCAAACCATAAACCATCACCATCAGAGAACCCCTCCTTCACCATCAACACACAATGGCAGCTCTGCCTGAAAGTAGGCAAGGGCTCTGAGGCTAAAGTGATTGGACAGAGCCACCATGCTGCATTTGTAAATGGAGAAGAGCCAAAAACTAGGAGACTCATTCCCCACCAAAAACACCTCGAAAGAGGGAGACCAATAGCAAAAGGAACACCCCCCAGTGAGCGGAACATAACCCCAATTCTTTTTCCTTTTTTCTTGTATTCCTTCATCTTGAAGGGAAAATGCATGGCAGCTGCGTAAAAAATGATGGTTTTATTTCCACATGTGAGGTTGTCAGGGAATTTGGCTATAACCTTTTATTAGACATTAATAATTTAGAAAAGGAAGAAGCATTCCCCAGTCAAATCTAATCTCGCACAAATAAATACTTTGCGGGGGAACGAAAGCGTCACATTCATCCTGAGATGAGCAGGTGATTATCAAGCCTCCGCACATTGCTGGCATCCATCAGCTAGGCCATTCACTCTGGTTAATGACAATTGCATTACTTTCCTTGGGTCTGTTTTCAGCAGTTAGATTCATAGCTCTGGGTGAATCTCTCCTATACTGACTCTCCAAGGCTTCCTCTATGTGTCTGTGAGGATCTATGTTCTCTGTGTGTTTGAGTGTGTGCTGCAATAGTTATATAGAGGAAATAGTCTGGAGTGCTTGATGTTCATCAACAGGCTAACGTCCAGTATTAACCCAAGAGGCCCCCTGCAGCTTAATGTTCAATTAAGGCCAAAACATTCACTTTAGAGTGCAGAAGCAACTTTCACTTCATGCTCACAAGGAGGGGCACTAGTGTGCAAAAAGCCCTGGTTGACTAGATGCATTTGAGTATTTGCTTCACAAATTAGGCATTTTTTTGTCCCACGGTTCACATTTACAACTGGACATGAGTCAGCTCTTTGCAGCACTGTGCATATTGTCAGCTGTTAGCCTGCTCTTAAATGTTAGTCATAACATTTAAGACATTCTTATATTGAGGTTTCTGATTGCAAAGTCACCCCTTCCCTTAGTAAAAGAAAGTGAGCATTAAGGAAGCAAGGATGCAGTAGATAAGATAACCAAGAGAGAAATGTGTTGACTAGGAAGTATAACTGAGCTAATTTTTTCACTGTAAACAAATATAGTCACTGTGATACATTTTCCCACTGTCCTGGGTCCATGGACCAGATAAGAAGCTTGGCCACAGCTCTGCCTCACTTGGCAGAATGGAGATTTATTCTCATTCACTTTTCTACTACTCTCCTAATGCCAACCTTCCCACCCTCAGGTGAATCAATTCTCAACCAGGCCAGAGCCCCGGACAAAGCCATAAGGATCTCAGGCAGTTGCCACTCTCCCCACAAAGTGCCCAGAAATGAGGATAGCTCAGTAACCTACTGGTAAACCAGTTCTCCAAGTGGGCGGGAAACACAAATCCTGAGTTATAGTATTTGCCCATTTCCATGATGTAAATACGCCCACTACAGCCCATTTCAAGCAACCAACAGTTTAACAGCCAGCTTTTAACATTCCTGAACATTTAACAATCCGCCAGTGAGAGTCAACTTCAGCACAGCACTACCAGGTCTCCGGGCCCCGCACTGTCCCTGAGGGCCTCCGGGCTTAGACACGTGGTGGGAGGCCCTACCCCATGCATGGTCTTTGCACTTGCTGTTCAGCCCCTGGAGTTTGTGCAAGAGTCAGAACCCAACATACTTCTTAATCAACATCTTGTTCAGAAAGTGTCACTTGCCATAAATATGGGCTTTTAACCTGTCTCCTTGGCAGCCACCTCCAGGAGTAGGGACAGGGAATTCATCATAAATTTCAGAGCTGGTAGATTTCAAGGGAGCAAGAGAGGCTCTTCATCCACAGGAACTGTGGAGGTAGCATGTCTCCCAATCCCCATCACAGAGGAGGAGGACAACTATCCAGCCTTTTTAGTGTCTGTCACTGTTCTGAGTGTCCAGGCCAGAGAAAAAAACAGCCTGGACTTTGTTTACATAAAGTACAAGAGGGAGAGTAAGGGAGTACTGACCTCGGTGGTTTGGAGATTGGAGATCTGCATGGGTTCAGAGTTGGAAACCCATCAACAGTTATTAAGGGGATTACAGGAAACATTTTGTAACCATAAAAGCTGCTGCCAGAAGCTAGAGAGAGGAAACAAATAAGACACAGAAACAGGGAGCTGGGAACTGAGACAGGGTCAGAGGCAGAAATGAAAGGGGAGAGAGACAGAAACAGATGGATAGAGATCGTACTGAACCAGATTCTGTTAAACTTAAAAAGCCTGAGATGGACATATTTCTTTATTGATTCTAAACTCTTGGGTGCAGTTCAAACCCCATTCAACCAATGTTCCCTATCCCCTACCTCAATTCATGGTTTAATTTTTCATCAGACCTGACAACATACCCTCCATTTTGTTCAAACTCATAGGCCCTAGCAAAATGCTCTAACCCGACTCTGTGGCTTTATGTAGGCCATTTCCCTTCTAGAAACATTGTCTTCCCTTCCAAATGACTTTCTCTTTCCCCAAACTCATTCTAACTCTCACTTCCTCCAGAAGACGTTCCGGGTTAACTGCCCTGGCTTTGAGCACTTTATTTCTCTCTTGCTCTCTTACCACTTAGGTGCTCAATTTGGATGAACCTTTATCCTGGTGATCTAATACAATTCTGCAACTATTCAGTGATGTGACTGACCTTAGACAAGTCGGGTCCCTCCTTGCACCTTCATTTCTTCAGCTGTTTGAGGAACTATCTGACTGCATGACGTAGTCTCTTTGCAGCTCTGACATTTATCAACTCTAAGCAACAGGGGCCACAAAGAACAAGATCAACGGGTGGAGAAATGTGCCAATGAGAGAGGGACAGATTTATGGGGTGGCCAAACGAGGCCTGAGAGGGATTGATGGCAACAGTGTGGCCATGATGTCTAGTTGTCCCAGTAGCTTCTCTTCTCCTCTTCCATAATAACAGCTGGCTACCCAGAGTAAAGGCTATATATCCCAACTTAATTTAATGTATTTGACTAAGTGCTGGCCTAACAGACATAAACAAAAGTAATACATAGCAGCTTCTAAGACCCTGTCTTATAAGACAGCTCATGGTCATCCTTTGCTCCCCTTTCTTCTTTAGTCCTTCCTCCATCCTGCTGCCTGGAATGTGGATGTGATGGCTAGGGCACTAGCCTCCCTCTTGGTCTATTAGGATGAGAACTACAGGAAGCTGGAAAGATCCTGCATCCAGGAAGACTTCACAGAACAGAACTTCCCTTCCAGTTCAAAACCAGATGCCTCTGGACTTTTCCTGAGGAAGAGATAAACTTTCTTGTTTAAGCCACAGTTATTTGGGGTGTCTGTTACTTAAAGCACAACTTAATCCTAAATGATTCAAAGGGAGTTCTAAGGTTGAGGAGGAATTACCAAGAAGCCCAGACAGTCAGATGGTGGAAGGTGACTGGTGGTTGTGGGTAATAGACCGCAGATTACAAGAAACAGGGAAAGATTTGGCAACAAGGGCAGTGTAATCTCCTAGTTTCTTCACCACCAGAACCAGTCTCAGACATCTGTGAGCAGTTTACAAGGCCCATCTTTAAAGCCTGTCTCCAGTAAATCTCTTTTTGTCCAGCCCAGCACCTCAAGGACCTCCTGTCCTCAAAGCTCCTGGGGCACTCTATATTACTTATTTGGCACTTGCCAACATGCCTGATACTGTCTTTTTTAGTGTTTCCAACTTGCAATCCCAGCTAGATTATATGCTCCTTGAGAAAAGAGATTTTTCTTGCTTTTCCCCCAGACATAATGAAGACATCTCAGGTTTTCTGGGCAAACTAGATTTCAAATATTCTGTCCTGGTGCTCCCTAAATTTAAAAAATGTTAGTGTTTAAACTACATCTGCAAAACAATCTTTTTTAATGTAAGACCAGAACAAAAATCCCAATCTGGGACTCAGAAAATCTGATTCCCATATTCACAGACCTACCTAGATGCTCAGTTAAAAAAAAAAAATCATTGATATTTTTTTCCCTTGATGGATTGAAAGTGTCTTGATAGGGGCCCAAGGGCATCTAAGTGGAGAGAATGATGTACAGGAATAGGGAAGGTGATGAAGCATGACAGGTGGAGGGAATGTGATTGACAGGGTATCATCAGGACTGGGAGAAGATGCTGGGCCTAGACAGTGACCAATGGGCCATCACACAGGGAGAATAGCAGCTTTCCTGCTAATGCATAAAGCCTGTGCCGGGTGTCTGGGGCCTTGCTTAGTGGGAAACTGGGAAAGGTCTTTTTTTAAGTGATAAAATTCAATGGCCAGACTTCCTGTTAAAGGTAGTGAACTGAAGACACACATCTAATTTCTCTCCCTCCCCAAATCTCACTAAAATTACAGCAAAGGGATTGTTTACAAAGGTGTAAACCCACAAGGACAAGACAAAATGGGAAAGGAGAAAATAGCAATAAAATTTTGGAAGCTGCAAAGTGGATAGGCAAAGGATAATGAACTTGACAGATTTGAGAAATCTATGTGAGGAAAGCTAAAAGTCAACCTGATGTATACCACAGAATCCTCAAAATGCCCTGGCATTGGCAGCACAAAATATTTCTGGAAGTAGAAGTGAAAAGAAGTTGTCAAAATAAGGAGAACAGGTAGAAAGCTGTTTCAGCAGCAGCAGCTCTCAAGCCTCCTCCATTCCAGCACCAGGCAGCGCCCATCCCCTATGCTGGCAAGAGACTGCAAGTTTACTGTCTGCAGAGGGTGAACCTGGGGGCTCCCAGGTGCCATTGTGGCAGGTTCACTCTACCAGAACAGGGAGGTCAAACTCTGGAATTCCAGGTGCTTTTCCAACATTACAAGACATTGAAAAAGAGCTCATGTGAAAAACAGAAAATAGAGACCAAAAGAAACAGAAAAAAGCAACTAAAAAAGTCTGAAGCTATGAAGAAGACCACTTTATAACTAGGCCTCATTAGAAAGTGCCAGCAGTTCACATCCTTGGCTCCACTGGCCCTTCACTTGCCTCTCTGTGCCTGGGAAGACCAACAGCACACAGCCATGAATGTCAGTTTGAGGGGCCTTACACCATGTCTGTCCAATAGTTCTCACACTTACCTCTGGGAAGCCTGGGCTTCCAAGAGCCGTTCAAGGGCCATGGTAAGGGGAGGAGAGAGACTGAGCAGGCAGGACTCCAGCTCCTGTCCTGCTTCAACCAATATGCTTTTTTTTTGACTGGTTTTAAAATCAGAGTTTTTTGTAAATTCTTGTTTAAAAGGTAGTTCTCTTGTTTTTTAAAAAATTATTTTAAATGCTGTAAGTGACAGATCAAATTCAGGCCCTATTTTTGGAGATGAGGAGACCTAGGAGCTTGTTATGAGTCAGGCTCCTGCCCAGAGCTAATGCTGGCTGTGCAGTGGCCCCAGCAGATGCTGGGCCTGTCAGACAGCCAAGCAAAGTCCCTGGGCCAAGGCCATGAGCCCTCTCTCCCTAGAGACCAATGACCCTTCAGCCTGGAGGCTGGCCTCCTGCTGTCCTCTTCCTCCTGTTGATGCTCTAGGGAAGTCCCCCCAGCCCTGAGGCCTGACAGCCCTGCTGCTCTGCCCTCTCTGCCAGAGATACTCCCCAGCACCCCTGACAAAACCTGAGCCTGGCTGGTGCTGGAATATAAGACACTGGACATACCGGTTTTCCTGAAAAGGCAGAGAAAGGAAAGCCAAGGTCACACAGAAATGTTCTCCTTTCTAATAGGTTTGAGTCCCTGACACCGTCTGTGTCTTCACTGGACTCATGCCCCAGGACATATGGATTCCCCTCCCCTCTTCCACCTTCCCGATCTTCTTTCTTCCCCCCATTTTGAGAGCCCTCTAGAGACTGGGTGATACTGCTTGTTGGCTCTCCCTGAGGGATAATGCAAACTCAGCAACCCTTATCTTCACAATTCAGTCCAAGAACTGACTCAGCAGAGGATGCCTGTGACATGCTTGCAGAAACTGGAGTAATTTTTGACATGCTTGTAGAAACTGGAGTAATTGGCCATACTGTCACCCAGTCCCATCCTCCCCCAGCAGGCTTTGAGTACAGGGAGGGCAAATTTGTTGGTTAAATGATGTCTGTTTGGCATCATCGCCCAAGCCTCACACAACCCTGCAGAGATACAGGGGTATTTGATGATAAGACAGACACTTGGCTTGCTGCCCTCTGATGTACTCTCCACCTCAGGTCAGCAATAAAGTTTTTGGATCCCCTGCCTTGTTTCTGCCTTCTGGAAAAGAAAAAACAATACATGTACTGTTTAAGTCATTCTACAACTAGAACGTAAGCTCCTTGAGGGTCCGTTTTTTGTGTGTGTTTTGTTCATAGCTATATCCCCAGTGCCTAAGATAGAGCCTGGCATAAAGGGGTATTCAATATACATAGATGAGTTGAATGAACCAATCTTTCTGCTATGGTTTGAATGTATGTGTCCCTCCAAAGTCCATATTTTGGAATCTAATACCCAATTGACAGTATTAATAGGTTGGGTGTTTAAAAGGTGATTAAGTCATGAAGGGGAGTCCTCAGAAATTAGATTGATGCCCTTATAGAAGACATTAAAGGGAGCACCCTACTTCCTTTTTGCCCCTTCTGCCATGTGAGAGGAACAACAAGAAGGCACACGCCCTCATCAGACACTAAATCTGCTGGAGCCTTGATCTTGGACTTTGCAGCCTCCAGAACTGAGAGAAATAAATGTCTTTTCTTTTCTTTTCACCAAGTATATTCCCAGACTTTAAGAAGAGAGAAATAAATTTCCTTTATTTATAAATTACCCAATTTGTGGTATTTTGTTAAAGCAGCAGGAATAAACTAAGACACTTTTTCTCTCTCACTCTCTCTTCCTGAAAGCCTTCCCCATAAAAGTCCTGGCCCACTCTCAGAGTGAAGTCCAAGTCATGGAGCAGGACACTTAAAGGACAGAGAATCCTGCCATCTAAGTGGAGCAGGGAAGGAGAGAAGAGAGCGGTCCCCAAGATCCCTCCATGCTCTGTGATTAATGACTCCACCAAAGCAGCTCCCTTTAAGTTCCAGGACCATTTGCTAAGGGTGAATGACAATATGGTAATTTAGAAAGAAAATAAAATGATCAGAACCTTCAAGAGAGTTCCAGAGGGAGCTGAAGCAGGAGAATCCAAGCCTACCTCATAAATCAACCTCAGCTTCAGAGTATGTGGCCTCCGAACTGGAATCTGCCATGGTCTCCACAGATCCCTGCTATTCTCACTTGCTTTACCAAGTAGCTGAGCACTGTGACATTAACCTCCAATATGCCAGCAGAAGTCTGTGAGGACACAGAGGTAGTGGTGGCTGTTAGCAGGGAGGGGCACTGGGTCTTCCTAGCCACCTTCTCCCAGTCCCCATCACATGAGTTGGCTTGCTCAGGAGGCAGTTCTCAGCATCACCTCTGCCCAACCACACTGGCAGAGCTCCTCGTGCACCCCACTCAAGCCCTTGGATCTATGCTGCATGGGAAGGTACACAACATCACCTGGGCAGAGAGAGTCCATGCAGTCCATGGAGCACCCTGCAGGTAGCTCTTACCACCTCACCTGACCATATGCTCAGAAAGTTGTCTGAGTACCACTTTTCCTTTCCATTCTTTCATTTAAACATTTTTTTAAAAAATAAAATAGTTCAATTCTGTCAAATTCCTAAGGTTTGCCTTGCAGTAACAACAACAAAAAGTTAGCCCAATGAGGACAAAAGACAGTATTTCTTATACCCAAGCAATCCAGATCATTTGGTGGTTGGCAAGGAATTGGGGGAGGTTGGGAGGGAGTGGGCTGAAATGGGGCAGGGGAGCAGCAGTGGACACAAAGCAGAGTGAGAGACAGCCACCTGGACCATATCTTCCAGGAAGAGATCTGCAGTGTTTCAGAAGCAGCATAGGAAGCCTGTGCTCCTTCACATCTTCCATCTCCCCAGTAAAACCAGTAAGTCACCTTCCCATGCCCCAACCAGATGCTCCTAAGGTGTGAAGATTTTCTATGTTGTGAGTATGGATGATCCTGGAAAGAGCCTTACCTTTAACTGGGACCAGCCAACACCAAGATTGTCAGTTAACACTTAAGAAGAAATGTGTTAACAGTCAGCAGCTAAGCACAGAGGACAGAGATGACATCAGAAGAAAATAAATGCATACAGGTAAGGGGTGTGAAAGATCCACCAGGGGCAAGCTGTCCCTCTTCAGAAGTCTGGCAGCACCTAATGTGTCACCTTTGGAGGATGCCATGGTTTCATTCCATCCATTCTCTACACACATTTACTAGTGTCTGCTATACACCAGGTGCTTTACTGAGCATTAGAAAGAAGGAGATGCGAAGATCTGTCATTACCCTCAGAAAGCCATGATCAAGGAGGGAGGAGCACCAATGTAAACCACTAACTAAATAATAGAACAAAGTCAGTGCCAAAGGCTGTGAGAACAAGGAATGAAGAAATGATGAATTTTTAATGAAGTTTCAAATAACTTCACCATGGAGGTAGCATTTGAGGTGAAACTTGAGAGAAAAGAAAGTTTTACAGGATATTATGGGCTGAGAACTGGGGAGCAAAGGGGCATTCAAAATGGTATGTTGGTTTCCTGGGGCTGCTGTAATAAATTATGTCAAGCCGCATGGCTTAAGACAACAGAAATTTATTTTCTCACATTTTAGGAGGCCAAAATCCAAAATCATGGTGTCAGTAGAGTTGATTTCTTCTGAAGGATAGGAGGAAGAACTGTCTCATGCCTCTCTCCTGGCTTCTGGTGGTTGCTGGCAGTCCTTGATGTTCCCTGGCTTGTAGATGCATCATCACTCCAATCTCCGCCTCCGTCTTCTCATCATTGTCATCACCTTCTCTGTGTGTCTCTCTGTGTCCTCTCCTCTTCTTAGAAAGATGTATCTTTTGATTAGTTCCACCCTAAATCCAGGATGATTTCATATTAAGATCCTGAACTAATTACATCTGCAAAGATCCTATTTCCAAATAAGGTCACAGCCAGAGGTTCTGGGTGGGTATGAATTTTGGAGGGACACATTTAACCTACTGCAGGTGGTAAGTAGATGCAGAAGAAATGGCTTGGCTTCTCATGAGGCATGTCATATTCAATTACATAAATGTTTGCTTCACCCATTTAGGAAACGTGGATCTGTTTCTAGATCCTGGCTGGACAAGGGCTGAAAGGTAGTAGTAATTCAGACCCTGAATCCCAATGTCCATCTTTTGATTGAGCTTGTAGATGCCACCTTCAGGTGAAGGAAAGGGCAAGGTCAAAGCTCCAGGCAAGCCAGTGAATGAAAACTCCTCTTAAAGTCCTCAGTTTTCTGTTCATTCAAAGTTCAGGCTTCAATTTTTAACATTTTTAGAGTTTGCTAAGAAAACAAGTGATGCTTTCTCAAGTCTCTTCCCTCCCCTCTTCTCTCCTTACAACTGGGTACAGCGTGTTCTGAACAGAGAGGAGGCTTCAGTGAGGTATGAAATGAAACAAATCCGCAGGCAAACAGCAAAGAAAGCTGGTGTATTTTTAATATGCAGGCACCATTTTGGGGATTGTAGAGAAAATTTTGCCTCTTCATATTGAAAACCCAATGCGCCGGAAAGGGAGCCAGAGGTGGGGGAGGAACTATACAGCTCTCTCCCTTCAGCACAGCCACTTCTTAAAGAAGCAATTGATTAAAGAGAAAGTGTGGGGAACCAACTGTTCACACTTGCCAAATATTTCTAAAGGCTTCAAAATCACTCAAGGTGGTGAATTTTTTTTTCCCATAAAGTGTCTACAAAATCTGTCACCTCGACACCCAGTGTTTAAACAGGGCAGTGTCTTGAAAAATGACTTTGTTCTCTAGATCACTCACGGTGCTGGCCTGACACTGTTTCTATTTTCTGCTTCAGTGTGAAACCTGCTGCAAACAGCTGCACAAGAGCTCAACTCAACAACTGCCAGAAGCCAGGAAGAGTAGCCTTCACCCCCTCAGGCTGTCACTTTGGGCACCCCCTCTGTCCCCCATCCCCTGGTGCTCTATGACTAGAAGCAGTCCAAGGGCACATTGCCTCTTAGTTGGAACAATGTGAGCTAGAATTGTCTACTCCACAGAAGCCAAAGGGGAGTGGTAGAGCCTCAGAAGAACCGATCTGGGAGCAACTTGAGTGACCATCTAGTTTACACCCTTCTTTCTAGGGAGGAGGAAACTGAGGAACAGAGAAGGCAATAACTTGCTCAAGGGCTAATGGGCATCTACCATTTGTTTTGGCTGTTCAGCAACTTAACTCCTGCCTTTGGGCAATTCCCCACCTTAGGAGCCTTCGTGGGGAACCCATCTCCCACTATGGAAGCCAGAAATGCCAGGTATTCACTTTCCATGCTATTTTTTTCTCCAGGGCAAAGACATTGGACATAACCTCTTGCCAACCAGACACTCCTGTCCCATGTTGTGACTGGTAGATGGTAACTCAATGAAAAGGCAATAGAGGAAGATTTTATCTCAAGGGTCATGATTTTTGGATGCTGTTCCTTCCTGGTTCAGTAAGCTACCCAATATCCTTTTAATCAATCTTTTATTTTTCTCCACAGTCGATTTATGTTGCTTGCAAATAAAAACCTTGGCTAATGCCAAAATATTACCAAGAGTTGGGTAGAAACAGACCCTCCAGAAATTAACAGGAATCCGAGATGGTTTGTTTCACATGCTTAGGGCTACACACAGTAAAAATTCAGCTTGGAGTAAAATATGGGACTCTGCCACAACACGGTAAATAGTGGCATACCATTAGGTTTCTACCTGTAGTCATCTGGAATTAAATACCTATTAAAGTCAAGGTTTAGGGTATGAAACAGTTGCCACCATACAACAATATTAAAAGCATGAAAAAATCAAGGACTATAGGATAAACTGCTTTCTTCCAATAGTGCTAGGTGGATTTTTTAAAACAAAGAATAAAAACACACAAATTCTTAAGTTCTCAAGTCAAGACACAAAATAAAAACCACAGATTTTCTACCTGTTGCTTGAAGAATCTCTTTTGTCTTACAGCCACAACCCTGAAATAGACAAAAATCAGACACAAAGTTTGATCCTACAGGTTGCTGAATTAGAAGATTAGTTTTGTTTTTGTTGTTTTTGTTTTTGTTTTTGTTTTTGTTTTTGTTTTTGTTTTTTGAGATAGAGTCTCCTCTGTTTCCCAGGCTGGAGTACAGTGGTGCAATCTTGGCTCACTGCAACCTCCGCCTCTTGGGTTCAAGCAATTCTCCTGCCTCAGCCTCCTGAGTAGCTGGGATTACAGGCACACACCACCACACCTGGCTAATTTTTGTAGTTTTAGTAGAAATGTGGTTTCATCATGCTGGCCAAGCTGGTCTCAAGCTCCTGACCGCCAGTGATCTGCCTGCCCCAAAGTGCTGGAATTATAGGCATGAGCCACCACATCCAGCCTAGAAGATTCGTTTAACATGTAGCCTTCCAAATTTTTGCTTAGGTGAAAATTAGAGCATAGAACGGGAAAGAGGTAGACCTAAGAATTGGAACAGAGATTTACGAGAGGATTCGGATGACTCAGGGCATGAATTTCTAGACTTTATTGATTCCTATCTCTCTTGTTAGCCAAATCAACTCCTCTTCCCTTCCTATGCAAGTATTCCCATCTCGCCTAAAAATCCTGCAATGATCTAACCTGAGGGTATTATCTTGCAAAGGGAAGTTCATTCTCTTCATGTTCCACCTGCTCTACTCCTCATTGTCTCCTGTAACTAGGGTTAGATCTCAACATGTTCCTGGGAGTAGAGTGGGGTAGAGGATGAAGCTCATCCATATACAATATCTTAAGGGAAAACTTACAGACAAAAGTTTATGACTCTGATCATTGTATTAGTAGAGACCTGAGAAATATGTGAGGGAGTAGATTCTGAGGGTATTAGACCAACAAGGGAAAAGCATACTTTTAGATTAAGTTGAGTTTATTGATATGCTGATATGTGCAGTAATTCTGTATTTGATGCACTAGCTTGAGCATCTAGTTATTTTAATTGTTTGCTGGGTGAGTTGACAAAAACCTGGACTCATTAGTGCTCCATGGTACAGTACATTAGTGCTCCAATGAGCCAAGATGCCAGAAATTACAAGCTATAATTTAGAGAAAGTAAATTCAAAGACCTAGGGAGAGAGCAATGTTAGAGCGGATTTATTACAAGTGCTTCCCCACCTCCTGTATCTCCCAAGAGGACCCAAAACACACTACCTTCATTAAGGCAATGGTAAATACATTAGTGACAGTAGTGCCAACATCTTTATAAAAAGCATGGCTATTCTCTGTAAGCCAAGAATGCTAGTAGAAAGATGATATAGTTGGAAATGAGATGCACGATTTCAATTTGTCTGGGAAAAATCACAAAGTAGCACAGGCCTGGGAAGAGCAGTAATTATCAGAGCTTGGCTACCAGAAGAGGCAGCTGACCAGCCTGATAATCAGAATGGGCTGACTCTGTGAAAGTTAATTTTAGGCATCAACTTGACTAAGGAATACCTAGAAATCTGGTAAGACATTATTTTGGGGTGTGTCTGTGAGAGTATTTCCAGAGGAAGTTAGCACATGAGTCTAAGTGGATTATAGGTGGGGAAGATCTGCACTCAATTTGTGCAGGCACCAGCCAATCTGCTGGGGACACAGAACAAAAACAGGTGGGAAAAAAGGTGAATATGTCAATCTATCTACTGAAACCAGGATACACTCTTCCTCTCCTGGACTTGGACAAAAACTCCAGGCTCCCTGGCCTTTAGACTCCAGGACTTACATCAGCGACCTCCTGGGTTCTCAGGCCTTTGGTTTCATACTGAGAATGGTGAGAGTTACTGAGAGTTACAGCATTGGCTTCCTGGTTCTGAGGTCTTCAGATTTGGACTAAGCAACGCTACCAGAATCCCAGGGTCTTCAATTTACACATGGGCTGTCATAGAACTTCTCAGCCTCCATAATCATGTAAGTCAATTTCTCTAATAAATCCCTTCTCATATATCTATAGATATATCCTATTGGTTCTGTCTCTCCAGAGAACACTGACTAATACAAGCCCATACGGATCTTTGGCATGGCAGCTCATGGAGTCCCAAGAGTAAAAGAGATGGACATATAAGTAAAGTCTTTATTTTGATTTAACAGGCCTGATGAATAGAGTCCTGACTTGTGTCTTCATGACTGAGAGTTGCAGTTGATAGCAGACCTTGTTCACTTACCATCCAATAAACTACTCACCAATACTTTTTCCTCCTTTCTAACAGAAGTCCAGTTGAGACTTCCAGGAGAGAATTCCTTCCTCCAAAACACAGACTCTAAGGAAGGAATAGTCTCTCATATGTTGGACATAATTTAACTGCATGTGGTCCCCACAGCCAGGGTGGAAGCCCACTTGCAACCACAGAGGGAAGCAAACCAAGACACTGGGAAGGGCAGAGCAAAGAAATATAAGGAGCCCAGGTCCTCAGTGATATTTTTGAGCTTTTGAATTAACCAGCTCTTGTACATCTTAGTCTGCACGCATTTCTTTATGCAATGTACATTTTCTTTAATTTTCAAGCCAGTTGAGTCAAGATTTTCTGTTATTGAAGCTTAAAATGTCCTACTGATACTTGGCTCTTCATTCAATCCCTGTACCTCAGTTCATTCAGATTCAGTTCTCCATGTAGGAAGAGGAAGATGAGTACCCTTCAGTAAGAACCCTGCAATTACATGGCAGCTATACCTTTAATCTTTCTCCCAGAAGTCTCCCAAAGAGTCCTGCAGCCATTTACCAGAGTATCTATGTCCTGGGGGAAAGTAAATATCCAGTGTCTTCCTGAAAATATCAGATACTGGCTGTAAGAAAATAGCAAAATCTGAAGACTCAGAACACTACTGTGGTGTGAGCAGGTACTAATGAGAGACAAGCAATAAATGAGGGTTTACCTAAGTCCACCTCATGGTAGGCCCAATTGGACCACAAGCCCAATTAGTGGGTGGGGTCCAATGGTGGAGGTCATTCTTTCTAAAATAAGACAACTTTCTGTACCTCTTACAATGAAGAGAAATGGCATAACATTGCAAGGATCTCCTTGGGCTTTGGAGGTAATGTATACCATATTTTGTTTACTGATCCAGTTCATTTTCCCTGAAACCAGCAAGGTTAACAACTTTGAGCAAAATTCAGAGGTAAAGAGGGCTCTCCAACTGGTTCAGGCTGTAATATAAGCACCTCTTCACTTGGCCCTTGTGATCCATAAGATCCAATGACATTTGAAGTACTTTTGGCAGCTCAGGGTACTATATGGAGTATGAAGTAAGGTTGAATAGGAGAATCATAGAATAAGCCTCTTAAGGTTTTGGAGAAAGCCAGATCTTCTTCAGCAAGTTACTACTGCATACATATATCAAAATTGTCCCCCATAAATACATACAATTATTATATGTCAATTTAAAAATAATGATTTTAAAAGAAATAGCTGTTAGCTTGCTACTAGGCCCTGGCTGAGAGTGAATGAGTGATCATCAGACACTAGATAATCATGCATCCTGGACTACTCATCCTGAACAGGGTATTATCGATCCACCTACTTATAAAATCAGGCAGGCTTAGCAGCACATCATTATCTATGGAAATGATACAAGCAGGTCAGGCTTAAGTAAGTCCTAATGGTACAAGTGAATTTCATAAGCTTATATTCCCAGTATGCCTGTTCCTAATGTGTTGCTACTCCTCACTCAACCCATTTCCATGGCTGAGGTACTGTCTTGAAGAATGAAGTATATTCTTTGAATCATCAAAATGCTGTTTCTGTTGAACTCATGGAGATAGAGAGTAGAAGGGTGGTTATGAGTGGCTGGGAAGGGTAGTGGCAGGGGGTGGAGGGAAAGTGGGGATGCTTAATAGATACAAAAAAATACACAGAATGAATAAAACCTAGTATTTGGTAGCACAACAGGGTGAATATTGTCAATAATAATTTAATTGTATATTTAAAAATAGCTAAAAGAATATATATAATTGGATTGTTTCTAACACAAAGGATAAATGCTTGAGGGGATGGATACTCCACTTACCATGATGTGATTATTATGTATTGCATTCCTGTATCAAAGTATCTCATGTACCCCATAAATATATACACCTATGTACCTACAAAAATTAAAAATTAAAAACAATAATAATACTGTTTTTTAGCTAGCCAGAAATCATGACTCCAGAAACCAAAGGGTGAAAGTGGGATGATACATCTAACTGCTACACTAAATGATGCATTAGTAAAGCTTTGGCTTCCAATCCTTATAACTCTGGATATTGCAGGCTTAGAAATTTTAGCATCCAAGGAAGAAGGCTTCTACTAGGAAACACAACAACTAGTTCATTGAATTGCAAGCTGAGTCCAACCTAACCATTTATGGCTCCTATTCCCACTGAATGAATAGGCCCTCCCCCCAGAAAAGGATTACTGGAGCAATTGCTGTAGATCATCAAGGGGAAATAGGATTGCTGCAATACACTGGGGCCACAAAAGAGTATGGATTGAACACAAGGGATCTCCTAGGGTGACCTATCTCCACTTCCAGTGGTAATGGCTGATGGAAGACCATTGCAACCTCACATAGATAAAACTACTAAGAGATCAAATCCCTCTAAAATGAATGTTGCATCGACCCACCAATTGTAAAAACTAGAACTGAGTACTGAGTGAAAATAAAGGAAACATGGACAAGTTAATCAAGAAGGAAATCTTAAATATCAACTGTAGCGAAAATATATCTATATTTCAACTAAGTGAAAACAAGGACAGGAGTACCTATGTGAATTATTTTCTATGTTGTATTATATAAATGTTTATGTATTTCAACAAATGTTATGCTCCATTTTTTCCATTTGCCTCGTGTTTTCATGTAGGATATGTTCATTGTGATTAGGTTCACAATTTATTCTATAAATTACAGAATATTAATGCAAATACATGCCAGAGCTAGAGGATAAATAGATATCAACCACAGATCCTAAACTTGAAGCTAGATGCAGTATCTGATGAGAATCTAGAGAGAAGATGAGCTGGCTTTGATTAAGCAGGAGATAACTGAATTCTATTAGGAAGAAAATTTTTCTTTCAGAAATATGAATATGGAAAGAATGGGGTGCATTGATGATTTGGAAAATGGGTGGACTATAGAGAATGTCGGTCATTGTTTTTTGGCTCGCTTTCTACATTTGGAAAAATCACCATCTTACAAGTCTGCCTCCCATTATAACAGCTTGAAATGACAGATATTTACTTTCCTAGATTCCCTTGTAGCTAGGATGCAGACACTTGCCCTAGAGTTGTCCAATCAGAAGCTCCACCCTCGACACTGAATCAGAAGCTAGTGATGCAAAGAAGCAAGGATAGTAAAGGATTCTCTGTCACTCTGGCATCACAACCGAACACAGTTGAACTTGTGGCATAACCATGGAGGGATGCTGATGGCGGCAAATTTAGGAACATGTTTCTGTCTGAGTAGCTCTGATCATAGTATTTCAGCCGTTCTGATGATTCAATATCCTTTAGATAAATTACTATACAGATCAAATTAGCAAAAGCTGATCTTGTTTTGCTTAAGTCAAGAACTGTGATTGATACACAAAGTCACAGGGTAAGTTGGTGACTGTGCTCTCATGAATCAATTATCTATTGCTGCATAACGAACCATCCCAAAACTAGTGACTAAAAAACATTAACGATTTATTGTCCCTCATTATTCTGTGGATTAACTAGATGGTTCTTCCAGTCTTGCCTGAGCTCACTGTGGCTTCATTAACCTGATGGGTTGGCTGGGTCCCTCTCTCCATGTGTTCTTCCATCCTCAAGGGGACTAAATCAGGATTTTTCACAGCATGATGGTCTCAGGGTGCCCAGTGGATGAGACCTGATACTTCAGGGCCTTTTGAAATGAAAGCTTAGAAGCCAGATGTGCGAGTTCCACCACATTTTATTGGTCAAATCAAGTCACAAAGCTATCCCAGATTCAAGGGGAGGGAAAATTGACTCTATTTGTCTATGGGAGGAGACAAAATCTCATTGCAAAAAAGCATGCACACAAAGATGGGAGAAAATACTGGGGTCATCTTTGCAAATAATTTGTTACTTGTGGAATCATATAACTGAAACATACAGAATCCACCACATCAGTATCTAAGTGCTCCAACATTGTCAGAATTGTCTCTCTCTTTATCTCCACACTTGACTGGACAGTGACCAGCAGCTCTGACGGGGATGACAGGGCCCTTACTGACAATGACCGTGGAGTAGCTTCATCAAAACCTCATGGAAGAAGTTCCCCACAGGAAAGGAGGATTCTGTTTACTCAAAGGAGAAAGGGGTGCAGGAGAGACAGTGTCAGAGGCAAGCCTAGAATTCAGATGTCATGTCTCCTGGGCCTGGTCTCTTTCCACTCTAGTGGTTATCAATAACTGCTTCACATTTCCAGATGAAAAGAAAAAAATGGATGTGGGGAGTTAGTTTTCTTCATATCCTGGAAATTCTGCCCCAACTGTTTGGCATTGGAAGGATTTGCCCTCCTCTATTTAGGGGAGTGTTCCATCATAAGAGAACCTGGTTCCAAGAACCAACTTGGAAAATCAAGTTGGACCGGTGATGTGTTTCCCCCGGCAAGTCATTCATATCCTCCAGATAGTCTGTTTTCTCCTCTATACAGAAAGTCTATAGACTGGGCAATTGGAAGGAAGACACTCCCACCTGCATTACTTATATCAACATGGAGTTAGCCTCTTTAAACACTGAGACAAAGTTTGAGCATCTACACTTCTCCTCTCTGAACTCATGCTTTGGAGACAGGCAAATTTAGGTGTAATCCAACTCTCCATTTACTTGGTTTGATTACCTTAGGCAAGCCACTCCATCCCTCTGAGCCTCAGCACACTCAGCTGTAAGATGAGTTGACACTCCCTACCTCATAGGGGAATTGTGAGGATTAACTGAGGAAACGTATGCATATTGCCTATCACAGAGCATGTCACTGGCAGATATTTATTTGTTCCCTCTCCCTGTTACTGGAGCACAACCTCTGAACTTCCCATGCTGTCTACTTCAAACACACATTCAAATCTTTATCCGTTCTTGTCTCTTCCATTATTTATAGCATTTCCACCCTGCCTGCCCTCGGAAAGCTGCCCCTGAACAGATTCTGCCCCCATGACACATGTGCCCTGTATCCCCATCACCCTCACACTCTTAGCTTATGCTCTGTCCTCTCACACTCAGTGTCCCTCTTTCATTCCCTCTTTGTGGGTTCTGTGTTAATTCTTCCCCCTTGGAACCCACTATATAGCTCCCCCACACAACACAGAATGGAAGACAGAAGAGGAGGGAGAGGATGAGCTCCTCCAGTCTCCATGGAGACAGTGCCCTGGATGCAGGAAGAG